>NC_000007.14:47209938-47512969 GCF_000001405.40 Homo sapiens
AGGGTAGAAAGGAGGTCTAAAACTAATGATAACAACCATGACTATCATTTTTCTGTAGCTTACCAAAAATTAAAAATTTAAGAAAAGAAAATCTTCAAACCTAACCCTCATTAAATGCCTCATGGGTCAGGTACAGGCTACACTTATTGACATCCCTATTTTATTGCAATGACCACTGTAGATTGAAAAAGAGAAATCGGTTATTAACCAACTATCATGGAGTAGGATCAGTCCCAGGATGGACTTGTAACTCAACAGCTTAGAGAGCACTGAGAGTTGAGGAACTGATCCTGAGAGTGGTGGAGATCTTCAAAGAAGGACAGATATTTATACTTGGCCTTGAAGGTGAAGTATTTTTTCTGTAAACAGAGTAGATCATGTAGCATTTACAGACACCATTCTAAGAACCAGGCATGGAGTAAAGGCATGGAGGGAAGAAAAAAAACAGAGATGGTATCCAAAGAATGACAAGTAGAATGCATGTGTAGAGAGGAGGTGCATAGCAGAGCCGATCAGGGAGTGTTAGCATTGGGAGTGACAAAAGATAAGTAGGTTGGGAACAAAGTGCAAAGTACCCTGAATGTCTTGCTAAGGAGTCTATTTAATAAAGAAGAGGCAGTACATAAGGAGTACAAACAGAATGACTTTCAATTAAGTAGTTAATAGTGATGATGATACAAATCCCTGACATTTCGTCAAACTGCATTAGTCAGGGTACACTAGTTTATGCTTGATAACAAAGAAGCCCCAATATCCCTTTGGCTTTGCACAACAGAAATTCACTTATCCACTTCCAATTAAAGCAGAGGAGTGTCCTGATGGCACAGCGCTGCCACTGTTCAAGCAGTGCCTGGAAGACCCAGGCAACTTCCAAAGTATACATTTGTCGTTCCAACTCTGTAAAATAAAGAGGCTTATTCTGAGCCAAATAGGAGTGACTATGGCCTGAGGCACGGTCTCAAGAGGTTTTGAGAGCATGCCCAATGTGGCTGGGTTACAGCTTGGTTTTTACATGTTTTAGGGAGACATAAGACATCAATTAATATATGTAAGGTATATATTGGTTCTGTCTGGAAAAGCAGGAAAGCTCAAAGCGGAGGCTTACAGGTCACAGGTGGATTCAAAGATTTTTCTGATTGGCAGTTGGTTGAAAGAGTTAAGTTATTATCTAAGGATCTGGAACCAATAGAATGGAGCTCCTGAGTTAAGATAAAGCCTGTGGAGACCAAGGTTCTTATTATGCAGATGAAGCCTCATAGGTGGCTGTCCTCAGAGGCAATAGATGGCAAATGGTTGTCATTCAGACCCTTAAGGATACTAGACTCTCAGCTAATTTCTTCAGGATTATAAAATGTAAATTTCCCCCACAAGAGACAGCTTTGCAGGGCCATTTTAAAATATGTTAAAGAAACATATTTTGGGGTAAAATATTTGATTTCTTTCAGGTCCTGCTATCTGTCATGTTGGTATCTTATTGCTGCGAAGAGTCTCCTTTGTCAGTCTTAAGATCTCTGTTTCAATGTTAACGTTGGTCAGTTGTGCTTGAATTCCAAAAAGAGGAGAGTATAATGAGGCATGCCTGACCACCCTGCCCATCATGGCCTGAACTAGTTTTTCAGGTTTCTTCAAAATCTCTTTGCCTGGGACAAGGGGTCCATTCTGTTGGTTGGGGAACTTAGAATTCACTTTTGGTTTCAATCCCAACATGCGGCCCCATGGCTGCCACAGCAGATAAGAGTCAGAAGTGACACCTGAGAACTCTGCTCACAGCCTGGTGGCTGGAGGCACTCACGTGACAGTGTCTGCCTGCATGAGGTCTGGGGAGGAGACTCTTCCATATGTCAGCAAGGAGTGGAGAAGAGAACAAGTGAGTTTGAGGGAGCTCTACCACAAACACGAGTGATTTACATTTTTATTTGGCTCAGTCTCTGCCGACATGAGCATGCTGAGTGTCAAACATTTCTCTAACGCTTCTTTTCTTGTCATTTTAATTTGTGATTTTGGTTTCAGGACAAATATTGCTTTTCACATACTTGGCAACTTACTTATTTGGATTACAGAGTGGCCTTCACTTAGTATTCACTTGAAAGAAAAGGAATATTTTTAAATAGTCATTCTATTGATTTAGTAGCAGCACTGTAACATAAAAGAAAAATGTTCTGAAAAAGATCTTGCCATGTGGTTAGGGATTGCAGATTCCAGCCTCCTAAATCCCAGTTGACATGGCACAGAGAACTTCAACACAGAGAATCCAATTTTTGCTTCTCCAGCCTCCACCTTTAACTCTGCCTGACACACTCCTGACCACATTCTCACCTGTCCACAAGGGTGACCTGTAATCTCCCCTGTGCTTCCTTCCTCCTCCAGGTGTCTTCATAGTTCTCTGGTGCCCAGCCCTTCTGGTGCCAGAGGGTGTTTAGCTTGCTGCTGTAGAGTCCAGTCTAGTGTCTATGGCTGCGTCTCCAGGCATCTGGCTTGGGTTTACCTTCCCTACTCTCCCACATTTTGTAAGGACTTGACAGTCACCCAAGATTCTACTCCCAACCTGGTCCCCTCATCTTCAAAATGATAAGTGCATTTAGAAGCCACTTCTACCCACATCCATCGACAAGCATGAGGTCAGTGTGGGAGTTTATACTGACAATCGCTACTACTGAGAAACTGGGGTAGGAGAACTTAAAGTCCAAGTTCAGTATCCAGGGCCAGGAGATGTACACTCAGGGATGCCTCGTCTCTGTTACTTGAAAAGAATCCAGTTCTGAGCTCCTCTTTTTCAAGGTTAGCAAGAGCACCCATCACTCGTGAGGTCTCTCTTGTGATTTCCATGAGTGGCACTAGAACCCCAGGGCTTACATGATTCTGGATGAGTGTGGGGCTCTCTCTTGTGACCACAGCATCTCTAAAGGCCAAGTGTCCTTGTTCAAGTGTCCTCCTCCATCCTAGGTCAAACACTGCTGCCCCGGGTAGACGGAGGGAAGACCCACTGATCTCTTTCCAAATTGGATGTATTCCTTCTACTCCCAGAGTCCCTCTGCTTGTGATAGACACTACAGGCATTCTCTGGGATCTGTCCACGAGTGTGAGGTCATCTTCCAGAACGTGTGGAACCCAACACCCCATTTCCTATCCCATCCAGGGGAACCCAACACCTTTGAATTGTCTGGCTACACCACATCTTACTTGAAAACCACCAAAGTTTCCCCTAAGTCGATTTTTCTTGATTCCACGAAGGGTCCTATAGCCCTGAAAAATGGAGACCTCCCCACTGGGATTACTCCTGAGGGCAAGAAATGCAATAGTAATCTCTTATGTCACCAAGAATGGCCAATGGGCTTCTTCTCAAAGAACACAAATTAATATACACCTTGAGTTGGCATGCCCTGCTACTTGAACTTTCCGTGATTTCATCTCATTACGCTGTGCTGGGAAAAGAACCCACAACTACAAGACACAGCACCTTCCACTGAGTGCCTTTTAGGCATCCAGCACATGTATCAGGCATAGTCTTGATAATCCTGACAAATTCCCTCGAAGCCAGGAATGTTTTCTTCCCCATTTTATAGATAAGAAAAGGGCAGCTCAGACAAGGAGGATTCGTAAGCTCATAGGTCCTGAATCAGGATGTATACTCGGGCCTCCACACTGGTCAGGAGTTGCTGACCAACACAGGGTCTCACTGCCTGGGACCCCAGACTCACCACCCAGCTGCACCCACCAGGAGTGATGGGGCCTTGGCACCTCCTAAAGCTCTATGGCCACATTTCCAGATAAGAAGACAGACAGACAGACAGAGAGAGAGAGAGAGAGAGATTGATTTACTTTAAGGAATTGGCTTACAAAGTTTTGACAGCTGGCAAGTCTGAAATCCTTAGGGCAGGCCAGCAGGCTAAAAATTCAGGTAAAAGCCTTGAATCTGAAATCTGCAGAGGAGACCCAGCAGGCAGGGATTTTATCTTGTAATCTTGAAGCAGAATTGCTTCTTCTTCGGAAAACCTCCATTTTTGTTCTCAAGGTCTTCATCTGATTGAATGAGGCCCACCCACATTACAAAGGGTCATCTTCTTTACTCAAAGTCTACTGATTGAAATTGAATCACCTCTAAAGAAAATCTGCATAGCAATATCTAGACTAGTACTTGAGCAAACAACTAGGCACCATGGCCTGGCCAAGTTGGTTCAAAATTAACCATAGTCCCTGTGCTAAGAGGACAGAGAAAAATGAGGTTGCAAGTGTTTTTCTACTTAAGATGGCTCCCTCTGACAGTCGCAAGCATGACTGGGAAGCCATCTAGTCTGCAGGTGCCAGGTGGAGCTTGGAGTCCAGGCTGGCTCAGACTCTGTGCTGGCTCCGTCCGGCTGTCCTGACTCAAGGATCCAGCTGAGGACACCCTCTAGTTGCAGGCTTTCAACTTGGGGACTTTTTCTTTCAATTTGTTTGGTTTTGTTTCCAGATATTTGAGGATGTATTTATTCTGCTTTAAATACACTCAAACCGTTGCAACGCTGCCATGCTTTCATATATTCTGGGGTTCTGACTTATGCTGTCTTTAATCACTTTCCCTCTTTCCATCCATCTTGCTAATCTCCAAGTTTACTGCTTTCATTTTTTCCATTTTTTAACTATCTATTCATGACAAGCAGTGTCTTCATAGTTATGAGCCTTTGTTTATAACCCTTATATTCATTTAGCTCTTTCTCAGCTCCATGGGTATTTTTCTCTGTCCTCTGTCCTAGAATTTCATTTCTTTTATGATTTGTTTCTAGGCCAATTTTCTGTCTCACTAGCTTGAGTCATCTTTCCCTGCTTTTGTGGAGACGTTTATTTAGTGCATTGGTTTTTAAATTTTGTATTTTAACTGTTCCTCCTTTTCATCATTTATTTTAGTCTATTTTTTTCTACTCAATTCTGATAGCACTTTTGCTTTAATGATTACTTCCTTTATTATTTCTGTTCATGATTATTTCTCTTATTATTTTCTCAAAATTTATTTTTATTATTTATTTTTATATGTCTGTTTGTCTCTTTCATGTGAAAGCTAGGGCTTGAATGTGGCTGTAGCCAAGGCAGGACAAGAATTTTGGCACACATGCTAACATAAACTGCATTCTTATTATCTTCTGTATTTTTTCATTTAAATTCAGTGTCTATTTTATACATGGTACTATCCTTAAATCACAGAGATGTATCCTCATGGAACAAGGCAAGAGTGGTTATGAAGCCCCTGCCTGGAGAAGAGATTGTGCAAAAGTGGACTGGCTGAGGCGGTGCTTCTCAGGGGAGTCCCCTAGGGAGGCTGCTAGTCAGTGTTATTCCTGCGCCCGCCCAGCCTCCTGCCCCAGATCTTGAAATGTCCCCAGATGGCTCATGTTCACAGAAGGTCCGAAGCCCCCAGTTGTAAGTGTCTCTTGCCTCCCACTGGCTTCCCATCCCCCCACTTTGTGTACCCCCACAAGAGACCCCCACCCCACTGGGCACTGAGACTCCCAGAGCTCTTCAAGGTGGGCTTCTTTCCCATGACATTCCAGTTCTTTGCCAAGTGGAGGGGGCTGGTGCTGAGCCGCTGAAACCATGTTGTTACGACCAAGATATCATGGGTCTGATCTCTGTGCTCCCTGGAAGGGACTGAGTACCCAAACACCCATCCACCCTTGCTTGCAGTCTGGGTTGCAGTCTGACCAGGAGCAGGGCAGACGGCTGCAGTCTCAGGCCGGGAGCCTGAGAGAGATTCTTAGTCCCCAGTTACTCCCCAGGAGCAGCACCGTGGTACCAAGCCCAGAACGGGCAAGGTGGGAGAGTGAAGATGTGCGGTCAAGAAAGCCCCAGAACTCCCTGAGACCGTGGACAGCTGAGGCCTGAGGAGTTTCTAGAACCTCAGCAGCTGCAGAGGCATCTGGGCTGATTCCACAGCCTGTCCCCTGGAGCTTCCAAGCCAATGCTGGAACCAGGTCTAGACTGGGAGCCTTGTAAGAAACTGAACGATGTAAAACGTGCCAAGAGTGTACTATTTGATTAAAGGAGAGAGGAGATAAGAAAATATCCAGGAAGCAGATGCTGTTACCCAGCTTCTCATCTCAATAAAAAACATGAGATGAGGATTAATCTTTTATAACCTGGTTACCATTCCCCAGGCCCAAAGTTGATCACTCTCAAGGATAATGAATGAATTTATATCACTGTCTTAGTCAGTCAGGGCTGCCATACAAAGCACCACAGACTGGGGGCTTAAACCACAGACATTTATTCTCTCCCTGTTCTGGAGACCGGAAGTCCAAGATCAAGGGGCGGCTGGGGCGTTTTCTGCCGAGGCCTCGCTCCTGGCTTTGTAGATGCCATCTTCTCCCTGTGTTCTCATGTGGTCTTCCCTCATGTGTGTCTGTGTCCTCATCTCTTCTTACAAGGGCACAGCCCTATGGGGTTAGGGCCTGCCATGTGACCTCATTTTTACCTAGTCACACATTTAAAGACCCCATCTACAAACACACAGTCACATTGTGAGGTCCTGGGGGGTTGGGACTCCAACATATGAATTTGGCTTGGCAGGGAGACATAATTCAGCCCCTCATAAGTGCAAAATATAAAGTCATAGAATGTATTCTCTGCCAACTCAATCTGATCCCAATTCCTCAAGCTCATTGAACACATCTGCTGAGCGTCACCATACTCAGTCTGTTCTGGGAGGTGAAACACAGTCCTGTCTCCTCCTCCCATGAGTGCTTCCTGCTTCTTTGCCTCCTGCTGTGTCTCTGCCTTAGCCAGTTCCAAACTGCCGCCTTCCCCATGGTACTGGCCTCATCCCCGCTTCTTATCTCCTTCAGAATTATCTTTTAGAAGTGTTTGTTTTCTGTTTTCATGTTTCCTTTAGTCTTCTATTATAAAACTCCAAGCTAAGAAAATATGATTCCAAACCATGAACTCTAGCCAGAAGGCACCCATTGAATGGTCACCAGATGATAAAGTAACCATTACATCAAAGATAATCTGTCAAGTAAAGCTTCTTAATCTGAGTTTCTCACCAGTTGAACAAGAAGGGAAATAAAAATTACAAATTCCTTTTTCCCAAGTAAGCATATTAATTTTCCCTCTGGAAAAGTCCTCTGGGGAGACTTTGAACACATATTGACTGAAATTCACAGCAGTCTTGAAGACCAACACCAGGCAACAGAAGTTGTAGCCAGAAGTGTCCCATTCAGCCCATTATCCTAGGACATTTTTGCATACAGTATTTGGACATTTGTTTCCTCCAGCCTTTTCCTAAGAAACCACGAATAGTGTTGCCGTTTTAAAAATTCAGTATCAGAGGTCCTTTACAGAAGTTTTTCACTTCTGGACAGAGAGGTCAATGACTTCCACTCTTGTCCCTCTGTGACCTCATCCCGCTATGGCCCTGAAGAACCTTCTGTGATTTCACAAAACTTCATGCTTGTCCTAACCCATAAGCAAGTGTAGCCATGGGGTACCCCCATGGGCCCAATGGTCAGTGAGAGAGGGGAGGGCTTGGCCCTAGCAAGAGGATTGAGAGTGCACCTTCCCACAGGTTTTAGAGCCAGGCAGCACTGCCTGGTTGACCCCTTCAGATTTGATTAATGTCATCAAAAATAGCAAAAGCAGCAACAAGGATGCCTCCCGCTTAGAGAATGTAGCAGGATGAGCCGCAGACAAAACCCCACAGACACCGAGGTAGTAAAGGAAGTGGCTTTAATCAGCTGGAAGCATTGGCAGACTAACGTCTCAAAATTCGAGCTTGTTGAGTGCACAATTTCTGTCCCTTTTAAGGGCTCACAATGCTAAAGGTTTCACATAAGAGGGTCGTGATTGATTGAGCAACCTAGGGGGGTACGTGACAGGGGCTACATGTACCAGTAATCAGAGTGAAACAGAACAGAATGGAAAGTTTCACAATGTCCTTCCATACAATGTCTGGAATCTATGGATAACATCAGTTGCTAGGTCATTGGTTGAATTTTAACTATCAGGCTAAGTTCAGGCAGGCCCAGGCCTGGTTTGGGGTCTGGTTTTGGGTCTGGGGCCTGGTGCCGGGCTACCTGCCTTTGGTTTCACTTCCTTGTTTCTTCTTAAAACAGTTACTGAGTATAAAACAATATAGAACAATATGGGGGGGGGTCTCTTTCTCTCTTCTCTCAAGAATCCTACTTAGGGGTCATTCATGATGCAAACCCTTTTGGCTAGTCATTTCATCCTTGACAATAAGCCTGCAAGGCATTTAGATGTCTGTGGCAAAGAGAAGTGTTACCAGCTAAGATCAAACAGTATAAGTAAGCATGAGTAGGGAGGAGGCAGAGGAGCATCTGGGATTGGAGCTGAGGTACACCTGTCAAGGAGCCCACTGGGGGAGGCCCCAGATCTGAATAAGGTGGCTTTCCAGCTCTGGTGACAGGCAACCAGCAGGAGCACCCATCACTTCCCTCCTTCCTGTTGGTCTAGGTAGCTAACTTCTCTGGGCCTCAGTTTCCTCAACCGTGATCTGTACATCATGACCCATGCCTCATGGGTGGAGGGAGAGGGGTAAAGGGCTTGGGCAGTGTCCCGCTCAGGATCTTGCACACTGCAGTTGCTCCATAATCCCCTCGTCCCACCCCTAATTTCAAAAGAGAGACTTGTGTGTCTCCAAGCTCTGGGCTTGCTTCACCCAGGGCTCACTCTCCAAAGAGGTGAGCCTCTTTCCTCCTTCCAGTTCCACTCCTTCCTCCTTGGGTGTTGCCAGTGTCCCAGCAGACTTAACGCCATGCCTGCCTTGATTAAGGAATGCAAGCTGCCAAGGGGAGGGCAAAGGAAACTTAACCCCCACTGTTTGCCGAGCCTTCCTTCACTCCCACAGCTTACCTGGAGGGAGCAGCCAGGCTTGGTCCCAGCCCTTCATCACCTTTTGTGACAGTGTGAAGCTACGATGCACTGCTCCTCTGTGCCCCTCACCCCATCCCTGCCTCTCCACCCTAACATCCATGAAGCAACTGGGCCACAGGCAGCTGGAACCCATTATAGTTATTTGGAGCAAGAAGGAAGCCTGCCCCAAACCACTGATTTCTAGGAACCTCAGTCTTGATTCCAGGAATGCTGTTTGTGGTAGAAGCATGACAGTGCCATATCGCTGAAGGCTGCATCTCCTTGCACAGACTCCCAGCTCAGAGCGCAGCCCCAAGGCCTCTGCGTGCTGCCCCTAATTTGACTCAGCCCCTTCTCACATTTAGTAGCTTATTTTTAGGGTGAGTGTCAAAGCTAGATGTCTCTGTAGATACTCCTTCTCTAATTTTGGCTCTCCCTCCAGCATAAGCCTGGAGCTGGGGACAAGAGCTGAGCTGAAAACCTCTGGCCTCACCTTTCTTCTACAAACTACCTTAAGAAAAATGGATTATCCAGGGATAGGAAAGTCAGACTGCATCTGCCAGTGCTGTGGTCATTTGTACAGGACTGGAGGGAAGGAGTGGCTGTCACACAGGTCTCATACACGGGATTTTCTTAGAATCACAGGGCAAGTTCCATTGTTTCAGCTTTCCTTGTGAAAAGGATTTAAAAGTAAACAAGAAGCCAGGCACGGTGGCTCACACCTGCAATCCCAGCACTTTGGGAGGCCAAGGCAGGCGGATCACCTGAGGTCAGGATTTCGAGACTAGCCTGGCCAACAATGGTGAAACCCCATCTCTACTAAAAATGCAAACATTAGCCAAGCGTAGTTGTGCACTCCTGTACTATCAGCTACTCGGGAGGTGGAGACAGGAGAATCACTTGAACCCAGAAGGAGGAGGTTGCAGTGAGCTGAGATTATGCCATTGCCCTCCAGCCTGGGTGACAAGAGTGAAACTCCAGTTCAAAAAAAAAAAAATACAGTAAACAAAAGAGAAGCCTCAGATCCTTCCTTCATTCTAGCAGATTTTGAAAGAACAGGGTAATGGGCACAGAGAAGACATATATATATATATATATAAATTAACATATACTATAATATTATTGCATGTATAATGATATATTCTATATGATAAAGGATTCGTTAGAAAAAATGGGGCCTAGGACAAATTACGTTAAGAAAATGACTTGTAAGTTGTAACAAAAAAACAAATAGGTTCATATATTATTTTCCAAGATAAATTTCCAATAGGTTCAAGAATTCAATCTAGAATTTGCTATAGAAGTGACCATTTTCTGGTGGGTGAAGGGCATGCTAAACACAAAATAATAAAATTAACCACAATTGGAACAAAATGATAGATTGGATGTCGTGAGAATTTTAAACATCTTTTAATTGCAAATAAAATACCAAAAATTTTTCAAAAAAACATTTGCTACTCAGGTCACAAAAAAGCGCTAATTATGTAGAGAAATCTCAAACAAAATGTATTACACCTTAATATCTAAAAGAAACACACACACATGTGCACACACACAGATTAAACATAAACAGACAGTCATCAGAGGAGAAATTATAAAGGGTAATAAAAATATGGGGAAATCTGTACCATGGCTATCCCCTCCTCATGGGACATTATTCTCTCCTCTCTCCATTTAACTTACGTTCAACTGCAATAACTTTATGAAAGTTATCTTCTGTGTGAGATACCTCACTTTTCCATCTGGGCCGCCACAGCTTCATATAAACTATTATTGCTTTGTTATATTCATTTTTTAGTAAAGATTTATTGAGAATGTACTCACTGATGCTTTTTTAGGCACAGAGATTCAACAGGAAATCAGAGATATGTCGTTACCAGCTTCATGGAGCATGCTTTTTATTACAACGAATGCATGTGTGTCTGTCTAGCCTGTGAATCCTTTGAGGACCTGAATCACATCTCTTTCATCTTTGTCTTCATATCCCTAATGCCTAATATGCTATCTGAGACAGAACTAATAGTCAATTTCTGATGAATCCATTCACAGCTAGATCACTGCCCTGTAAGTATGTTTCTAAGCAGAAATATAAAGCGAGATTTACACAGATTTTGTTGCAACTTATTAATAACAGTAAAATAATGGTATCAAACTAAATTTACATGGTAGTTAGTTTCTAAAGACAGTTTACCAGTGAACCATGCCTCAGTGTATTTACAGCCTTGGATGATCATCTCCCAAGTGAATTTTGACCAGTCCTGTGTAACCAATAGAGTGAGGCTGAAGTGGTTGTTGTGACGTCCAAGATTAAGTCATAAGGAAAACTGGAGTATCCACCTCAGTTTGTGTTTTAGAATGTGGATTCTGGTAGAATCCAGCTGTCATATACAACATCTGACTATCCTGAAAATGCCAAGAAGTGAGGAAGCCCAAGCAGTCACATGAAAGGCTGAATGGAGAGGGAGTGATGCCTGGCTGGCCCTCAGCTATTCAAGCCATTCCCACTGAGGCATCAGATATGAGAGTGAACATCCAGCCCAGTTCAACCTTCTGATGATGCCACCATCTGAGCAACTGCATGAGAGATCTCAGGTAAGAACCCACCCAGCTGAATGCAGTCACCCACAAAATTAACAGATATATATTTTTACTTTGAAGCTACATTTTATTATGCACATTTTATTAAGTAATAAATAATCAGAAAATATTCACCCACCAGATAGCATAGCCTGCAGCCTCTTAAATAATAGTTATAATAAGTTTTTAAATGTCTAGAAAATCCTTATGGTATACTATTAAGCAAAGTAAGCAGAATTGCATATTCAATGTAATCCCAACTATGTAAAGAAAAAAAAAAGAATAGAAAAAACTGGAAGGAAATTTACCGTTGTGTTAACAGTAATTGTCTCAGGGTAGTGATATTATGATTTTTGTTCTACTTCCTTTTATATTTTAGCATGAATTTCATTAATAAGCATAGAATTTAAAAAGCAAAGAACAGCTTTGTACCCAATACAGAATCAATGACCCAAAGAAATAGCCCTGGCTTTACGTGTTTCTGTCCTGAATGACAAAGAAACACATGCTCTCTTTCGAAAAGTAGTCATGGAAGAGATGGTTACAGCTTTCCCTTTACACATTTTATGGGCAGCACACTGTGCTGATACAGAAGTTCAATTTTTTAAAGACATGTTCAATTTATTCTTTTTCACTTGAAAACTAGTCAAATCCGATGTCTAGATTAATCAGAAAGGAATTTGGCTCAAGTTTAACTTCTGAGTCTTTCCTTGAAACATTTCCATCTTCCTTTCCTAGGAAATTTTTTTATTTAACTGTGATATAATTATTCATGTACCATGAAATTCATGCTTTAAAGTTTGTGATCTAGTGAATTTAGGATATTCACAAAGGTGTAGAACCAGCACCACTATCTAACTCCAGAACACTTAGATCACTCTGACAAGAAACTCCTGCCCACCAACAGTCAGTCCCATTATCTCCCTCCTGGCCCTGGAAACCACTACTCTAACTTCTTTATATATAGGCTTGCCTATTCTGATTGTTTCATATAAATGGAATTATTATACAGATGCAACTTTTGTGCCTGGCTTCTTTCAGGTAGCATAGTGTTTTCAAGGTTCATCCATGTGGGAGCATGTGTAAGTACTTCATTCCATTTAATGGCTGAATCATACCCCATCTTATGCCACTTTTTAAATACATTTATCAACAGATAGACATTCAAGTTGTTTTTCCATTTCGGCTGTGAGCATTCACATATTGTGAACATAATGCAGCTGTGAACATTCATGTATAAGATTTTGTGTCATCATTTGTTTTCAATTGTCTTATGTATATACCTAGAGTGGAATTGCTGGGTGATTTGGTAGCTGTATACTTCACTTTTTAAGGAATTGCCAGAATGTTCTCCAAGTTGCAGCATTTCATATTTCTACCAGCAATGAATGAGGGCTCTAATTTTCCACATCCTCATCAATACTAGTTACTGTTTGTCTTTTGTATTCTAGCCATCCCAAGGGGTGTGAGGGGATATCTCACTGTGGTTTAGATTTGAATTTCCTTAATGACGAATGATGTTGAGCAGCTTTTCATGTCCCTATCGGCCATGAATTTTTTCTTTAGAAAAATGTGTATTCAAATCCTTAGCCCATTTAAAAATCGGGTTATTTGTCTTTTTATTATTGAGTTGTAAGAATTTTTTATATATTCTGTATACTTGACCCTTATCAGATGTATGATTTGCAAATATTTTCTCTCATTTTTGTTGCGGGAAGTCAGGGACCCCCAACGGATGGACCGGCTGAAGCCATGGCAGAAGAACATAAATTGTGAAGATTTCATGGACGTTTATTAATTCCCCAAATTAATACTTTTTTAATTTCTTATGCCTGTCTTTACTGCAATCTCTGAACATAAATTGTGAAGATTTCATGAACACTTGTCACTTCCCCAATCAATACCCTTGTGATTTCCTATGCCTGTCTTTAATCTCTTAATTCCATCATCTTCATAAGCTGAGTATGAATGTCACCTCAGGACCCCGGGATGATTGCGTTAACTGCAAAAATTGTTTAAACAATATGAAATCTGGGCACCTTGAAGAAAGAACAGGATAACAGCAATGTTCAGGGAACAAGGGAGATAACCTTAAAGTCTGGCTGCCTGTGGGCCGGGTGGAACAGAGTCATATTTCTCTTCTTTCAAAAGCAAATAGGAGAAATATCGCTGAATTCTTTTTCTCAGCAAGGAACATCCCTGAGAAAGAGAATGCACCCCTAAGGGGAGGCCTCTGAAATGGCCATTTTGGGGACATCTGTCTTTTATGGTTGTAGATAAGGGATAAAATAAGCCCCGGTCTCCCGTAGCGCTCCCAGGCTTATTAGGACGAGGAAATTCCCGCCTAATAAATTTTGGTCAGACCGGTTGTCTGCTCTCAAACCCTGTCTCCTGATAAGATGTTATCAAAGACAATGCGTGCCCAAAACTTCATTAGCAATTTTAATTTTGCCCAGGCCTGTGATCTCGCCCTGCCTCCATTTGCCTTGTGATATTTTATTACCTTGTGAAGCATGTGATCTCTGTGACCCACACCCTATTCATACACTCCCTCCCCTTTTGAAAATCACTAATAAAAACTTGCTAGTTTTGCAGCTTGGCGGGCATCACGGAACCTGCCGACATGTGATGTCTCCCCTGGACACCCAGCTTTAAAATTTCTCTCTTTTGTACTCTTTCCCTTTATTTCTCAGACCAGCTGACACTTAGGGAACATAGCAAAGAACCTATGTGAAATATCGGGAGTGAATTTCCCCCAATATATTTTGTGAGTTTTCTTTTTACCTTCTTGATAGTATCTTTTGAAGCACAAAGTTTTTAAATTTTGATTAAGTCCAATATATCTACTTTTTTATTGTTGCTTGTACCTTTGGGGTCATATCTAAGAAAGCACTGCCTAATCCAAGGTCACTAAGATTCACACATTTATGTTTTCTCCTAAAAGTTTTGTAGTTTTATCTCCTATATTTAGGTCTTCAGTTAATTTTTGCATGAAGTAGAAGCCCAATGTAATTATCTTGTATGTTATATCTATCTAGTTGTTGTAGCACCATCTGTTGAAAAGACAGTTTTTGTCTCTGTTGAATTACACTGACATCTTTGTTGAAAAATCAATTGTATGGATTCATTTCTGGAATCTCAAGTTTATTCCATTGAT
Source organism: Homo sapiens (assembly GCF_000001405.40). Classification (NCBI taxonomy): domain Eukaryota; kingdom Metazoa; phylum Chordata; class Mammalia; order Primates; family Hominidae; genus Homo; species Homo sapiens. Next base: position 47,224,514 of record NC_000007.14, read on the forward strand.
CTATATGTCTATCCTCATGCCAATACCAAACAGTCTTGATTACTTTGTAGTATGTTTTTAAACTGGGAGGTGTGAGATTTCTAACTTTGTTCTTTCTTTTTAAAATTGTTTTTGCTGGGATCACACCTGTAATCCCAGGACTTTGGAAGGCTAAAGGGGTGGATCACCTGAAGTCAGGGGTTTGAGACCAGCCTGGCCAACATGGTGAAACCCCAGCTCTACTAAAAATACAAAAATTAGCCGGGCATGGTGGTGCGCACCTGTAATTCCAGCCACTCAGGAGGCTGAGGCAGGAGAATCGCTTGAACCCAGGAGGCAGAGGTTGGAGTCAGCCAAGATCGCGCCACTGTACTCCAGCCTGGGCAACATAATGATACTCCTTCTCAAAATAAAACAAACAACAACAAAAAAAATGTTTTGGCAACTCTGGGTTCCTTGCATTTCCACATGAAGTTTAGAATCAGCTTGCCAATTTCTAGAAAAAAAAGAGGCACCTATGATTTTGATAGGTATTGTGTTAAATCTGCAAATCAATTTGCAGAGTTTTGCCATCTTAACAATATTAAGCCTTCCAGTCCACAAACACAAGGTGTCCTTCCATCATTTAGGTCTTCTTCAATGTCTTTCAATGATGTTTTGCAGTGTTCAGGGCACAAATCTTGCACTTTTTTGTTAGATTTACTCATAAGTGTATCATTCCTTTTTATGTTACTGTACATGAAATTGTTTTCTTAATTCCAATTTTAGATTGTTCATGCATAATACATAGAAGTATAATTGACTTTTGTGTGTTGGTTTAGTATCCTACATCTTTGCTGAACTCACTTATTGGCTCTAATAGCCTTTGTGTCTGTGTCTGTGTGTGTGTGTGTGTGTGTGTGTGTGTGTGTGTGTGTGTTAACATTTTCTCAATAAAAGATCATGTCATCTGAAAATAGAATTTTGCTTCTTTCTTCCCAATCTGGGTGTCTTTTGTTACTTTATTTCTTATGAGCAGAGTTTCATCTTGGTGCTTTCGTCATTCCTGAATGATGCAAGAAGAACAACATGCAACTTATAGGGCTTTGGGTAAAAGCTGTATTTCCCTCCGTGGAAGCTGGGACAAGTCACAACCTCAGATGCTCACCCATCCCTGATGAAGATGTATAAATCTTGAGTCACTGCAGCTCCAGTCTTCTCCAGCTGAGCCCAATGGTAGACTTCATCTTCTAAGCTGATCCCTGGCCCTGCAGCTTGACTTTCCTCTCCCCATTTAAGACTTAAAATTCATCCTCTGTCTTATAACTTAGCAGATGCTTATCTCAGCCCCTGGTGGGTGTGGCCGTGGAGGGGCAGCTTTGTTCCTGTATCTGCTGGGTGGTTTTTTGCTGCATTCAGACTTTCCAGGGCCAAAGACACCACAGGCCATAGCAGAACTTGGACTCTAACCCAGTCATTCTCATGTCAAGACTGGGTTAGAGTCCTCACTATGCCACTTCCTCTCCCACTAGGCCATGTCCTCAGGACAGGAAGTCCAGCCTTCCTGCAGCCACCTGAGAACTAGATAGAGTAGATCTCATGAGGAAAGGGGAAGTTAAAAGGGAAATTCCAAAGTTTAGAAAATATTTCAAGGAGAGTAGTGTAGAGAAAAGGAGAAGGGATCCAAACATTGTTGAATATTTCTTTAGGGCAAGGTGATTTGATTTTTCATAACTATTCTCATTTAATTAATACCAGGGAGGCACAGTTATATTCCTTTTATAGGCAAAGAAACTGAGATCGCTAAGTTATTTTTGTTTGTTTGTTTTTGTTTTTTAAGAGATGGGGTCTTGCTCTGTCATCCAAGCTGGAGTGCAGTGGCACAATCATAGTTCACTGCAGCCTGGAACTCCTGGGCTCAAACCATCCTCCCGCTTCAGTCTCCCAAGTAGCTGGCACTACAGGTGCATGCCATTATGTCTGGCTTGAGATTGATAGTTTTTAAATAATGCTCAAAATTATAGATCTGGATTTAAAACTAAATCCTAATCCTATATTCACTTGACTCCGGGACTCTGGCTTCCCCCCACTGCAGCCCAAGAAGTAACCTGCCCAAAGTAAATAATAGCAACAAATAAATTTAAAAATGTTACTTAGCAAGTGGCATAAAACAATAAAACAGAGCTGAGTAAGGTGTTTGTGTTTAGTATATCCAGGTGTCCCCTATTAAGGCTCATCCCTCACCTCTAGCCAAGAAATCAAATTGTGATATTCAATTAACTGAGAATTAGGCCGCTCCTTTCAGGAACCTGCCAATACACATAATAAACACAAACGGGCTCTGCTGAGTAGAACAATGTGAACTCAAGAGTGAACAGCTGTGAAGGCAAGCCTTGGCTCTGCCTCTGACCAGCCATGCACATCTGGGCAAGTCACTTCCCCTAGATTCCATTTCCCCATCTGCAAAGTGGGCACTGCAAGACCTACGTCACCGGTTTGCTGGGAGAATAGCATAAGTTTCCCAGACCTCCAACCTGGGGATATTAAACAGGGCTATACCAGCAGCATTACCTGTATGTCCCTAACTCTTCCCGGAGAAACCACAGAATAGCCAGCACCTCCTCCAGGCACACCCACACCACAGTACACACAGAAACACAGTAGGGTGTTTCAGCATTCTTCCTTACAAATTCGCCAGCCACCAAGCACCACCTCCATTCTCTGCTTCTCTTGTGCTAGGACTTTAGGATGAAATTCACTGTAGTTCCCCCACACCCTGTAATAGAATCCATAAATGAGCCCTCCTGATATGTCCAGAGCTGCTGCTGGGCTGCCTCCTGCCACTGCTGCCCTGTCCTGCTGGGCCTTCCCACCTCCTAGGGCATCTCCATGGGACACGGGAATCCACTAAAGCTCATGCTTGTGCCAAGATGGTGCTGTGGGACCCCACCCCATGCCCTGATCCCTGCAGAAGGGAGAGGAAATGCCCTCCTTCTCCACACCAGGTTACACATGGGTGCACGGTCCCCTGTGTCTTGCAAAGTGTTTGTGAACACACATTCTCAGTTTCTCCTCATGACCCTCCCATTCCCAGGATCCTGCCAGATGTCCTCAGGACCTGAGCTGGGGGATCGATTCTAGAGAGGACACCATACTCTGATCAGAATTGCCCTGGCTCCACACCAGTCCAGTCCTCCAGCTTCCTCTTTCCTTGCGGGGGAGGGTCCCCCACTGCTGTTTCTCCTACGGGGAGATGGAGGGAGCTGGAAAAGAGATGAACAGATGAACTCTGCCCTCATCATCCTGAGAAGCCCTTCCCTGCTGCCCCACTGCAACTCTGAGTCCCATACCAACAAGGGCAGAAAGTTGGCAAGGCCACGGAGCCCCTGGCCTTCGCTAGTCAGGGGATGTCTCCTGGAGAATACACAGCCGCTGCTCAACTGTCATGGCAATAAATAACCCAACCACAACTGTCCCCTGGCCTGCCTCCTGGTGAGAAACACTCATTCCCGGCAGGGACACAGGCTCTGAGAGAGCCTCTGTCTCCCAGGAGACTGCTGAGGAGGGTGTTTCCAGGGTCCTGTGGGCTAAGTGACTCATCACCCACAGAGCCCCAGAGGCCGGCTGTTTGCAGCTGGAACTGGGTCTCCTGAGATCCAGAGCAATGGAGGGCAGTACCCTCGGCCCTGTGTCAGGTCACAAAGGAGTTCTGGAGTTGGATGGTGGTGATGGCTGCACAACAGTGGGAACGTCCTTAATACCATTGAACCACACGCTTAAAACGGGCTACCATGGTAAACATTATGTATATGTTATCACAATTACTTAAAATATTTGAATTCAGAGAGAAAAATACATAATATATAAGAAATATTATATATATAATGTATATACACCAATATTCATAAATAATCTGACTAGTAATTTACAAGGGATCTTTTTACTTTTCTGTATTTTCTGAGTTTTTCTTTTAGTTTGCTTGTAGTACCTTTGTAATAAGATCAATAACAAGAATTGTTCATTAGAATTAACAGTTATAACAATAAGCCTTTTCAAAGAAGCACTTTCAAAAATCCTTCCTGTGTATTTCTCCTGTCAATCACTTGTTCAGTGGCTGGAACACAGACATGTCTGAGGGGCTCACTGCCCTCTCTCACCAACCATGGCTACCAGAGTGACCAATAAAGGGGCCTGGGCAACGGTTCCCTCAGACCATCCTTCCCTGCTCCGAACCCTTCACCGCCCTGCCCAGCTCCAAGATGTCTCCACCTGCAGCCTCGCCTCCCTTCTCCTCCAGCCTCGCCTCCCTCCTCCTGCAACCTCCCTTCCCTCCACCTCCAACCCCGCCTCCCTCCACCTCCAAACCCGCCTCCCTCCTCCTCCGGCCCCACCTCTCTCCTCCTCCAGCCCCGCCCACCTCCACCTACAACCCCGCCTCCCTCCAACCTTGCTTCCCTCCACCTCCAACCCCGTCTCCCTCCAAACCTGCCTCCATCCTCCTCCAGTCCTGCCTTCCTCCTCCTCTGATCAGCCTCCCTCCTCCTCAACTCCTTAACTCATGATGGATCGTAAGCCTAAATGGAAAACGTAAAGTGTAAAACCTTTAGAATCAAACACAAAAAAATATTGTGTGAACTTAGATTAGGCCAAGAGTTATCAGATATGACTCCGAAAGCAAGACCCACAAAAGAAAAATTACTAAGTTGGATTTTATCAAAATTTTACCTTTTATGATTCAAAAGACACTGTTAAGAACATAAAAGTGATAAGCCAGAGAATGAAAGAAAATACTTGCAAGTCATATATCTGACAAAGGACTTATATCTGGAATATAAAAAGAATATTCAAAGCTCTACAATAAGAAAACAGCCCAACTTTCTTTTTAAAAAAAGGGCAAAGGATTTAAACAGATATTTCACCAAAGACAAGATATCAAATGGCAAATAAGCACATAAAAAGATTGTAAACATTAAGAAAATCAAAACTAAAACCACAATGATATATAACTGCACATCTGTTAGCATGGGGAAAAAAAGGCTGACAACACTGCATGCTAGAGAGAATATAGCAAAACAGGAGCTTGGCTGGGTGCAGTGGCTCACACCTGTAATCCCAACACTTTAGGAGGTTGAGGAGGGCGGATCACCTGAGTTCAGGAGTTAGAGACCAGCCTGACCAACATGGTGAAACTCCGTCGCTACTAAAAATACAAAAATTAGCCGGGCATGGTGGTGGGAGCCTGTAATCCCAGCTACTCGGGAGGCTGAGCCAAGAGAATCACTTGAACCCAGGAGGCAGAGGTTGAAGTGAGCTGAGATTGCACCACTGCACTCCATCTAGCCTGGGAAAGAAAGAAAAACAGTATCTCTAATTCATAGCTGAAGGGAAAGCAAAATGGTGCAGCCACTTTGGCCAACAGTTTCACACTTTATTACATTTTCCACGCTCTTAGATGAAACCACACAGGTCAGTGAATGGCCAGATCAGGTGAGGTTTGAGGGGAGAGCTTTGCAATCTTCACCATGTGACTTCCATCCCTAGGTTTGCATATTCCTACTTCCCAGCCAATAGGAAGAAGGGAAAACAGAAAGTGAAGTGAAAACAGCTTTATCATAAAAACAAAAAGGTAAAAAGAAAAAGTCAAAAACATCAATATTTGAAGATGATATGATCATGCACATAGAAAACACAAGAGGATCAATAAACTATTGAAAATAGCAAGAGAACTTAGCAAGGTTTATGGAAATAGGAGCAATATACAAAATTAATAGCATTTCTCCACACTTTAATTTTTTTTAACTGAGAAAGTAGAATAAAAAATAAACTACACATTTAAAATGCCAACCATGGCCAGGTGTGGTGGCTCACACCTGTAATCCTAGCACTTTGGAAGGCCGAGGCAGTAGGGTCGCTTGGGCCCAGGAGTTTGAGACCACCCTGGGCAACATAGCGAGACCCCGATCTCTATTTTCTTAAAAAAAGGAAAAAGAAACAAAAAATTTAAAAATTAAAAGACTAAAATACCAACCAAAACTATAGAAATACCAACCAAAACTATAGAGAACCTCAGAATCCACCTAAAAATACAGAAGGTAGTTACTGATGTATTCGACTACATCAAAGTTGAAAACATCTTTTCAAAAACAAAGTTAAAAATCAAATGGTCTCCTGGGAGATGGGTATTTTTAAAGCCTACAGCAAACAGTATCTAGGTTCTGGATGTATACAGTATCTAAAATGCACAGATAATTCTTACAAATCAAAAAAGAGAGAGAAGAAATATATTAGAAAAGTGAACAAAAGATAAAAATTGACAATTGAGAGAAGCAACCTGAATAACTAACAAGTATATGAAGAGGACCCTGATTCATTAGTAATAACAAAAGCACACATTTAAATAATGACAACATACTACTTTGTGTAAAGTATAGAGAAGACGTGAGTAGACAGGTCCCTGTGCTCTGCTGGTGTGAGTGTGGAGTGGCATGCTGCTCTGCACAACAGCGGGGCTATACTTGGTGAGTTTACAGATGCATCTGCCGCACAACCAGCCATCCCACTCCTCATTATAGGTCACACAGAAGCCCTCGCACACACCCATGACAGCATGCATTGCAGCCCTCAGCGGTAACAAGGAACTAAAGGCCACTTAGGCTGCCAGTACAGCCAAGGAGGAGGGAGAAGGGAGCAAGGAGGAGGGAGAAGGCAGGAGCCATCAGTATGTCCAGAGATTGCTATGTGGCCCTGGAAACACCAAGTCTGGGGATGATCGGGTGTGGGATAAATCAGGGGAGGGTGATGAGTGGAGCTCATTCTCCCACACTCCCTTCAGATCAAACTGATTTGGGAGCACCATGGAATGAGAACAATGTCAAATGATGTGTGAGGAAAGAGATTCACATAAGGAGAATATTTGCAGTCTTATGGCCACAGCAGTTTAAAAGCTAGAGACAGTTAACCTGGAGAACAGATTTTAAAGGACAGACATTACCATAAAAAAAGATAAAGTCACTTTATTACCTCTGTCTCTACATACAGTAACAGTGAGGTATGGAGATGTACATTTTAGCTCAGTAACAGAATGTATTGTCTAGAATCAGCAACATCAAATGGACAAAGGAAAATCCAGCAGCTCTCAGCAGGTTGCCAGAAACAGGCCATGCCATGAGGCCTGGGCAGACTCCTGAGACATGAAGAGATTGCAGTCATGTCCACGGCAGCAGCAGCAGCAGCATCTCTTGCATTGGTCAATGTCTGCTTGGATTCAAAATGGTGTTAGTTGCTTTACACATAATAATCTCAGTCTACAAATTGCTACACCTGCAAAACCCATTCTGCAGATGAGTAAACTGAGAGTTAGAAAATGCACTTGCAGAACTCAGATTTGAAGTCACTCCTTTGACTGCAGTCTATCTTCTTCCTGTTTGGAAGACCTATCTAGATAGGCTTAGCTTCAGCATCTCAAAGGCACAGAGAAAACAGCCCTGCAGGATCTCATGCAAGAAATATGGGTTAAGGGGCATAGTTCCAAGAGTACCAGCCAGGATCTGTATGACCCTGGCTGGATGGTGACAGACTTGAACATCAGCAGAGACAGGAGTGGCATAATCCTCATGCCTCCCCACTCCCGGAACTGGCATGGCAGGCATAAGCTGAATGGAGGGCCAGGGAGTGGTCAGCCCTCTGGAAATCACAGACCAACCCTCCTTCAGCCTTGGCTGGAAGGAAGCAGGGAGGCACATGGGGCCTGCAGACCTACTGTTCACCCAGGTGGACAACGTGATGAACTCCAAATCACCCCAGGACTTGGGGAAGGGCCTGGACCACCCTCAAATGCCAGAGAACACACAGAAAACTAATAGGAAGGGCTGGGGAGGAGCCAAAGGGGGAGGATGGGCTTCATCCCCCTAAAGCAGTGCTTCCAGAGTAATCGATTCCAGGGCAATTCCTTATTTCATAATAATGAATGAATGAACAGGACAAAGGAAGGGTGGTATTTAGGAGCAAGGAGAGGAGGCCATGGAGCCACCTATATTAGGAACTGTCACCATCCCTCACCTCAGGCAAAGAGGTAAATAAATGCTCAGAACAGACACCTAAAGGGCCCACAAATAAATGGCTGCAAGAAACTACTGAAATGTAGTTGCTTAGTATGATTTTTAGATTATACACAAAAATAAGCATTAGGATGTGAATTGTGTCCTCCCCATGGATGTTGTAGTCCTAACTCTAGTACCTGTAGACGTGACCTTATTTGGAAATGGGGTCTTTGCAGATGATCAAGTTCAAATGAGGACCTTAGGGTGGTCCTTAGCCCACCCTAAGGGGCCCTAATCCGATATGACCATGTCCTTATAAAAAGGAGAAATTTGGAAACAGACATAGAGGCAAGAAAAATGCCTTGTGAAGGTCAGAGTTATGCCACCACAAGCCAAGGAATGCCAAAGATTGCCAGCAAACCACAAAAGCTAGGGCGGAGACCCAGCACCGATTCTCCCTCACAGTCTCAGAAGGAATCAACAAGGCTGCCGTGTTGATTTCAGACTTCTATCGGCCAGAATCCTGAGAGAATACATTTCTGTTGCTTTGTTAAGGCAGTCCCAGCAAACTAACACAAGTATGTGTTGAAATTCTGAAATGCAATATATGATATAATATAAATTTAGAGCTTAATTAGTAAGTGTGGTGCCCACACCAGTGTCTCATGTTCATATACTATCTTCCCTTCGTGGGACACTACTGACATCTCCTGGTGCATGTCATCCCACTGAAAATGGTTTGAAAAACATCCATGCTCTTCCCACAGTAAACTCGGAAACGTGTCCATACAATACCCATAGAAGGCCTTCTTGTATTCTAGTGTACAGACTTGAAGTTTGAAACCAGAAAAACCTGGTTTTAATTTTGCCTTTGCCACATACTGTTTAGATAACTTTGGGCTGGGTCATACCCTATGCCTGTCTGCTCATCTGTAAAATGGGACTAATAACAACCACTCAACAGAACTCTTCTAAGAAACAATTAAATGATCTAAAGTATGTAAAGACTCTACACAGTAATGGAGACATTTGGAAAAGAGCTGCCACTCTTATGTGGCCTTCAGATTCTCTTGCTTTTTCTCAAATGTTTCTAGTTAGAACAGGGTTCAGCAAACCTTTTTTGTAAAGGATGAGAGCTTTGTGGACCATACAGTCTCTATAGGAACTATTTAATTCTGCCACTGAGGTGCAAAAGCAGCCACAGACAAGATGTAAGTGAATGGGCGTAACTGTGCCCCAGAAAACTTTATTTAACAAAATAGTGGATTGGATTGGGCCTGATGCTGATCCCTGAGTTAGAAGATGTATTAAATATGTTTGGCTATAAGGACTTTAAATTCAACTAGAAATATAGATTATGCATGTTTTACTGAGACTTAGCAAGACCTACGCTGATACTCTCGTGTGCTCATTTTCAAGTACTTTCAATGTGGAACAGGAAGCTGAGTAGATTTAAAACATCAATTGCAGAAATCAAAGAAATATTCAAAATACAACAAAGAATGCATCTTGATTTGAAAAGTAAAATAGGCTTACATGAGAAGTGAACAATTAAAAACATTCAAGTTCCCATTAACACAAATAATATTAGACCAGAAAATTCCCACCTTTCCATCTATCTGCCCTTGTAAGTAAGCTTCACATGGCTTCTGATCAGGTGATGTTGTGTTCAGCAAACTGAACCAGCCTTGCAAGTGAAAAGTATTTAAAGGAATCACAGCATGAACTCGTTCTGTGCCAAAGTAAGCCACAATTTAGATGGTGTTTGCTTTTGAACAGTCAATTTTTCTTTCCAGTTTTCTTTCTGTATTGGGTGCATTGATGTTTAGAATTCTTTGTTACTTGGAGTTTCTGACAATCAAAGTGTTGACTATTTTCACTAGTTTAAACATTTCATATATTTCTAATAAAGTAAAAAAGACTAATAAGGAAACACATTAGGAGGAAAGATTGTTGGGAATATTTTTGGACATTTGTACCCTGACAAATATAATGAGAATTATGTGATGGAATTGGAGGGTAAAAAGGAGAAGAAATGATGGATGTAGCTGCTATAGTCAACTGAAATGCAATCTTTTTTCCTCTAAGAACCACAGTGTGCAAAGGCAATGGGCTTTGAACTGTGCTACTTCTTAGTGCTTGGCTTGGTCCTCAGTTTCCTCCCCAATAGGTTGAAGAGAAGAAGACAATCTATCTCAAAAATATTCCAACTGCGTTCATCCTAATTGCCTCTTATCTAAGTAATAGTGAAAGCTGTTCAAGTTTCTATTGGCCTCTCAACTCTCCTGGCCCATTCTCATAGCCCTCCTCACTAGACTGTAAGTCCATGTGTTCGTTAGCTTCGGCTACTATAACAAAATAACACAGACTGAGCAGCTTGAGCAACAGAAATTTATTTTTCATACAGTTCTGGAGGCTGCAATCCAAGATTTGGGGGCCAGTGCAGTCAGGTTCTAGTGAGGGCTCTCTTTCTAAATGGCTGCCTTCATCCTTTGTCCTCACATGGCATTTCCTCTGTGCTAATGTGGAGGAAGAGAGATGGAAAGCTCTCTGGCATCTCTTTTTATAATATGAATCCTATCAGATCAGGGCCCCACCCTTAGGACCTCATTTAACCTGGATTACTTCCTTGGAAACCCCATATCCAAATACAGTTGATCCTTGAGCAAAACGGGTTTGAACAGTGTGAGTCCACTTACACATGGGTTTTCTTTCATCTCTTCTGCCCCTAAGACAGCAAGGCCAACTGCTCCTCTTCCTCTTCTTCCTCCTCCTCAGCCTACTCAATATGAAGATGATAGGGATGATGACTTTATAATGATCCAGTTCCATTTAATGAGTACTAAATATATTTTCTCTTCCTTATGCTTTTCATATAAGATTTTCTTTCCTCTAGCTAACTTCATTGTAAGAATACAGTATGTAATGCATTTAACCATACAAAAAGTGTCTTACTCAACTATGTTATCAGTAAGGCTTCTGGTCAACAGTAAGCTTTTAGTAGTTATGTTTTTGGGAGAGTTAAAAGTTATATGCAAATTTTCAACTGTGCAGTGGTTAGTACGCCTAACCCCCATGCTGTTTGAAGGTCAACTGTGCAGCCATGCTGGGGGTTAGGGCTTCAAGATATGAATTAGGGGTGTGCAGGGAGGGACACAAACATTCAGTTCCTAAGAGTCTATGAGGGTATAAATAGTGTCATCTTCTTTTGCTCACCATTTTGTCCCTAGTGCCTAGTAGAAAATACAGCACTAGATAATTAGTAAGCGCACTGACTAAATAAATACATAGGCAATAATTTTTTTAGATGACCTGTAGATTACACAATTTTGACATTTGTCTGATCTGTTAAAACTGACATGGGAAAAAACCTAAGATATATCTCCTATGTTCAAAACTACTCTGAATTTAAAGCATAGTCTTACTGGCAGACTTACAACTTCCTGTAATACCTCTATGTCCTGTTATGAGCTAAGACATTGTACAGTCTTCAGTGGGAGAAGGGATTTTTCTCTTATAAAAGGCTTAGTCAAATACGTCCTTTTGAGTTATGCTTAAGATACACATAGTTTGCTCCAACTGTGCCAGTATACATTATTCTACGAATAAAGTTTCCCAAATTTTTTTCATGAGGCAGAGAAATCTCGCACTTACCTATATTATTACAATTAGTACTGCAATGACTACTGATTACCAGAAGGCTGGGGGGTGGGCAGGCAGAATGCTCCAATGGCAGTAACCTTAAGGTAAAAAATATCCAAAAATTTGAACCACATTCATGAACAACAAACTGGGTAACTTTGTGTAAGACACTTCACCTCTCCACTTAGGTCCAATATTTTATAAATGCGTTATTTTGTTTATAATATTTGTATTGATGCATGAAATCATTGCACTTATTCTTCTGAGAAAGCTCCAAATAGTGACACAATGACACTGCAGAGAGCAAGGCCATCAAGATATGAGAAATTACTAAAAATCATGCCCTAAGATGGGTGATGATTGAACTGCAGTAATGAAACTCTATCTCCTAACTCTGCTCAATCTATCCAGTGAAATCAGAGGTCAGCTGTACCACAGGAAACACTGAGAAGTCAAGACAAGATCAGTATGGTCATCTGACCTTTGTTCTCTGCTTGAGGGATAAGCTCATCTGGGAGCCCAAAGAACAAAGCAAGAGGTATCAAGGGAGTTGAAGACGTTTATTTTTCCACAAACCAAGCAATTACTGTACCCTGAAGTGTTGAAATTTCATAATAGGCTATATTTGCAGTATTTCCCTCCAGAATAACAAGAGCCAGAACTCCAGAAAGAGAGAAATCTGAACTGATTCCCAGGCTATTTCAATATAGTCAAAGTTTCAATTATCTTCAGTAAATGAGAACTATTCTAGGTACAATATTCCTTTGTGGTCAATCCGATACTGATGCAATTTCTATCATAACATGTGGACAGAAATTTTCCTGGAAGGCTTTCGATCATATCTCCAGATGGATTTATATCCAGGAGGCAATGACCTAAAAACAAGAACTGCATGTACTCATTACAACAGTGGATCTGCTCACTAGAAACAAACAAGGCTGTCAACTGCCTTGAATAAAATGACATTACATACATTTTTTTTAGCCCATACAACGTACCAAGCAACTGCCAGCTGCATCCACCATGTTGTCTAGTTCAATAATGATGATAGCCCAATGAGGTGAAGTCATTATTTTCATTTGATATAGGAAAAAGCACAGGATCAGAGGACATCCCATTGGCTTAGATGTCACTTCCAATGTTTACCCCACTACACATGTGTGCCTTTGGCCTCCAAGAGACTTTGATGAGATCAACTCAATCACATTATTTGGGCCTTCTATGGAAGTTCTGCTGTCTACATTCCTAACAGTATATAAGGCGTTGAATTCCTCAGAATATTCCTCAGAATTCCTCATCCAGTAAAAATATCCTTCAGGAATGAAAGGGAAATAGACATTCTCTGATACAGAAGAGCTAAGAGAATTTGTTACCAGAGATCTGTTCAAAAGAAATGCTAAAGAAAGCTCTTCATACTAAATGCAAATGGCACTGGAGGGAAACATAATTTCAGGATTTAAGGAAAAAAACACAAATCAAAATATCTGTGTAAATATAATAGACTATAACTTCTTAGACTCTTTAAAATGTATATAATCATTGACAGAAGGAATTATAACATTTTATGTGACAACTATAACATTAAGTGGGGAGGATAAAGGGACCTATATGGTTGTGAGACTTCTGAATTTTACTTTAAATGGTAAGTATTAATTCTAAGTAGACAGTGAGAAATTAGGTATGTGTTATATCTTTGGAGTAATCACTTTTTAAAAAAAGGAAAAAGAGATAGCCTAAAAGCCAACAGATAAATCTAAATAGCATACCAAAAATATTCAAATAGCCTAAAAGAAGTCATGAAAGGAAAAATCAAGGAAAAGCAACAAAAACAAAAAACAGAAGAAACACACAGAAAAACAAAATAATAAATCTAAATCTCAATGATTTCTTAACTGTAAATTATAGAAACATACCAATTACGGGACAGAGATTATAAGATTCAATTCTATGCTGTCTGCAAGAAACCCTTTTTACAAAAGGTAACTGTGAGGTGATAGATACATTAATTAGTTTGATTTCACAATGTATATGTAAATCAAAACGTTTTACATCTTAAATTATACAATTTTTCTTTATCAATTATATCTCAATAAAGCTGGTGGAACTCTTTTTAAATGCAATGATATAAATGACACTAATTATAAGAAAACTGGAATCCATACCCCCAGATTAATCATGAGAAAAACATTACACAAATTCAAATTGGTGGGCACTCTACAAAATACTTGACCAGTATACCTCAAGCTGTCAATATCTGAAAAACGAAAAAAGACTGAAAAGCTGTCTCAGACCAGAATTCCTCCAGGCATCACACCCTCCTTAAAGGTAGAGACGGGGCAGATGGGCAAAAGGCCAGTGGGAGAGGTAGACAAGGTAGCCTCACAAGAAAGTGCTCCTGGGTCCCCTCTGTGGGCTTTCTCTTGCATCTTATGGACCAGAACTGAGTCCCATGTCATCCTAGTAGCAAGGAGAGCTAAAGAGACTCTAACCTCTGAAGCAAAAGGCTAGGCAGGAGGGGCTGCGAGCAGCAGTGCATGTCGGGGTAAGTTGGAGGGTTAATACTTTTTTGTATTTGAATTTGTGCTTTCGTCATCGTGAGAATTATTCCATTCATGTTAATTGGAGGTGGGTGGGAGTGCTGGTCTCTAGCCAACCACCCCGCACTACAGGTATATACAGACTGACCAGGAACCCCATTATGGTTGTTCAAATACGAATATGTTTGTGCAGTTTTTCATTTGAGGAAGATGTGTTTTGGCTTCTTAATGGTGCTATGATTCCATCAAGTAGGCTGAATTATAGCTCCTCACTTCCCACGAGAAGCTAATATTCTCAACTAGAACACCCACAGAGAAAGCAAGGAGAACAACTTTAGAAAATATGTGCCACCCTGCATGCCTGTAACCTTATTGAGACATTCCCCATCACAACAGACGCCCTCCGCTGTAGCCCCCCGTCAGCCATCTCCAAGGGCCAGGCAGAGGTCAGCAGAGTGTGGCAGATGTCACCACACAGGAGTCAACCCTAGACCTGAGCAGGGAATGGGCAGCACCCAAGCCAAAGCTCCCCCTTTCCCCACGTCACCAGGAGGCCTGGAACTCTCCCATTGCCGCCACCATGCGTAGAGCCTGCTTCCCTCCCTAGAAGAATGAGGCTGTCCAGGGTAGAACTGGCTGCAAGGAGGGGCACATGCTTTGCAGCCCAGAAAGACAGATTCCAAAGTGAGCTCCAGACCCAGCGACCCTGGGATTTGGGGAGAATTCCTCAGCTTGCTTATCAGCAAGACCAGGATGCAGAATCTGCCTGGGCAATGGCAGCATCATGAGATGCTAGGAATAATAGAGAGCAGGAAATACTCCTCTCTCTGTAAAATACTAGGTTAATGTTGTAATTTGGCATAAGTATACAGGGAAAATTGTGTGATTGTATTTTTATGTTTATTCATCCTTCACTTTTTAAAAAAAAATGACACTTCTACAGATTATTGTATCATCTTATCCATCATCTCCAGATGTTTTTGTTTGGTTTCTAATGGTTATTCTGAAATTGTTACTACGATTGACCTCTTTTTGTTGATTTTCAGAGGATCCTTATTTAAAAAAGTAAAAATAAAAATAAAAAAACAGAAAATCTAGGAAAGTTGCATGTATCCAAAACTAAGATGCTCTGTTATTTCCAAATTTTTATTTGTAAATGTGTTTTTCCCTCCCTAAGCTTTTCTCAAGGGGCTACATTGTTCCAGATCTTTCCAGCATTTGGAATAAAGTTGAGTTGCACACTTAACATTCTTCTTTAATTATGAAGTTGAAATAAACATTAGTATATGCCAGACCCAATTGTTGTTGGGGACAAAAGTGCATTGGGCAATGGAGAAAGGAGTGAGTCTTTCTGTGGTCGCTCACCACATGAAATAAAAATGATGGATACTCCACATTATCATCCTTTGACAAAAAGGATAAGGGAGACAGTTTCCACTTTGGCAATTTCTTTGTTTACAGAAAAGGAAAGGTGGGAGAGGCCTGTGTTCCCAAAAGCATACTCAGTGTTTTGCAACTTCTTTGAAAAGCTGCTAGGGAACCAAGGCCTTTGCTCTCAACTGAGAGTTTCCAAGGATCATGGTCCTGGTGCTGCAAACAGGGTCAGAGCTGAGGTGGTTGTTCTGTTTGTTTTGTTTTTTTTGCCAAGCTTGGGGCCGTCTCTGGGCTTATTGTGGGCTTGCACTGAGGCACTGCCTGGCAGCAGTACATGCACGGCCCAGAGAAAACTCAGATGCGTCCATGCAGCCATCAGACTGATTATTTCCATTCATCTCTGGTTACTACACTCTGGGGCATCCCCATGCTCCACAGGTAGCATTCCAAGCCCTCCCAATTCTCCATTTTCACCCCATCTCAGCCACTCCCCTGCAGCCCAGGCTCCTTCATTTGACTTTAGCACCCATGTTTCCCCTGCTGAAATGGTTGCTCCTTCCTTTCCACTGGGAGGACAATGATCTTCCATAGGTCACCTTCCCCTAGGCTCAGGGAAGCCCTGCACTCCCGCCAACACAGCAGCCATCACATTGCTTGATAACTGTTAGGAACAGAACTGTGTGCTCCCCAAAATTCACAGGCGGAAGCCCTAACCCCCAGTGTGACTGTATCTGCAGATAGAATGTTTAAAGAGGTAATTATGGTTAAATGATATCATAAGGGTAGGGCCTAATCCAATAGGACTGGTGGCCTTATAAGAAGAGAGAAAGACACCAGGAATGTGTGCACAGGAAAAAGACTACATGAGGACACCGGGAGAAAGTGGCATCTACAATCCAAGGATAGAGGCCTCAGGAGGAGCCAACCCTGCTGATGGACTTCCAGCCTCAAGGATGTGAGAAATGTCTGTTGTTTGAGCTTCCCAGTCTACGGTACTTCATCAAGCAGCCCCAGCCGACTAATACAGTCACTGCCTGCACCTCTCCTCCACAGTGGCCTCCCCTTACAACCAGAAGAGACCATCATTTCAAGTCACTTTTCTAGCATGGGATCCTCAGTAAGTGCATCACCAATAGTAGCTGTGTTGACAAAGTTTCAGCTGCAGCAGCTGTACTTGTTATCTTTCTTGTTATTGCCTTCAAGCAGAAAAATAAAATCTTCCTTATCTCTGTTAAGAAGTGTGCTTCCTGAGACTCCCTTCCCACGCTCCAGGCAATTGCCTGGAAGTCTCCACTCAATGTATCATGAGAAAGAAAGCAGCTTCAGAGGCCCAGATGGGTCACAAGGAGCAAGGTTGTTATGAAGGCTAAAAAGCTATAATGATGTGTGCATCAGCCCTCCGATGCCTGCCATGGGCCAGGGATCACACAGGGCAGTGGACGAAGATGAACAGGTGAACTGGCCTCTCTCAGAGCAACAGCCATGGAGAGATAGGAAACCCCTGTTTTGTTTTGTTTCATTTTGTTTTGTTTTCTGAGACAGAGTTTCGTTCTTGTTGTCCAGGCTGGAGTGCAATCGCGCAATCTCAGCTCACTGCAAACTCCGCCTCCCAGGTTCAAGCGATTCTCCTGCCTCAGCCTTCCAAGTAGCTGGGATTACAGGCATGCACCACCAACCCTGGCTAATTTTTAGTAGAGATGGGGTTTCACCACGTTGGTCAGGCTGGTCTCAAACTCCTGACCTCAAGTGATCCACCTGCCTTGGCCTCCAAAGTGCAGGAATTACAGGCGTGAGTCACTGTGCCTGGCCAGGAAATTCCTGTTCATCTGTCTTCCTTTCCAGAAATTCTGGACATGCCCACAAACAGAGCTCTGTCTAAGATTCATCTTGGTACTCCCAAACTTTAGTTAAACTGACCATATTTTTGCATTTGATTTTTAAAAATTTTTCCTTTCCCCTTTCTTCCTCCACAATTAAATATTTTATTTTGTTTATTTATTTATTTATCATTTTATTTGTTTTTTTTTTTTTTTTTGAGACTGAGTCTCACTCTATCGCCCAGGCTGGAGTGCAGTGGCACGATTTCGGCTCGCTGCAATCTCCGCCTCCCAGGTTCAAGTGATTCTCCTGCCTCAGCCTCTCAAGTAGCTGGAATTACAGGCGCCCGCCACCACGCCTGGCTAATTTCTTTATTTTTATTAGAGACAAAGTTTCACCATGTTGGCCAGGATGGTCTCGAACTCCTGACCACAAATGATCCGCCCACCTCAGCCTCCCAAAGTGCTGGGATTACAGGTGGGTGTGAGCCACCTCGCCCAGCCCACAATTAAATATTTTAAATCAAGTGTCTTCATACCTCTGTTCTTCTCTGAAGATACTCATAATGGAATATTCTGGAGAAGCAGAGACATGGAAGAAACATCAATTTCCCCATGAGTTTTCAAAAGCAGAGAAATTAGATGTCCAACAAAAAATTCTATATATCCTACCAGACACTTCTCTCTATCTCTCCCCTAATTTTAGGGTTCAGAACTAACTCAAGAAAATGTTTCTTGTTATGATCGAATGAAAAAAGTAAGCATTTCAAAGGTGTTATGACTTTATTTAATTTCCAAGGCCACATGAACCTTTTGAAGCTTTACCCAGACCTAACACTTTGCTGACACACTGGGTGAACATTAGGCAGCACACAAAAAGTCATCATATGCAGTCCTTTTGACATTTTTAAAAATTTCAGGCTGGGCGTGGTGGCTCATACCTGTAATCCCAGCACTTTGGGAGGCCCAGGCAGGCAGATCACGAGGTCATGAGTTTGAGACTAGCCTGGCTAACATAGTGAAACCCTGTCTCTACTAAAAATACCAAAAATTAGCTGGGCGTGGTGGCACACACCTGTAATCCCAGCAACTTGGGAGGCTGAGGAAGGAGAATCTCTTGAAGATGGTAGACAGAGGTTGCAGTGAGCTGAGATCACGCCACTGCACTCCAGCCCGGGCGACAGTGCGAGACCCCATCTCAAAAAAAAATTTGTTTTCAAATAAATATGCATAAAGTGGTTATCAGAGACAGGAGCTCCTTGAGTGAGGCACAGTGATAGTTCCTAATATAGATGGCTCCACGGCCTCCTCTCCTTGCTCCTAAACACCACCCCTCCTTTGTCTTATTGGGGCCACATGACTTAACCCTGCCCATTCCTCTTACCTAGAGATGGGCTTCATGACAAGGCCGTTTCCCTAGACTCCACCTGCCCCACTGTGGCTAAAAATAAACCCTTGGAGCCAGCTGGCTCTGTCGCTCATCCTTTCTTTCCCCTCCCTCCCTTCCACCACCCTCCTCTCTCTTTCTCCTTGTCTCTCTCTCAAGGGATCACACCTGTAATCCCAGCACTTTGGAAGGCTGAGGTGGGTGGATCACCTGAGGTCAAGAGTTCGAGACCAGCCTGGCCAACATGGAGAAACCCCATATCTACTAAAAATACAAAAACTGATTGGGTGTGGTGGCGGACACCTGTAATCCCAACTACTCAGGAGGCTGATTAGGGAGGATCACTTGAACCTGGGAGGTGGAGGTTGCAGTGAGACAAGATTGTACCACTGCACTCCAGCCTGGGCAACAGAGTAAGACCCTATCTCAAAAAAATAAATAAATAAAAATTAAAAATTAAATAAAATGAAATAAAAATAAAGTGAAATACATGTAAAGAAATTGGATATCACCTCAAATCTCCAAGTTTTTCATGATAATTTTTCCTGGTTTTCTTTCTGAGCACTGCATGAAGTAGGCTACATACTTGCTTCCAAACAGAAAATGTCCTCAAAAGATGCACACTAATCTGATAATAATGGTAACCACCGGGAAAACAAGTGGAAATGGGTAGTGGTCAAGTGGAATTTGAGATCTAAGTGGATTGCACGGATGTTTTATGATAAGAATATATTCAAAATAAAATTAGAAGAAAATTGTTGGCTATGAGCTTCCTAGTATCCAGTGCAACTATTTATAGAATGAGGCATAAAATCCCTCAGGAGTGACCTGCCTGGTCTCAAAAGGGTTGTGTGACTTCAGGAACTATGAAGCCTAGTTGTGGGTTTCCATCTTGGCACCCAGGATGCTCCCCCTTCTTCCATGTTCCTCTTGGAGACCACTCCCTACTCTCAATTATGGTTTGCAGTGGTGGTGATGGGCCTGGTCGATCCAATCACTCCTCTGACCAGGTAAGAATCATCAAGACACAAAGAGACCTTGAGCTCCTGGGGAAGCCATTCTCATTCTGGAGAAGCTGAGAGGATGCCGGGCCTGCAGGGCTGTAGCCGGCATTGTCGCAGTAAAGATCTGTTGAGGCAGGCCTGTGCAAATAGTGTTGAACCAGCGATGGGAATGAGCTCCTGGTCAAACCACACAAAAAGGAGGATGACCTTTGAGGTGGGTACACCTCTATTTTCTCTTCTTTTCTTTCCTTTTGCATTCTTTCCTCTTTTTTAAAGCCAGTTTATGTTGGCTTTTCTGCCTATAGCGCCTGAAAGAGCACAGGGAAGCTTATCTTACTGCACCTGTAACTCACACCTCCAGAAGTGCAACCCAGCGTGAGCGGATTCCGACCCTTCACCCACGACCTCTTGGACAGCGTGCACAGAGGATGTTTCCTAGCCCTGGACAAAGCTCTCACCCTGTGACCTGCCATGACCAATTCAGGCAGGTGCTATCAGAGGCATTTGCTGGGATGTCCCACTGCTTTCTTTCCTTTCTGCTGTGAGCACAGGATGTTCCAGATTACAGAGAGCCCTGTGTCACCAGCTTCAGAATGTAGCAGTGTGGAGCAAGACACAAGGAACAGAGTTGCCCTCATGAGCCACTGACAGTCCCTACTAGCTAAGAAATATGCCTCTGGTGAGCAGTGGCATTGGCTGGCTTCTGTTGCATCAACTAATGACAGCTGATGAAAACACAACCCAACCAGACACCAGAAGAACAGGCCCTTGCCCCTCCCAGGATAGGTCCACTTGACTATCTCCTTGAAGCCACTTAGAAAGTTAAGGTGGCCTAAGCTTTTCTCAGATGCCTCCTCTGTCTCGGCAGAAGCAACTTTCAAAATTGACTTCACTGGCTGCATTAGCAATCAACACTCTGCAGAAACTGATCATTAAAAGTAAATAGTGAGACATTTTCCCTCACTATTTCCAACTTATTGTTTTTATCATGTGATAGAAAATTCTGGCATCTTAAAATATATACTTAAGAGAATACCACACACTGGTGGCTTTCGAGAACTAGCTCTTTTCTGAAGATGGGAAGAGTCCAAGAAACGAGAAATGACTGTCACCAAAGCTTTAGAAAAAAGAAAAAGTAGAAGAGTCTGTTTATGGTTCCTGGGCTAATGACTTCGGAGAGCTGTCAGTGTCAACAGAGCCAAGCACCACATGGGACAGAATTTGGTTCATTAGCAAATTATGGCTTGTGAGTACAAAAAAATAAATAATTTGCGCTGCAATGGAATTCCATACCCCAAGGAGCTCTGGGAAGATCGATGGGTGCTCTGCTCAAAGGGCTCTTCCAACCTCATGGGGCCTCCTGTCGGGTGTCCCACGTCCCCCATGGCCCTGGTGTGGCCACACTCATCTCCGTGCAAAGCAGAATGTGTGGGGGCACCCCTCACAGGGTAATTGGCCCAACCTTCATCTTCTACAGACGAAAAAAGAGGGCATGAGGCTGTGTAAACCCACAATCAAGTCACA
The DNA here is from genome assembly GCF_000001405.40 of Homo sapiens. Taxonomy (NCBI): domain Eukaryota; kingdom Metazoa; phylum Chordata; class Mammalia; order Primates; family Hominidae; genus Homo; species Homo sapiens. Next base: position 47,245,796 of record NC_000007.14, read on the forward strand.
GCCAAACCAGAGGCGAAACCCCAGCATCACAACACAGCCATTCATTGTTCTCCCATAAGCGCATCAGTAAACATGGTTTCCTCCAGGACTTCTTGTTGGAGCTGTAGGAGGTTGAGTCTTACATGCAGCCAGCTGACAGGGTGTGCCGTTGGGGGGAGTAGCTGAAAGATATGGAAATGCTCCTTCCTCATAACTGCCTGAAGCCCCCAGGACACTCCGAATAATGATTAAAATGTCTTCCATGTAAATTCAGCTTCTAGACTATCCTCTTGGTGCCTTCTTACACAAAATCCCGGAGCTGCCCTGGGGATGCTTGTAGTCTAGAGAGCTTCCTGGAAGGCAATGGGTTAAGGGGCTCCCAGTTTTCCTACCAAGGAGAGGAGGGATGGTGGTGTGAGAGATGGGGTGCTCAACAAGCATCTGTTGCCAGCAGAGCCCACCCTGCAGAGTAATAATTCCAAAGTACAGGGAAGAGGAGGCAGGGACCAGGCCTTGGACCTGCTCTGGTAGGAGCCATGCTCTCTCCCTGCCCCTCTCTCCAGGTCTCAGCTGCAAGGGACAGTGACTCAGGCCCTTTTCTCCCTACACATACCCCTGCTCTGTATAACCCAGGGTTCCCAGAACTTGTCTAACTCAATGGTTTGGGATCCCAGTTCTCCAAAGCTCCACGATTATTCCCAGAGTCCCCCAGCATGCCCTGAATACTTTCGACCAGCAAGCCAGGCCACACGGGCCTGGCAGTCCACTTCTTGCCACAAGCCCATGGCCACTTGTGGTGTGTCTGCCACTCCTGCCTCGCCTCACAGCAGCCTCTGCTAGGTGTCTCAAGGTATCCCGGGTACTGTCTTTCCAAGTGACTGAGACCCCTGTCACCATTGCTCTGAGCCCAAGAAATGCTCCTGGATGGATGGCCAGTCTCAGAGATGGCTGATGTCTTCTTCCCTGTGTGTGACACTTGCTCATCTGGGCCGGTGCTCCCTGCCACAGAGATTTGAGTGCAATTGTTGTTATTCATGGTCCTGCCTGCACCCCAGGAAACACTCACACATTTATGCATGAGCCAGGAGATAAACCCAAGAGACAAAAACAAAAAAAATTGCTGGGTGCAGTGGCAGGCACCTGTAATCCCAGCTACTTGGGAGGCTGAGGCAGGAGAATCACTTGAACTCAGAGGGCGGAGGTTGCAGTGAGCCAAGATCGCTCCACTGCACTCCAGCCTGGGTGACGAAGTGAGACTCCATCTCAAAAAAACAAAACAAAAAAAACTTACACAGCATGTTACTGTACTATTCACTGTAGGAAATTGTAACCAATGGCAAGTACTTATGTATCTAAACATACCTAAACACTGAAAAGATACAGTAAAAATACAGTATTATAATCTTATGAGACCACCACATGCATTGTTCAGAGAAACACTGTTAGGCAGTGCATGACTGTATATAACTACATATCCAGAAATGAATTGGCGAAGGAGCTCGGGGAATGCATTCTCTGCAGTACCCTGTGGTCCCAAGCCAGCTAGGAGAAGGTACAAATGGATCAGATCCAAGAGCAATGAGCAGCCAAAATAGGAAGCAGCTGTGTCATGCAAAAGTGGCTCGAAGATCCTGTTAAATTCTTTGCTTTTCGCCATTTCACTTGGAAGGACACTGTGGAGCCCAATCTGTATGGAAGACTTAGGGGTTCGGGGAAAGACTGCAAGTCTAATTTAGGCCACATGGCTCTGAAGTTAGAACTGCTTACAAGCCATGGAAGAGGCCCCTGACTTAGGATGAAACAGCTGACCTGCTGCAGGAGGGTATGCAGCAGGTGCTCTGATCCCTGAACATCCAGGGTCACGCCAGTGCAGTCCTCTTCCTGAGTGACCCCTTCGATCTTGTCACTCCTTGACTGCCTGCCTCCCACGGCTCCCCTTCCCTGCTGACTTCAGGCTTCCAGGTTCCAAGGAAGACTGTGCACATTCCCAAATCCCCTCCTTCAAAATGAACCCCACTGTAAATTCATAAAAATGTGGGAGTAAAAATCTTTTTGATATTAAAAGTACTACCTTAGTTCAGAAACAAGAAAGGGCAAACTCTGTGAGATAAACAAGAGAAAACCCCAACAGCTGGTGTAGCCAGTGCCTCCCAGCCCTTGGGGAATGGGACAAGCCAGGATTCATGATGCAGGGATGAATGCCCCAGCATAGGTATTGATGCACCCATCCTAGAGACATCCTCCCCGAGACTGAACTCGTAGCCTGCTGGTACCTGGTGCAGGGCCCAAATTCTCACCTTTGCCATGGTGCATGAATATCAGAAACACTAGGTAAAAACTGATTTGGAGCCAACAAGCATCACACTACCCGAATCGAGGGGCCCATGAAACTGCCCCACAGGGAGACCACCAAGGCCAGGTGCACCTGGTAGGGAAGCCCACCAGGAGATGGACTTGCACACAAATATGAGACAGCACATTAGGAAGGCTAAGGTCCTGGCACCTGGGCGAAACCATACCTGTAGAAGTAGGTGACAGAACAATGTGAAGGGAGCATGAAATAAGTGTATCCAATGCTGGATTTATTTTAAAAAAGATTTGTTCACCATCCCAGAAGCCATTATCACTTTTACATGGATGTTCCTTTCCTTTCTTCTTTATTACTGAAGAAGATCAGGCCAGGGACTTACATAGGCTTACATAATAATGCTAGCAGTTTGTGGGCAGTGTCTTGTTTATCACAACAATCTTAGACTTAACATAACTAAGGCTCAGAGAAATTAAGCAACCTGTCCAAAGTAACACAGCTAGAGATGGAGGTGATGGAGCGAGGCAGGGTTGGACCAGATCCAAGGTGGCCACCAAGTCCTGTAATCACTGAGAACTCCCAACTCCTGTCTTGCTGTTTTTATTCTACCACATGTATTGTGAAGCACGTCCACAATGCATTGGTTTCCAACTTGTCTGAGTCCAATGACACAGAACACCCATCCATGCACAAGTTACAGCAAATGGATTTATCACTTACAGCTAAGCAGTAAGGACAACGGGAGCCTAGGATTCATTGCAAGCCATCCCCCAGAACTCAGGAAAGGTGCCTGGGGCAGATGGAGTCTCTTTTGCTTGTGCCCCACTTGCACTACAGCTGCCGGACTCTGGAAAGCAGCCTACACAGGTTTTTACACTCCAGAGGCTACATGGTGTGCTGGGCTAAAGCACTGAAGGACATCTTGTTTCTAGGAAGGGACTGGACAGAGCCCAGGCTATTCCAGCCAGTCCCCGGCATCTCAGAATGTTGCACTCTCAGCACAAGCTACAGTTACTCTTGAAATCCACAAGCAAGTAGGTGGGAAGTACTGGGTCAGACCCAAAGAACTGTCCTGCATTTTTGTCCCTTTTTGCTTTCTTCTCCAAGCCAAATGACTACTCTTGGCCTCTTGAAATGTGCCAAGTGTCTGTGCTGACACTGCAGTTATATCATCTCATTTAATCCTTGAAGTAACACCAATTGACCATGCGTTCCAGATACAGAATCCAGTTCCAAGAGGTTTTCCCAAGGTCATAGAGTGAGAAAATACAAGATCAAATCTTATCACATCTGAAATCCATGGTGTTTTCACTGAACTGCACTACCTCTCAAAAGACTATTAAAAGCCCACCCATTTATGGTTTTATCGTAGTAAAATACACACAACACAAAACAAAGTTTTCACCATGTTTAAGTGTTGTAATTCAGTGGCATTTAGTACATTCAGAATGTTGCTCAATCATCATCTCTCTCTCTAGTTTCAGAACTATTTCACTCAGACGCATCAAACAGTCATTCCCTATTTCCCCTCCCTCCAGCCTTTGGAAGCCACTAGTCTCCTTTCTATCTCTGTGGATTTATGTATTTTGCATGTTTTACATAAGTGAAATTATACAATATGTAATCTTTGGTGTCTGGCTTCATTTACTAACATAATATTTTTGAGGATCATCCACATTGTACCATGTATCAGTACTTTATTCCTTTTTATGGCTAAATAATGTTCCACTATATGGATATAACACATTTTCTGTTCATTCATCAGCTGATGAAACTTTGGGTTGTTTCCACCTTTTGGCGATTATGAATAGTGCTACTATGGACATTTATGTACACATTTTTATTTGAACATTTGTTTTCAATTATTTGGGGGTATGCATTTATAAGTGAAATTTATGAATCATTTAGTCATTCTGTTTAACTTCTTGAGGAGCCAACAAAATGTCTTCCATAGGGGCTGTACCATTTTACACTCCCACCAGTGGTGTACAAGAGTTCTAATTTCTTCACATCCTTGCCAACACTTGTTATTCTCTAATTTTTTTTTTTTTTTTAGTAATAGCTATCCTAATGGGTTTGAAGCAGTTCTAATTGTGATTTTGATTTACATTTCTCTAATGACTAAATGGCACTGAACCACTTTTCATGTGGTTATTGTCCATTTGTATACATTCTTTGGAGAAAAGTCTGTTCAAGTTCATTGCCTATTTTGTTGCTGAGCTGTAGTAATTCTTTATATATTTTGGATACTAGTCCCTTATTGGATACATGATGTGCAAATATTGTCTTCCATTTTGTGGTTGCCTTCTTTCTTAATAATGTCTCTTGATGCACAAGAGCTTTTAATTTAAATGAATTCCAACTTGTCTGTTTTTTATTTTGTTGCTTGTGCTTTCATGTCATTTCTAAGCATATATTTGTCAATTGATTTTTGACAAAAATGCCAAGACAATCCAATAGGGAAATAATAGTATTTTCAACAAATATTGAATTTCCACATTTAAAAAATAATTTAACCCTTTTTTCTTATCATACACAAAAATTAACTAAAAATGGGTCATAGACCCAAATGTAAAATGAACTATAAAATTTCTTGGGCCAGGCATGGTGGCTCACGCCTGTAATCCCAGCACTTTGGGAGGCCGAGGCAGGTGGATCATGAGGTCAGGAGTTCAAAACCAGCATGACCAACATGGTGAAACCCCACCTCTACTAAAAAATACAAAAATTAGCCGAGCATGGTGTAATCCCAGCTACTCAGGAGGCTAAGGCAGGAGAATTGCTTGAACCCAGGAGGTGGAGGTTGCAGTGAGCCAAGATCGCACCACTGCACTCCAGCCTGGGCAACAGAGGGAGACGCTGTCTCAAAAAAAAAAAAAAAACACTTCTTAAAAGTCTGTGATCTTGGGTTTGGCAAAGATTTCATAGACATGGCACCAAAAGCACAATCCCTAGAGAAAAAAATGAATAAGCTGGACTTTATCAAAGTTAACAAAAATTTGTTCTGCAAAATATATCATTATTTCTTATTGGATGAAAGGACAAGCTGCAGAATTGAAGAAAATATTTGCAAATCTTAGGTCTGATAAAGCACTTGTGTCCAGAATATATGAAGAACTCTTACAGTTTAATAATAATAAGATAAGCAACCCACTGAAAAATTGGCATAAAAGTTTTTAAAAAAAAGGAAAAACTGGCAAAAGCTTTAAATAGACACCAAAGATATATAAATAAATAATGACAAACATGCTATAATAAATAATGAGATAAAAGATGCCATTAGCCGTTAAGGAAATGCAAATTAAAAACATAACAAGATATTACCAGAAACCTATTGGAATAGCCAACATTCAAACACCAACACCCACTGTCAAGGATGTGGAGAAACCGGAACCCATATACATCACTTGTAGGAAAAAAAAATGCCACAGCCACTTTGGCAAAAAGTTGGGCAGCTTCTTAAAAATATCCACTCAGCATATCCTGAACAATTTCACTTCTAGGTATATATCCCAGAAAAATGAAAACACATATCCACACAAAGACCTATATGTGAATGTTTCACAAAAGCATTATTCATAATATCCAAAAAGTGAAAACAATCTAAATGTTCACCAACTTATGAATGCATAAACAATATATGGTATATTCATCCAATGGAACGCACTTAGAAATAAGAATGAAGGCAATGCTGATACAGGAAACCACACGGATGAACTTCAAAAACATTATACGAAGTGAAAGAAGCCGGACACAAAAGACCACATATAGTATGATTCTACTTATATGAAATTTCTAGGAATTTCTGTCTATAGAGATAGAAAGCAGGTCAGTAGTTGCCTGGAGTCAAAAATGGTAGCTGGGATTGATTGCAAATGGGTAGGAGGAAATTTTGGGGGTGGTGATAATGTTCTAAAACTGAATTGTGATGGTTTACTAAAAGTCACTGAATGTACATTTCAAATTGGATGAATTTTATGGTATGTATACCTCAATAAAGATGCTTGAAGACATACATAGTTTTAAGAAATATCATTTTAATTGCTATATAATATTCCATCAAATGGATATGCCACATTTTATTAAGCAACTACTGAATAACTATTGAATAATGAGATTATTTCCAAACTTTCATTCTTTTAAATGCTTCAACCAATATGTTTGTTTGATTTTGTGCAAATCTGGTTTTTAATGGTCTCTTTAAGTTGATTCCCAGAAACGGAACATAGGAGAAGGGGATGCCCATTGACAGGGCTCTTGTTACCTAGCTGCCATCTGTTTTCTTTAACATTATATAAGGTTAAACAGCTCAGCAATGAATGGAAACATACATGTTAAAAATTGAGGGCCAGGCACAGTGGCTCACTCCTGCAATCCCAACACTTCGGGAGGCTGAGGCAGGTGGATTGCACGAGGTCAGGAGTTCAAGACCAGTCTGGCCGACATGATGAAACCCCATGTCTATAAAAAATACAAAAATTATCCAGGTGTGGTGGCGCATGCCTGTAATCCCAGCTACTCAGGAGGCTGAGGCAGGAGAATCACTTGAGCCTGGGAAGTGGAGGTTGCAGAGAGCCGAGATGGCTTGATAGGGTTTGGCTGTGTTTCCCCCCAAATCTCATCTTGAATTGTAACTCCCACAATTCCATGTGTCATGGGAGGGACCCAGTGGGTCCCTGTGAATCACAGGGGCAGGTCTTTCTCGTGCTGGTCTCATGATAGTGAATAAGTCTCACATGAGATCTGATGGTTTTATAAAGAGGAGTTCCCCTACACAAGTTCTCTCTCTTTTCCTGCCGCCATCCGTGTAAGACCTGACTTGCTCTTCCTTGCCCTCCACCACGATTGTAAGGCCTCCCCAGTCATGTGGAACTGCAAGTCCACTAAACCTCTTCTTCTTCCCATTCTGGGGTATGTCTTTATCAGCAGCATGAAAACGGACTAATACAAGGTGCCACTGCACTCCAACCTGGGAGACAGAGCAAGACTCTGTCTCAAAATGAATAAATAAATAAATAAATAAATATAAATAAAATAAAAATTGAGGGGTTTGGAAAGGCACTTCTCAACAAACAAACCTTACTTGGGCACATTTGGATTATAAAAAATAAACCCCTTCTAAAAACTATAAAAAATAAAAGGGGCAGAATCAATAATTTATCCTGATTTTTCTGCAAAAACTATTTCAGGGACACAAAATCAGATAATTACAACAAGTAAATGCCTGAAGTAAATAAATAGAGTAATTCTAGCTAGTACACAAAAAGGAAAAAAATAGAATGTTGCCATGGTGTGACCCCCTTAAGTTACAATACTAAGAGGTCTTTACTCGTCATAACAGGAATAGTCTGGTGTTCTGGGGAAGGTGTTAATACCAGAAATAGGGGAGCAGGGGAAACACCCCAAGTTTGCTTGGTAGGATCTTGCAGAGGAGGCTCAGGAGCTGAACTGGATAATTCAAACAAGTCATCTGGCTTCTCAAAAGTCCTCATGGGGAAGTGTCAGATCATGCAGGTGTCCACAGTGGACTGGGACCTGGGCAGCACTGAGTTCCCCTTACTGACTGCACCATCCATGAGCTGAGCCTGCCTTCTGGGGAAGGAGGGGCATCTCCAGGAAGGGCAACCGGGCCAGGTCAGAAGGCCTCCTGTGTCTCCGGGGCAGTGTGGTCTTCTTTCAGGAGAGAGTGAGTCATCACTGAAGGAGAACAGAGCGAAGGCTGCACAGTCCAGCAGTACTGGGCCCAGACTCTCAGCCCCTTTCTGGCCCTGCCACGCTAAGATAGGATCATCTCCCTCATGGATGCAGCTGATGTGTGCGTGAGCACACGCTTGCCAGGCAACTGGCCAGCACCGGCTGTCTCTGCAACGCGGAATTTACAAATGCCCTTCCCGTGAGGAAGGAAGAGTAACCCGATTGATTCTCCGCTACCAAGCAAGCCCTCTGCCACTTTACAGTGCAGTAACTGCTTACAATGATTCCCCTTCTCGGGAATCGCTTTTCTAGCTCTTCCTCTACAGTCGGGGAGCTGAGCCCCCAGAAGCCAGCAGTCACACTAGTAGGGCAGGGCAGAGCCCGCTTGACCCCTTCCTTGGGAGGGGGGCCTAGCGCCGGGGCGCGTTTCCTCTTCGCGCTGCCCTGTCCTGGCCCGCCACTGGAGCCGGTAGCCCGCAGGGCAGCGGGGGCGGAGGCGACCCTGGGGGTGGCCTGTGGGCCCCCCTGCGAGATCTCGACGGTTCCTATCTATTCCATTCTCCCTCCCCGTCTCCCTGAGCCCCGCCCCTGGGTCCCTTGCTGGAGCCGCTCACCCCCTCCCCCGCAGGCGTTGTGCTGGGCCCGGGGCAACTTCCCCAGAACGTCCGGCCACCCTGCGCGGAAGCACGCCTGGCAGAGCTGCTGAGCCAGGCTCAGGTCGCGGAGTAGCGGCGCTCCGGACCGGCGGAACACGGCGTCCTCGGCTCAGCTTCGGAAGCGCCCCCGCCCCGCCCGGCGAGCCCGGGAATGGCGCGCGCGCCCCCTGCCGGCCACACCGGGACCAGCGGCACCCACAGAGGGCGCGCGGGCAGGGCGCGAGGCGGCAGGCCCCTCTCTTCCTCCCGACCCTCGCAGGCTGAGCACATCAAAAGGCAGGCTTCCTTATGGGTGCTTTCGTTGAAATTCAGCATTGTGGCCAGTCTTGAAAGTACAAAAAAAAAAGAGGGCAAATGTGCTGCACCACTTTAACACAACTTCAGTGACCCTGTTGTCTTCTTCTCTCAGATCTTCCTTCTGCTGCTGTATCTGCATTTCCTCATAACGCCAACAATAATGAGAGCATGGCCCGGGAACCCGCAAACTTTTTTCTGGAAAAGGCCAGATAGTAAATGTTCCTGGTTTTGTGAGCAAGATGGAAAATCGCCCATAGACAATATGCTGAGCCGACTGAGCCTGTGCCAGTCCCTGGGAGCCGACGCTAACTGGAAACAGCCAGGCCAGTTGTGCAAACTGCCCACTTGTTCATTAAATCGAGGCAGGTGTGACTTCAAGGCTACCACTCTCTGGTCCTTGTCAGGTGCAGGCTCTGTTAGAGGTTCCTGCCACATCCCTGCCTGGGCCACAGGGCCGTCCCTGGGTCCCCAGGTGTCTCTCCAACCATAACCCTGCCTGGGCCCTGCTATGTCATTTGAGCCATGAGGCCCCTGAAGATCAGTGGCCCCTGCTGCCCTGGGCCCACAACCTGTCACTAGCCTGTTGGGGTTTAAGGGTGAAAAGAAAGACCTCAGACACACATATGTGCACATGCATGCACAAACACACGCATGCACGCACACACACGAACATGCACCAACATGCGGACCCACTAACCCGGAACCACTGGGTTTCTGTGGCAGTGAGAGTAGGAGAAAGGCCTAGGATGCAGCTTGTAGTGAACTCTTATAATTCCATGTTACCATTCCCAACAGAGGTTTAACTTTTTCCTACCAGAGGCAGGGCTTACTCACCCTTAACACAGTTTCCAGCTCTCCACCTCCTTCCAGTTCCTCAATGTGATCAATCCAGACATCTGCCTTATACAAACACCTCCTGGTGACCACTGCCCTACGAGACAGCTGGATACAACCTACTTGACTCACCCCACTGACCCCACATGGACCTCACAGATATGCTGCAATGACCACCTCTCAGTCATGGCGTGATTACATGGAACCGGTGCCTGCTTGCTCTAAACCCATCAATTAGAACTCCCTATGGGAAACCTGCCTGGGGTAGACCCCTGGACCCCACTTAAGGCCTCAGCTTACAGGTCCTCCTCTCTCTCGATCCCCACCCAGTGGTTGTGTGTGTGTGTGCCCCAGGCAGCTCCCTCCATTCCGCTAGCCATGTGAGGTATTCTGCCTTCTTCTCTCTGGGATCTGTGAGGAATATGCTGCTTCTGTGACTCTATGTGCTTTGTCCAGTTGCCTCCTCTGTCTCCCCGGACAGATGCACCAGAACCTAGCTCCTCTCCTAGTCAGGGCTGGCCTAAAGAGTGGCTATCTTATTGGGAATAGCTGGAAACAGGTCAGATGGGAGCCACAAGGAGTCTGCCAGTATGAACAAGATTCCTGTGAGAGCAACACCAGACCATGGGTCTCACCCTCAGGCATGAGGCCACCTGCCAGGATAAAGAAGAATCTTGTGAAAGGCGTGCTGTACACATCCACCACCAAATCCCCGAGGCCCATTAGGTGGGGCACAGTTTATAGGAACTCTGCAGAAAGAGACCACAAGACCAAATCAGAAAGAATCACAACAGCCTCAGCCACATGGTTCCCTCCATGAGCAGAGGCACCCACAGCACCGAGGAGAGGGGAGGGGAGCTGAAGAAAGGGGAGGGGAGAGTAGGAGAGGATGTCTTCAAGCCACCCTGTTTTCAGCCCCACAGGCCCCGTGATATGAGAAGCACAGAGGGTTTCTCCAAGTACAGAGAACAAAACAGGAATAATCCTCTAGTTCTCCTTCCACATCCTCATCCTAGGGCATTTTTATTTATGCAGAGTACACACTCCCTGTCTTGTACCTCACTTTCCTAGGTGAGGGTGCCCCCTAACATGCTGGCTTGGTGGGTGTTTTCCTGGGTCATCCCCAGCGGGCACCTGAGCCTGGGCTATGCAACCTGCTGCCTCCTCCTTGTAGGAGCCCCCTCTCCCAGCTGTAGGTCTCTTCCTCTCAAAGGACTCAGCATCAGCCTCATGCAAGAAATATCCTTGGGAAACAGTGGCCTGACAAGAAGGGTGAGGGTGAAGGAAAGGCTAAGAATTGGGCAGCCAGGAGATGGCTAGAATTGGCTAAGAATTGGAAAAATTGGAAAAGGCTAAGAATTGAGATGGAGACGGTGAGGGAGGAGGGAAAGGAACAGTGGACCCACTTTGCTGATAAAGGAGCTTAGGTCAGAACAGCCTCCAGACACAGAGAGGAATGGCCTCCAGGTATGAGGGCAGCAGAGGGGCTGGAAATGGGAAAGAAGAGTGGCCTCCAGGTATGAGGGCAGCAGAGGGACTGGAAATGGGAAAGAGTACAGGGTGTGGAGGAAGAAGGGGCAGCCACATCACTGCAGGAGACTCTGGACAAAGGAACATTTTCCTCCAAGTACCCAAGGTGCTTTGGTATGACACCATCTGGTTGTAAATTGATTTAAGGATAGGAACAGAAATTTGATCAAAAGTCAGAAATATTTTCATACCTTTGACCAAATCGTCCTCCTTACTCACTGGAATTTACATCAAAGAAGTGACATGAGTGGAGAAGGCTTTTCTGGGAAGGATGGGAGGGGCCGGGATAGGGAGGTGCTGGCAGGAAGGGGAGGATTCAGGAGGGAAAGAAAAGGGGAGGGGAGGGCAGGCTGCAGCCCCGGGGAACCTTGCACAGGCCTCGCAGCCTCACCCACCTGGGGTTGAGTTGGACTCTGCTGACTGTAGCCTCTCTGAGCCTCCAGTTCTCTCTGGAGCTCTACCTCATAATATCTACCCCAGTGGCTAGTTTTGAGGACTTCACAAGATAACACCTGGCACAAAGTAAATGCTCAATAAAGGTTAATACTAATATTACTCAGATAACTTATTAGGTCTCTGTTCAGAAACCAACCCTCACATTTTATAGTTATTTTTAAAATTTACGTACAATGCAATTCCTTTCTCTGTCTCTCTCTCTCGTCTACAGTTCTATGAGTTTTGACAAATGCACAGGATCATGGAACCAGCACCACAATCAAGACAGAAAAGTTCCACCCACCTCAAAAGTCTTTCTCACCATCCTTTGAAATCCAGCTCTCTCCCATCTCTAACCCAGGACATCTCCATCCCTAAGGCTTTCCCTTTTCCAGAAGGTCATATAAATGGAATTGTATAGTTTGTAGTCTTTTGAGTTGGACTTCTTTCATTCAGCATAATTATTTTAAGATTCTTGCATTCTGTTGAGAGTATCAATAATTTGGGGTTTCTTTGCTGAATAATATTCCATTGGATGGATGTACCCCAGTTGGTTGGTACATCCATCAGCTGAAGGACATTAGGTTTTCATTCTTGGCAATTATAAATAAAAGTTGCTCTAAGTATTCATGTAATAAGTTTTTGTGTGACCCATAAGCTTTCATTTCCACTGGGTAAACACCTAAGAGGGAGATTGCTGCAACATACATGGTAAATGTAAGTTTTACTTTACAGGGAAATTTTCAAACTGTTTTCTTTTTTTTGTTTTGTTTTTTTGAGACGGAGTCTTGCTCTGTCGCCCAGGCTGGAGTGCAGTGGTGCAATCTTAGCTCATTGCAACCTCCGCCTCCCGAGTTCAAGCGATTCTCCTGCCTCAGCCTCCCAAGTAGCTGGGACTACAGGCAGGTGCCACCAGGCCCAGCTAATTTTGTATTTTTAGTAGAGATGGGGTTTCACCATGTTGGCCAGGCTGGTCTCAAACTCCTGACCTCGTGATCCAACTGCCTCAGCCTCCCAAAGTGCTGGGATTACAGGCGTGAGCCACCGCACCCGGCCCCTTCAAACTGTTTTCTAAGCAGTTGACCCATTCTGTATCTCCACCAGCAAGCGTAAGAGTTCCAGTTTCTCTGCCTCTGCCAGAACTTGATAATGTCCATTTTTGGTTTTGTTTAGCTTTGCCTTGTTTTTGAACTAAGGGAGGTGGAATGAGAGCTCACTGTGCTTTTAACCGGCATATCCCTAGTGTCTCATGCTGTTACATTCATGTGCTGCCTTACCATCTGTGTATCTTCTTCCAGAAAGTATCTGTTCAAATCTTTTCCTTTTTAATTCAACCCTCACTTTTACTTGTAACTGTGTGAACTTGCCACATGCCTTTCCCTGCTTTGCTTTGGGTAACTAGAGGGAAATAAACCCATTGAAGACACTAAGTATGTATGAGACACACCCAGTCATGTTTGGCCATATGCCAGAAGGACTAGTAACTTTGCCATCTTACCCAGGGTGGCAAGTAGACATCCTTCAGCTTCACCCACACCTCAGGCAGCTGTCAGTATTTCATTCCAGGAGTCTTCTTCTTTGCTTTCAACTGGGCCATCATAGAGCGGCCAAGCTCTCCCAACATGCCCCCCGTGCACTCCAAATCTTGGGAGAGGGGTTGGAGACAGACTTTGGCTGCCCTAAGAAGACCCCAGGTTCCTGTTGCCCCTGAAGCTCTTCCTCATGACCAGCCTCGCCCACAGTGAATCTCAGGCTGTATGGGCTTAGGAGAGTTGCTCCAAGATTTAGGAAACCCCCACCTCAGGGCCCTGACTTTCCAGGCATGTCTCTCACTATTGAAGCTACATAGAGGATACTCAATAGAGAAAATCAATGGTTTTGGTGTAAAATAGTTATACCCTAGAAGTTAGCATTATAAAGCTTAGAGAAAAGTCACTCCTATAAATACCCTTGTAAGGAAGCTCCTCTGAGACATTCCTACAGCACTGGGCAGCCAGGAATGACACTGGCCAGACTGGAGTCCCTGCCTAAGATGCTACTTCTGGTAGCCAGGATGCAAAAGGGGGTTACTTAGAGAAAACCGTGGATGAACATCACTGTGAATCACCAAAGAAAGGAGAGAAATTGAAACTTCTGTATAAGACTGCAAAGAGGAGAGAAGCAAGGAGGTGTTTGCTTCTTACGCCCTTGGGAAGCTTGTCTAGTACCCAGGTAGATGTTTCCTATTTTGAGTTCCTATCATACTTTTCTCTCCCCTTCCTTCCTCCCTTCCTTCTTCCTTTTTCTTTTCTTTTCTTTCTCTCTCTTTCTTTCTTCTTTCTCTCTTTCTCTTTCGCCCCCTCTCTCCCTCTCACCTTCTCTATCTCTTTTTCTCTCTCTCTCCCTCTTTTTCTCTCTCTCTCCCTCTCTCTTTCTCCCTCCCTCTCTCTTTCTTTCTCTGTCTCTCTCTTTCTTAGAGATGGAGTTTCACTCTGTTACCCAGGCTGGACTCCTGAATAGCTGAGAGAACAGGCATGCACCACTGTGCTGAGCTTATAATACTTTTCAATAGCTCTTCAGAAGCCAAAAAAAAAAAAAAATGAGAGAGAGGGAGAGAGAATAACACATGGCAATGGCACATACACAGACACAAACATGTAAATATAGTTTTTACATAAACTAACACCCACCAGAGTGGCTTCCCCCAACTCATACTCCTTCCCTGGCTTTAGGTTGTCAAAGATGATCATATCTGATGCCTGATAACAAAAAAATGTTGATAAATATGGTAGTGATAATGGTGATAGTGATGGTGATGTTGAGGATGGTGGTGATAATGATGGTGATGATGGTGATGATGATGATGGTGGTGGTAATGATGATGACAGCGATGATGATGATGGTAATGAAGAGATGATAAAGTGATGATTTTTTCAGTAATGGTGATGATGATGATGATGATGGTGATGATGTGATGACCATGATGATGATGATGGTAATGGTGATGATGACAGTGATGAGGATATGGTAATGGTGATAATGATGATGGTGGAGATGGTGATAATGGTGATGATGATGATGGTAATGGGGATAATGATGATGGTGATGTTGATTGTGATAATGGTGAAGATGATGATGATGGTGATGATGAAGATATAGCACAATCTATGGAAAGTTCACTATGTCCTTGGCTTTGTACTAGTTCTTCTTACACATAATTTCATTCCATGTTCACAGCAACCCTTTTCAAAAATGGAGTCCCAGGAGCATGATCACACAGCGTGGACTGACCAGCCTGACTCTCACCCACAAACAGAGAAGGAGGATCATCAGTGCACAGCTCTAAAACACACTGTCACGAAGAACTCTGTCAATCGGAGAGGTTATTTCTTTTAAAACTGACATTTAAACACTTTCCTTATGCCATAAGCAAAAATCAACTAAAGATGGATTAAAGACTTAAATGTAAAACCTAAAACTGTAAAAACTCTGGAAGATAATCTAGGAAATTCCATTCTGGACATATAGACCCTGGCCAGGAGGGCCAAACAATTGTAACAAAAACAAAAATTGACAAATGGGACCTAATTAAACAACAGAGCTCCTGCATAGTAAAAGAAACTATCAACAGAGCAAACAGACAATCCACAGAATGGGAGAAAATATTTGCTAACTATGCATCTGACAAGGGTCTAATATCCAGAATCTATAAAGACCTTAAACAAGTTAACAAGCAAAAAACAAACAACCCCATTAAAAAGTGGGAAAAGGACATGAACAAACACATTTCAAAAAAGATATACATGTGGCCAACAAGCATATGAAAAAAATGCTCAACATCACTAATCATTAGAGAAATGCAAATCAAAATGACAATGAGACACCTTCTCACATCAGTCAGAATGGCTATTATTAAAAAGTCAAGGCTGGGTGCAGTGGCTCATGCCTGTAATCCCAGCACTTTGGGAGGCCGAGGCAGGTGGATCACAAGGTCAGGAGATTGAGACCATCCTGGCTAACACGGTCTCTAGTAAAAAATACAAAAAATTAGCCGGGAGTGGTGGTGGGTGCCTGTAGTCCCAGCTACTCGGGAGGCTGAGGCAAGAGAATGGCATGAACCCAGGAGGTGGAGCTTGCAGTGAGCCAAGATCGTGCTGCTGCACTCCAGCCTGGGTGACAGAGTAAGACTCCGTCTAAAAAAAAAAAAAAAGTCAAAAAATAACAGATGCTGGCCAGGTTGGGGAGAAAAGGGAACACTTACACACTGCTGATAGGAATGTAAATTAGCTCAGCCATTGTGGAAATCAGTGTGGCAATTTCTCAAAAAACTTAAAACAGAAGTACCATTCCACCCAGCAATCCATTATTGGGTATATACCCAAAGGAATATAAATTGTTCTATCATGAAGACACATGCACATGTATGTTCATCACACCACTATTCACACAACAGCAAAGTCATGGAATCAACCTAAATGCCCGTCAATGGTAGACTGAATAAAGAAAATGTGATGCATATATACCATGGAATACTATGCAGCCATACAAAAGAATGAGATCAGGTGCTTTGCAGCAACATGGTTGGAGCTGAAGGTCATTATCCTAAACAAACTAATGTAAGAATAGAAAACCAAATACCACATGTTGTTACTTATAAGTGGGAGCTAAATGTTGAATACACATGGACACAAACAGTAGAACAACAGACGCTGGGGCCTACTTAAGGGTGGAGGGTAGGAGGAGGGAGAGGATCAAAGAACTACATATCGGGGCAGGGCATGGTGACTCATGCCTGTAATCCCAGCACTTTGGGAGGCGGAGGCAGGTGTATCACCCGAGGTCAGGGGTTCGAGACCAGCCTGGCCAACATGATGAAACTCCGTCTCTACTGAAAATACAAAAATTAGCCCAGCATGGTGGCACATGCCTGTAATTCCAGCTAATAGGGAGGCTGAGGCAGAAGAATCCCTTGAACCTGGGAGGCGGAGGTTGCAGTGAACCGAGATCGCACCACTGCAGTCCAGCCTGGGCGATAGAGCAAGACTCCGTCACAAAACAAAACAAAACAAAACAAAACAAAAAAACTACCTATTAGGTACTATGCTTATTACTGGGTGGTGAAATAATCTGTACACCAAACCCCAAACCCCCAAGACACACAATTTACCTATATAACAAACCTGCACATGTACCCTTGAACCTGAAATAAAAGTTAAAAAAAAATAATTCTGGAAGTGGGTTTTAGAGTAATAAACCCATTTACAGTAAATAAGAAAAAGAGGTACCTGCATGTACATCCTTTGATTTTTTCTTTCTTTTTTTTTTTTAAAGACACTGCCAAAGTACCTGTCTTTCTTTGCTTGGCTTTTTCTCTTTGTTCTTAAATTCACGTGGAAAGAGCAACTGTGCCTTCACAACCATTATTTGGTTGGCTTCGCTCCACAACCCAGAGAGCTGACTTTCTTTGAATTTCTGTCTTATAGAGGGAGAAAATCATCCCACTCCAACACCCTCCTCCCCACACAGAGTGCCAGGACCTGGCCCCCCATGTGCTGTACACCTGCTAGAAAAGACAGGTTTTCCCGCCCATCACCTGCCTGCCCAGGCCAGGGTGTGTGAGTGAATGTGAAGCATGCAAGACTCATGGGAGCATTGCAAAGGCAGCCTTACCTTTGTCTCTCTTGCACCTTTTTGCCTCTTCTGGGGGAACATTTGCTGGGGGAAACCTCAGGCAGGCCAAATGACTCCCCTGGAAATTTTAAATAATGCAGTGTTCCCCAGTGACTCTTAGTTGTGGAAAACAATCCATTTCAGGTTTGAAGACGTGCAGGTGCCTGTGAGAATTCTAGGGTCCAGGCCAGAAGCGGTGGCTCATGCCTGTAAACCCCAACACTCTGGGAGGCCAAGGCAGTGGGATCACGAGGTCAGGAGTTCAAGACCAGTCTGGTCAACATAGTGAAACCCTGTCTCTACTAAAAATACAAAAAACAAAAACAAAAACAAAACAAAACAAAAATTAGCCAGGTAATGGTGATGTGTGCCTGTAATCCCAGTTACTCAGGAGGCCGAGGCAGGAGAATCACGTGAACCCAGGAGGCAGAGGTTGCAGTGAGCCGAGATGGCGCCACTGCACTCTAGCCCGGGCAACAGTGCGAGACTCCGTCTAAAAAATAATAATAAATAAGAATTCTAGGGTCCAACATGACTCAGGGCCGTGCACCTCCCCTCTTCAGCTAGCTGCAATCTTGGGTCTTTAAGAGAAACCTTGTAAAGGGAAAGGAAGAAGAGTAGAAAGGTGCTCAGAGCTATGAGCTCACCTGGCCCATGGCAAAGAGGAACTTTCTCTGGGTGCTTCCGTTAGGTATTCAGAGCCTGTACCCCATTACTTTGCATCTTCTTGGATCAAGGAGAAGGTTTTCTCTTTTGGAAATCACTGTCCACCTCTTTAGCCCCTAAACATCCTGGCTACCTATAGCTTCTCCTTGCTGAGACTTGTTTATCCTGCCGAGTGGCCATACAGGATAGGATCCAAGATTTAAGACATCCCCATCTGGCTTTCCCTGTTTGAGGTACACAGCTATAAATCTTCTCCTCCAAACCACAACCATAGCACAAGACCACACGGAGTTGGTATTATTTCTTTACATATTTGTCTTCCCCATAAGACTTTTGAGTGTGGGAAACAAATCATGTTTGTTTTTGTAACTCTCTCAGCATTTTGCGTGATGCCTGGCACTTAGCAAAGTCTAGGTGGCTGGTTGAGAAAGTGATTAACAAATGAGTAAATGTGCATGGCAACAAAAGTTTAAATCACAGACCAGCCCTGTAAGAAACTCAATCATTGTGGGATAAACCAGCCATTGGGCCCACAGAGCCACGGGAATTCTTCCTTGCCCACGTCCTGGTGTCTCCACCAGGCTCTCCAGCTCTCTATCAAGGCTGCAGTGCAGGCCTGAGCCCCACCTAATCATTTGGCAAGCTCCAAGTCTCTGCCACGTTCTCATCAGTCCCCTCTTCTGTGATCAAGGTCTATTGCTCCCCAGTTCCCAGACGATGACTGAATGATGACCAAAAATACTCTGGTCTTCTCCCTGACTGGCTTGGAGCAGCAACGCCCATCTACGAGTCCCCTTTGCATTCCTATCTGCTGGGTTACATTTCTTATCTAAGGTAAAGTTGGGAAGCTAAACCCAGATCTTTTGGAGAACCAGCCACTTCACTCAGAGGCCCCCATTATGCCTGGGAGGTTTGTCTGTCCCCAAATTCTCCTCCTATCTCTCAGTTCTCCTACCCCTACCACTCAGTTCTTTTTTTGCATACTTTGCTGCTAAGGCTGCCAAGTGATACCATGTCACAGATGAAGGGATTGAGGTGGTGCCATCATATAGGCTCATCCACTACAGGGTGCTTATAGTTCTTGAAATTGGCACCAGCCAGAAGAGTGTTTGATGGATAAAGTTTATTTTCTTTTTGCTTTTATTATTATTATTATTATTATTATTATTTTGAGACAGAGTCTTGCTCTGCTTCCCAGGCTTAAGTCCATGGTGCGACCTCAGCTCACTGCAACCTCCACCTCCTGGGTTCAAGCGATTCTCCTGCCTCAGCCTCCCAAGTAGCTGGGATTACAGGCACTTGCCACCACTCTGGCTGATTTTTTTGTGTGTGTGTATTTTTAATAGAGATGGGGTTTCACCACGTTGGCCAGGCTGGTCTCAAACTCCAGACCTCAGGTGATACCCCAGCCTCGGCCTCCCAAAGTGCTGGGATTACAATCGTGAGCCACCGCGCCTAGCCAATGAAGTTTATTTTCACGTTGATTCCCAAGTCTAGGTCTCGAAAATGACATGTCTCAAGACCATAGCCACTTTGGCACTGTAAGGCCATTGTTCCCCCAGCAATCTGTGTGCAGAGATCTAAGGATGATGGCCCATACACTGAGGCCTCTTGAGTTTGTCTTTAGTCTCCTTTTAGATTCTTTTATAATAGCTTTATTGAGACATAATGCACATACTGTGCAATTCACATATTTGAAGTGTACGATTCAATGGTTTTTAGTATATCCACCATCACTGCAATCAATTTTAGAAGATTTTCATCACCTCATAAAGGAAATTTCTTTTGTTTTATCTCCTGGTATTTCTTTATAGTTATAGACAGATGGTAAAGATGGCTGAAATGTGGGTGGGGAGCACAAAGGGGGGTGAGGAAGTTGCATAGTAGGAAAGGGAGAAGGGTCTGCACTGTCCTGCCTGAAGGAACTTACCATAGTGATGATGTGAGCTGTTATGTGCACTGAGACGGGAGACCCCCAGACCAATGCATCAGTCACGTGAAGATGGGGGCAGCCTCGGCCCCAGCAGTACGAGGAGTTCACCTTGACCCTTTGAAAAGCTTACCAACCCCTGTCCTGTGTGATCACTATTACAGAGGATAAACTAGTCATATGGGAAATGGGTCTCAATGTTTCACAGTTTGAGATGCTGAACATCCACAAATCCTGTCAAATGACTTCATGGGGATTACAGAAAATCCTATTCAATAATTTTTAAAGGTAACTCTATCTAGATATTATTTAGTGAAGATTCCTTGCCAGGCAACATCTGAATCACTTAATGTGTACTAACTCATCTGATTCTCACCACAATCTTGGCATGTAAGCCTGATTGCTTTTCCCATTTGACAAATGGGAGAAGCTAAATAACTTGTCATTGTACTAGAGTGTATACAAGGCAGAGCCAAGATTTGAAGCCAGGCAACGTGGCTCCAGCATCCACATTTCTAACCACTAAATTTTCCATTTCACTAGCTTTCCATTTTGAACCTAGCCACTAACATATGCAGCCCTCATCTTTGCAAATAAAGTTTTAAAATACGGCCTTCTGTAGTAAGTGACGCTGCCCACCAGGGGGCAGGACTGCCCCACAATGCTCTCAGTCACTCCCTTCATTCACTACAGTCCCTGGCCCACTGAGGTTGTAAATTGAGCTCAAACCTTTCTGTGAAAATGCAGGGCAAAGGGCAGAAAGAGGGAACCACTCAGGGGAAATGGCTCACTGGGGACGTGTGTGCACAGAAGTCCTCTCCGTGCCATAGCAGAGGACACAGGCTCTGGAATCCCGTGGGCCAAGTTTTCGCAACATTCTGTGCTAGTTGGCTGGATGCCTCTATACAAAGAAATTAAAGCAAAGAGAAAAGCAGGGGGTAAAGGGGACCATAGAAGAAAAAATTCTTCATATTTTTCTTTGCCTGTCTCCCGACCATAGCCAAATCACTAAACTTTTCTGACCCTGACCTTCATGATCTGTAAAATGGGGATGGGCCAGCTGCTATGTGACCCCTGGAGAAGAAACGTCCCGTCAGCAGGGCCCCTCCTGTCAGGGAGAACCTCAGCCGCCTTCAACAGCTCATTTCCAGGCAGCTAAGGTCACCTCACTCTTCTTGAGCCCTTCAGTGTGGAGCTGCCATTGCAGCTCTAACAAGTTAATCATAAGCCACCCCTCATGGCGCCAGGGCGAGGCTGTTTATAGACTTATCAACTCATGACACACAGGGTGGTTCACGTGACTTAAGCTTTGAGTCCTATATCTTGGCCCAGATGGCAGGAAGGATGCTTTGACCCATGACCACTCTGGTTTGTTCCTGGGTTGGACATTCCTTGGGCTTTCTTCAGTAGAGGGAAGCTTGAATACATAAACCATAGCTAACATGGGAAGTGCAGACATTGCGTTCTGCAAGCAGTAGGCACTCAACCAATGTCTGCTGTGCTGTCCTAATCGGCTGAATGTGGCACAGGAATCCAGGAGAGTCGATACGGCCTGGGAAACCATGCAGAATCTCCCCAAGGAGGAGGCACTTCTCCATATTCATTCTACTCTGACCCAAGCACGTGGCAGGGCTTGCTCTGTTCTTTGCAAAAGAGACAGTTTGATTGACATTTTCCTCACCTCCATCTTTCCTGCTCTAAACCACAAGCCAGACAGACAGAAAGACAGCTCCATTACTTCAGTGCTGAGCCAGTCTCCGCAAGGAGACAGCCTTACGTTGACCAGGCAGTGGGCTGGCGGGTGAGTGACGAGTGACAGGTGTCAAGTGTGAACCTGCCTAGGTGCTCCTGAAGCCTGACCCTGGCCTTCTTACACATCCGTCTGGAGGACATTCCCAGTGAAAACTGAATGCCTGCAACTTCATCAGCCTTTAGGGGAAAAAAATGAAGCCACGTTAACTTATAAAATAATAATAAACTTGGAAGTTAGACATAGAGGAAAGTACACAAATAATAAGGAAAAAGCTCCATTAATTTTCACAGTGAATACACCCAAATGAAAAAAAAAAAAAAAAAAAAAAAACAGAACAGCATCAGTGCCTCAAAAGCCCCTCTAATATTCCCTCCCAAACAGCACTGTCTCTTTCCTCCCCAAGAACTGCCATCCTGCCCTCTACTGCCACAGGTTAGTTTTGTCTGATTGTGATATCCATATAAATGAAATTTGATAATAAGTACTCTATGACAGGTCTGGCTTTTTTGGCCTGTGGTTATGTCTAAGTTTCATCCGTGTTGTTGAGTGTAGCCACTGATAACACCTAGACCACCAG
This sequence comes from Homo sapiens, assembly GCF_000001405.40. Lineage (NCBI taxonomy): Eukaryota > Metazoa > Chordata > Mammalia > Primates > Hominidae > Homo > Homo sapiens. Next base: position 47,268,104 of record NC_000007.14, read on the forward strand.
GTCTCAACTCAGTCCTTTTAAAGTGGGCCCCAGGTATCTCAGGGCCTCCTCAAGAGGTGCCTTACATGTACTTAAGAATAGGTCTGCCTGAGGCACCATGCAACACCAAAAGATCACAGTGCTTCTAGTACTATGGGCTGAGTCAATCAGGCTGCAGAAGGCAGGGAGAGATGCTGAAACTCACTGCTCCAACCCAACCCAAGCCACATCTGTTACTGATTTGAGACCTTTCCTCATTTCTAGTGTAAGCATTTAGTGCTATAAATTTCCCTCTCAGCACTACATTAGCTGCATCCCATGGATTGTGATATGTTTTATTTTCTACAGAATTCATTCTGTTCTATGTTTTAAAAAAATTATTTTTGAGACTTCTTTGATGGGTTATTTAGAAGAGTGTTGTTTAATTTCTAAGTAATGAGAAATTGTTAATCTTATTATTATTAAATTTAACTTTTATTCCATTATGATCAGAGAACATGCTCTGGATGATATCCATTTTTTAAAATTTGTTGAGATTTTTTTCGTGGCTGAGAACATGACCTATCTTGGTGAGTATTCCATGAGTGCTTAAAAAATGCATAATTCTACTATTCTGTGGAGCATTCTACATACCAATTAGATTCTGTTGGTTGCTTGTGTTGTTCAGTTCTTCTGCATCCTTTCTGACTTGTTGTCTAGTCATTTGTCTTAGTCTGTTTGGGCTGCTATAACAAGAATATTATAGAATTATAAAATGCAAACATTTTTTCTCACAGTTGTGGCGGGTGAGAAGGCCAAGATCAAGATGTCAGCAGATTTAGTGTCTGGTGAGGGCCCATTCCTCATAGATGGCTCCTTCTAGCTGTGTCTTCACATAGTGGAAGAGGCAAACAAGTTCCCTTGGGCCTCTTTTATAAGGCCACTAATCCCAGTCATAAAGTCTCTGCCCTCATGACCCAATTACCTCCCAAAGGCCCTATCTTTCAATGCCATCGCATTGAGTATTAGGTTTCAACACATAAACTTTAAAGAGACACAAACATTCCAACCATGGCATTCCAACTCTGGCCCCCCCAAATTAATATCCTCCTCACATGCAAAATACATTCATTTCATTTCAATTTCTCCAAAAGTCTTAACTTGTTCCAGCATCAACTACAAAGTCTAAAGTCCAGAGTCTCATCTATAAATATTATCCAAATCAGATAAGGGTGAGACTCCAAGGTATATTTTATCCTGAGGCACATTGCTGTCCACCTGTGAACTGTGAAACAAACAAGTTATGTGCTTCCAAAATGCAATGATGGAACAGGCATAGGATAGACCTTCCCATTCTGAAGGGAAGAGATAGGAAAGAAAGGAATAACATGTCCTAAGTAAGTTCAAGACCCAACAGGGTAAACAGCACTTAATCTTAAGGCTTGAGAATAATCCTGTTTGACTTGATGTCCACCTTCTGGACACACTGGGCCAGGCGTTGGACTGCCAAGACCTCAAGCAGCCTTGCCCACATGGCTTTGCTGGACACAGCTTACATGGCAGCTCTTATGGGTTGCAGCCGCATGCCTGAGGCTCTCCCAGGCTAGAGTTGCAGCCGGCGGCTGCACCTGTCTAACATCACTAGAGCCCCTGCTCCTATGGCTCCACTAGGCATTGCCCTAGCCGAGGCTCTCTGCAGTGGCTCTACCTCTGTGGCAGTTATCTGCCTGGGCCCCTAGATTCTCTGGTCATCTTTTGAAATCTAGGTGGAGGCAGCTGCACATCCATAGCTCATGTACTCTGTGCACCTGTGGAAATGGTGTCATGCTGATGCCACCAAGGTTAGCTACCTATATGTCATCTGGGGGGTAGCCTGGTTTCTACTGACCCATACTAATCTCCTAATCAAATGGTCATTTGGTCACACCCTTGACGTTCACTACTGAACATGCGATCTCATTTTGTATTAATGCCATACTGCCAGACTAAGAATGTTCCAAATCTTTAAGCTCTGCTTCTCTTTTCATTATAAATTTTGCCTTTAAATCATTTTCTCTTCTCACATTTTACTATAAGTAGTCAAGAGAAGCCACGCTACTCCTTCAACATCTTGCTTAGATATTTCCTCAGCTAAATATCCCAGCTTCATCACTCACATCACTCACAAGTTCTACCTTCCTCAAAACATTAGGGCATGGACACAATTCAGCCAAGTTCTTTGCCACTTGTTTCCTTCAGTTTCCAATACGTGTTCCTCATTTCCATCTGAAACCTCATCAGAATGGCCCTTACCGTCCATATTTCTACTAACATCATGCTCATGACCACTTAGGTATTATCTAAGAAGAGTGAGACTTTCTCTATGGCTCTCCTTTCCTTCTGTGCTCCCAGCTGAATCCTGTTTACCATTAACAGCAATGTAGGCTTTTTTTAGCATGTACCTTAAAACCCCTCCAGCCTCTACACATTACCCAATTCCAAAGCCACTTCCACATTTTTAGATATTTATTATACAATATCCCTAGTCCTTGGTACAAATTTCTGTCTTAGTGCATTTGGGCTGCTATAATAAAAATATCATAAACTGGGTAGCTTATAAAAACAAACTTCAGTTCTGGAGGTTGGGGAGTCCAAGATTAAGGTGCTAGCATATTTGGTGTCTGGTGAGGGTCCATTCCTCACACATGGCACCTTCTAGCTGTGTCCTCACACTGTGGAGGAGGCAAACAAGCTCCCTTGGGCCTCTATAATAAGGGCACTAATCCCATTCATGATGCTCCACCCCTATGACTTAGTCACCTACCAAAGGCCTCACCTTTTAGTACCTTCACGTTAGGATTAGGTTTCAACATGTAGATTCCATGGAAGAACACAAATACTAAAACCATGGCATAGTTCTACCAGTTAGTGAGTGGAGAATGTTAAATTCTCCAACTATAATTGTGGATTTGTCTATTTCTGCTTTCGACTTTATCAGTTTTTACTTTACGTACAGTAAGTCCTCACTTAATGCTGTCCATAGGTTCTTGGAACTGTGGCTTAACACAAAATGGCATATAAGGCAACACTTTTTTTCTCATCAACATTAAAACGGAACTATGAAGAAAGAAACATCATTTCCAGCATCTGCTGTAGGCCATTTCACTGAAAGTCAATTTCCAAGAGCCTATCAATTATTTTAAGTGAGGATTTTCTGTATTAAGGCTCTGTTGTTTGATGAGTACGCATTTGAGACCCTTATGCATTTCTGGCGGATTGATCCTTTTATCATCGTATAATGTCACTCATTGGCTCTAGTAATTTCATTTTCTCTACAGTTGACTTTGTTAACTGTAGAGCAAATAAAACTGTAGAGCAAATAAACTGATTTTATTACATTAATATAATGATTCCTCCTTTTAAAAATGTTTATGTACTATGTTTTTATATCCTCTTATTTTCAATCTACCTATGTCACCGAATTTGAAGTTTCTTGTTAGCAGCATGTAATTGGGCCATTTTCTCCCCACTTTGCCAATCTCTGTCTTTTGATTGATATAGTTGCTCCATTTACATTTAAGGTAATTAGTACGTTAAGACTAAAGTCTACCATGTTATTGTTTTGTTTTGCTTCATCTTTGTTTTTCTGTTTCTATCTTCTTGTCTTCCTGTGGGCTAGGACCCATCTTTTAAGATTCCATCTTGATTTTTTAATTGCTATTGCATGTATCTTTGTGCATAGTTTTTGTAGTGGTTGCTCTGGTTATTACAAAAATATTCATAACATCACTATTTTTATCAACCTTTTACTACTTGTGTTGAAGTCTCACCTCCATATACGTTCTTTCATATTTCTCACTTTTTCCTTTCATTGTCTTGAGTATCAGACGGTGGTGTAATATCTTTTCCAATCATCAGATGTGATTGATGACTTGTGATGAGAAGGAGGGTTTGTTGTATGACTCATGCTCTGCTCTTTTCATTCTTCTTTCTTCCCTCTGGATGCTCCAAGGTGCTTTCTCTTACCATTTCCTTTGTGTTTGAACTTCTTTTGTCAATCTTTAAATGTAGGCTTGCTAGCAACTAATTCTTTTCGTTTCCTTCATCTGACAATATCTTTATTTCCTCTTCATTTCTAAAGGAGAGTTTCACTGAATATAGAATGCATGGTTGATTTTTATTTTCTTTCTGTCCTTGGAAAATGTTGCATAGCTTCCTTCTGGCCTTTATGGTTTCATAGGAAAAATCCACTGTCATTCCAATTGGTGTGCTCCTATTCCTATTCAGAATCCATCATTTCTCTGTGGCTGCCTACAGGTTGTCTTTAGTTTTCAGAAGTTTAATTACAATATTTCTTGGCATGGATTTTGGTTGTGGTTGTTGATCCTGTTTGGAGTTCACTTGGCTTCTTGATGTATACATGTCTTTTTGCTATATTTGGGGAATTTTTATCCATTAATCTTCAAATATTCTATAGCCTCTCTCTTCTCCTTTGGGCACACCAGTGATACAAATGTTGGATCTTTTGTTAGTGTCCTACAGGTTCTTGTGGGTGTTCTTTTTCTTTTTTTTAGTTTATTTTCTCTGTGTTATTCAGATTGAGTGAATTACATTGTCGCCACAGTCACTGATTCTATCCTGCCATTTCCACTAGTCTACTACTGAATCCATCTAGTAAGATTCCTTCACTTCTGTTATTATACCTTTTAGCCCTGTAATTTCCATTTGGTTCTTCTTCATCACTTCTATTTCTTTACTGTGGCTTTCTATTTTTTCATTTCTTCAACAGATTTGCCTCTTGAAGCATTTTTATGATGGCTGTTTTCAGATCCTTGCCAGATAACTCCAGCAGTTGGTTCATCTTGACGTTGGCATTCATTGTCTTTCTCATTCATGCTGCACATTTCTTGGTACTTGGTATGAAAGGAATTTTCTATTGTATCCCATTTTACCTATTAGGGAATTCTGGGTCTTATTTAAATATTTAATTTTAGCAGGTAATTGCCCTGATTCTGCTTAGGGAGCAGGGCCTGGCCTGATTTGTGGCCTGTGGTCCCACTGACAGTTTAATCGTCAGAGCCTTTCAGCGTTATGTTAGTCTGCTTGGTTTATCAGGTACCTCTGGGGTCCCTGCTGACGTTACCTGAGGGACAGAAGGGGTGTCTCTCAGTGGGAGAGGGAAGCTGCCAGCACACAGCTATGAAACCTTCCTGGCCTGGTGTGTGTTCTGGTGGGTCCCCTGCCTGTGGGAGATGGAGTGTGCTTCCCAGGTGGGGCTAAGGGGGATCCTGCTGTTTTCTCCAGCCCCCCAACCCTGGACTCTCTGAGATGGGACAGAGAGGCTCCCTCGGCCAGATCAATCATTGCAGTGGAGTCCCTTTTGCTGTTTCCTCTTCCTGGTCATCTGGCTTGGTGATAGGCTCTTGGTGACCTATTTGTTCTGTTGCCTCAGGCCAGGCTTCACACTGTGAACTGATTTTTCAGGAATTTAAGGGCGACTTGTGTTTTTCCCACTTATCTTGTTTGCCAGTTCAACAGCCCTTCTGTCCAAATGTGTCCAGATCTCACCAATCCCTGCATCATAAAATGTCCCTTCCCAGTCCAGGCCCCAAGTCTACCTGGAAAACTCCAATTCATCCTCTGAGACCAGCCCAACTGCCCCTGGTCTGTGAAGTGTGATCCCCAAAGCCATCAGGCAGGCAACCTACCTCCCTGGGGACAGGATGAGACACAGAAGCCCAACTGAGCTACAGACCTACTGTCCTCCAGTGGGCAGATCCAAAGTGTTCATTACACAATAGATCAATGACCCCCCAAGTGGACGGACCAAGGTGCCCACCACATTAATAGAAGGACGACCCCAGTAGGTAAGGCCCAGGTACTCATTAGGTAACAGATTGCTGAGAGATGAATGGGGGACCCATAACATCCTCCTGCAGCAAGTGGCAGGGGCCTGTCCAGCTGAGGTCTCATGGCCACTGGGTCTCTCCAACAGTCCCCAGGGCTGGCTCTGGTCGGGGACCTAGGCACATGTGCACACTGTACGGAGCCCAGTAATTGTGACAAGTATGGTGTTCTTGGGAAGCACACTCCCTAAGCCGCAGTGAAATCAATGCCCTGTCCACCTTTCCACCTTGTGACATTGGTCAAAGGTCTGGGCAATGACTGGCTTCAAAGACTCAATGGGAGCTTCCTGTTGGACAAGATTTAATCTGCCACCACCTGCCCTCTCTTCTGCTCCAAAGCAGTAGTACCGGGACCATTTCAAGTTCACTCTCCCAACATAGCTGGGGTGAAATATCTCTGTGTCTCCTCAGAGTGGAAAGCTACAGTCTCTGGGGGCTGACCACGCAGGCAGAAAACTGTGCACAGGGTGGCAGCTAACTGCCATCTTTATCTGTCCATAACCAAATGAGCCCAAAGCATTGCTTCTTTTCTGGTTTGGATCTGAGGGAGTGAGGTTAGATGGGGTCCTGTGTCCCATCACCTGACTCAGGAGGGAGGGGACAGGCCCAAGAGGGCAGAGTCCGTAGAAAAGGGCAAACTCCCTTAAGGTGGGGAGGGAGGAGCCTTGGCTGGGGGAACAGAAGAGGCAGGTGACACTGGCTGTCTCCAGCATCTGTTGATGTGTAAGTGAATCCACCAGTCTCAATATTCACTTTTAGTGCCCACTTCAATAGACACTGGGAGGTCCTTCAGGAGCTGGCCCACTTCAGGGGTGTGTTTCTGCAGCCAGTGTGTGTGTAGGGGTATTCATAGCAACATCGAAAACATGTCAGGACCCATTATCAACACTGCATTGTGGTTAATCTTCAAAGATCTTTGAATATAACATTTCAAAGGTCTCTGGGCAGAAATCTTAATATATTCCTGACAGCAAAACATTTGTGATTTTATAACTGAATCCACTGATTTGTAAACACACAGACACACATTCATGAACGAGCACACACGCAGACGCACAGACACATGTGGACAAAGATACATCTGTGCAAGCACATGCACACATTTGCAGAGACACATACACAAAAGTGCACACATGCACACGCATACACACATGTGCAAACACACACAAACATACTTCAGGGTACACAAATACCGTCTCACGGAGGCTTACCAAGTTCATAATTTTATTATACTCTGAATAGAGATGATATTTAAGGAGCAGAGAAAATGACTATACAAAAGATTTATAGAACATTCATTTACATACTGGATATATTCTTTACAGTATCAGAAAAGTAAAAATATGCACTAACAAGGCAGAGAAGACGTTACAAGGTATTTGATGCTGAGAATAAATGCACAGTGACTTTTAACATGGCTATAGCTTAACACTGGAGGAATACAACAATACGTTCTTTTACTGAGTAGTTAGTAGGACCCTGGCTATAACATGCGTTGGGCACAGTTCGTGAACTCTCCGCATTTACTCCCCAGGGCAGTACGTGCCTGTCCAGCGGGAGCCCTGGAGACAAAATGCCTGGAAACGTTCCTTTTCCTGTGGCCCTAGAGCCGGTGTCCACGGTGGGGGCTCTCTCACGGTTTCTGAGCCCACAGTACAATCTGTGATGACACACAGCTTGTTCTGTTTAATGCACATGTAACACAAAAGGAAGAAAGAAACTTCCTATACCAGCTCTTCAGAAATCGTGGAAACTTGCTTCCTTTGGTTCCTCAGAGGGAGCTATCTGCTTGGAGCAAATTCCCCGATGCCCTTGACCACGTTTACCTTGTGTAAAAATCACACCTGGCCAATGAGTTCAAAAAGCACGTTTGCAGGGCTTCCTGAATGCCGTCGAGGCATGGCTTCATGAGGGCCATCGCGGGCACCCCGATGTCTCTGTGATTCCCTGGCAGGCTGCGTTTCTCAATACTGAGACCCTAGTTTGCTCTGACTTCTAAATGAGCTCTCTCATCCTTCATCAGAAGGATAAGGAACCTGGCCTGCACTCTTTGGGTTAAACATGGGTAGAGACCGTCTCAGGATGAGGACCTCTTGGGGAAAGTACAAACCTCTGCTCCCTGTGGCCACATTCCTGCAGTGGATGAAAAACCGAGATGCTAGAGGCCTCTGCTAAAGACATCAGGGTCAACACATGAGGATCTGCTGAAAATGCCAGCACCTCCTGACAGTCATGCCACCGCAAGTTAGAGAAGGAGGTCCACAACGACCAAGGCAAACATTTGGCACAGAAATGAGGCACTTGGTTTGGTGCATCAATAGGAGCTAAAAAGTGGAATGGTCCACCTGCTTTCACACACGCATACACGCACGCATGCACACACGCACACACACACAACACCCACTGTGATTTGGCTGCTTCCAACTCTGCCTGTTTCTAAGTTTTCCTCGGCCCCTCACTTTAAAGCAGAGTTCACAAAGCACATTCCCAAACCCCAGCTCCCTGACAGGAGCTTGTGACACCAGTGTGGCCTAAGAATGGGGGATTTGACTTTTGAAAGCAGAGGAGGGAATTTCGGGCTGGATCGCAATCAGGACAGTCAGCATGCCTGCAGAGCACCTAGGCTGTGAGAGGATGGGGCCAAGGCCTTATTCTGATGTGGCCCAGCTCCATCTTTCACTCTGGGGATGTTCCAGGGTCACAAATTCCCCCAAACCTTTGACCACGAACAGATTCAAGCAGGAAAACCAGGGCATTGGAATGTTGAAATAAGCCTGAAATACACTTGATTCAGTGGCTTAGATGATGGCAAACAGTGGCACTCAAAAACAGCTTGTCAGTACCGGGGTTTCTTCTCTTTTTCCTCATCCTCCCTTCTGCTCACACATGCCACAACCACACATGGTCCCCAGCAGGAACCCCAAGGTGGCAAGGAGCAGCACAAAGAGGGCTGATAAATGCAGGCGAACTTCAGGTCGTGCAGCTTCAGGCCTGAAGATGATCGAAAAGCCCATGTGGGGGATGCTGAGCTTAAATCCAGGAGTTTTCCATCCCTCCTGGACTCTCTCCATCAGAAAAGAAGTCATCCACAATCGGGGAAAAACATTCCAATGAGTAAAACATCAGGGTAGGTTGCTTGAGGCAAAGCCACCTTTGGGCGGCACCGCATATGGGAGACCCACAGTCCACTGCACACTCTTTCAGTGGCCAGGGGCCTGCGGTGCATCCTACATAGGGACAAGCCTCACAAAATCACAGCTTGGCAGGCTGCAGCATTTGACACTGGTACAGTATAGCAATGGCAAATTATCATAAATAATTTGGCATAAGTAAAATATAAATTACATAGAAATAATATTTTTGTTCCTTCTTCTCATTTCTCCTCTCGGTCCTCACAGGCTCTCCCCAGCCCAGCTCGCCCAGCTCGCCCAGCTCGCCCAGCTCACCACAGGTGAGCAGGAGGCACAGAGCACTCACCATGGTGGGGTGGCATGGGGTCTCCAACGTGGCCAATTCTTCCCACCACCCCCATCCTCACAGCCCATCGCAAAGGCCCCTCGTTGTAGGCCCTGCTGTGTTCCAGAAGGGCCTGACTTGCACAAACCTTCGTCAAACATACGCCCCCTTCTCAGTTTCGTTAGCATCTCCATCTTGGGAAGACCGAGGTGAGGGAAACCCCCGGCCTCGGGTGCAGCTGGACAGAAGCGCCCATGCGGACGGGCGAAGCATGGCAGTCACTCGGCACCTCTGCCTCAAGGGCTGGGGATTCCTCATCCCCCGGAATGCTAGTGTGCCAGGGACATGGGGACCACCTCGTGTTCTGTGCTGTTTCCTTGCATGTCCCTTTCCCATGGGGACCCTAGGGGGTGGGGTGCACCCATGCCCAGCTTCTTCTACCCAAAAAGCATGTGGCTACAGAGATGTGTCAGATAAGTCACTTTCAGGAAAGGCCAATTCACGGTGATGTTGTTTGTTCTTGTTTTTGCAGAGCTGGAAGATCCTCTTTCCCCTCATGGGCCTGGAATGTCAGGTTTACTAGTTTGGTAAAAAGTGGGGGCCCCACCCTCACCCAACGGCTGTCTCCAGGGCTTCGAGAGGCATCGGTGGGTCCAGGGAGGGAGGGGAGTTCTCAGACCTTCTTTGGGGAACCAATCATGACCTTTGATACGAAGTTGACAATGGCACTGGCAGGCTGCTCAGGGTCATGCTCTGCAAACAGGTGGCACACATTATCCGTGGCACTGCCCTGCTTCCGGGCCACAAATCCAAAGACTCTGCCAAAGGAAAGTCCAGTCAGAGTGGTCAGTGTCCCACAAAGTACCAAGCTTCTACTTCCTCCAGCTGCCAGCGGCACTGTCAGGAGGAATTTTAAGTGGCACCTATCAAAAATCAACCACGTGCCCAGCACCCTGCTGGCCACCTGTTCATGCACTTTACCTCCAGCCTTCACAGACCTACAGATGGGATGTCTGACTCTAGCTCTGCAGTGAGGACCCTGAGGCTGAGAGGTGAGTGCCCTGTCCACAGCCCCAGGTTAGGACCTGAATCAAAGCTGAGGCTCAACTTCCTCTATAGATGCTTCCCCACGCCAGGGCCAGAATCTCCTGGGCACCTGTCCCTGCAGATTCCTGAGCCCCAGTCCTGACATACTGGACCACAGTCTGCAAGGCGAGTGGCAAGGGACTCAGGGGCTCCTGAGATGATGCCAGAATGCAAGTCCTGTCTGGACTTCGACACTCCCACCCACTGGGACCGAAGGGGAAATACACTAGGCGCTCCTCTCAGGCCTTGGAAGCCTGCATTACAAACTACATAGACTTCAGGGAGCTGTTTAAAAAGAACAGCCCATCGAATTATTTTTCTTAGAAGAATTAGAGCCATTATCTTAATAGGCTTTTATGAGTCCTGCACTTCACACAATAATGACCATATCCCTATCCAGGTCCTGGGCAAAGGACTTTCTTCTCTTTCTTAGAAAAATGAAGGATTTTTTTTGTTTAAATTTAGCAGTTTCCGCATCATGAAGGGACCAGTCAATGACACTCAGGTAACCCCAATACAGTCACAAATTCCAAGCACATGAAAGCCCGTGTTTCTGCTACCAGCCAGAGTGGGAGTGTGCCCAGAACACAGTCCCCACCGGGGAAGCCCAGCTCGTCAGTACCAGGGTCTCTTCTCCTTCTCCCCGCTTCTGCTAACGCATGCACTGAGCAACTTCCTGGACAGACAAGCCATTTGAAAACAGGATTCCAGGGAAGGATGCCTGTGATCAGGCACTGTGGTCATTAAATCCGGGTTATGCCGAGGAAACCAGGCTGGGGGGATACAGCCCATTGTGCCTCCAAGTGGGAGGTTAGGATGAGGTCCCTCAGCTGGCCCTGACAGGAACACTGGGCCAGGAATGAGCCCAGGCCAAGCAAGGCCACGGTACTCAGGGAGCCAGGGAAAGGTGTGCTTATAAAAGGGGAACTCTAAGCCGGGCACGGTGGCTCACACCTTTAATCCCGGCACTTTGGGAGGCTGAGGCAGGTGGATCACCTGAGGTCAGGAGTTCGAGACCAGCCTGACCAACATGGTGAAACCCCGTCTCTACTAAATACAAAAAATTAGCTGGGCCTGGTGGCGGACGCCTGTAATCCCAGCTATTTGGGAGGCTGAGGCAGGAGAATTGCTTGAACCCGGGAGGCAGAGGTTGCAGTGAGCCAAGATCGCGCCACTGCACTCCAGCCTGGGCAAAAAGAGCAAAACTCTGTCTCAAAAAAAAAAAAAAACTCTAACAGCTGCCTGGACTGGCTGTGGAGCAACGGTGTGATGAAGGCCCTCCTCCGTTGCATTTGGTAAATTTGGAACACCCGCTTCATCCACACACCTGCACAAAGGGAGCAATTCCTTCTAGCTGTGCAGACCTCAGCACTGCTGAGCCCATGCATTCCCAAATGGCCAAAAAGGCTGTGCCATCCATCTCCCTGTATCTATGCCACAGTGTTATATGACACATGTAAATATTGCACATCCAGCCAACAGCCGGCAGAAAAGTTAACAGCATCCAGATCCTTGTCCATAATGAGAACACTTTTACTTTTTTCTTTTTTAAAAGAAATTGGCATGGTGTAGTCATTTTCTTATAAGGCACCCCCTGTGCAAATCTGGAAGAGAATTCAACTTTGGAGTACAACTGCAGACAAGGAGAGAATGTAAAGAAATCTCAGCAACTTACTTTGAGGAAGGGCCATCTTTGATCCACCTTGCAAATTAAAGAGAAAAACAGAGGTTAATTTTTTTAAACTAAAGGATAGAATTAAGTACACTCCTTGCTCAATAAAAATGCAAATTTCTTACTTCCTGTCTTGTGGGTCCAAGGCACAGAAAATCACACTGTTCACGGGGTAATGCCTCCGGAAGAAGAGCCTGTTGGGACATGGGGGAGAGAGGATGGCTCCTGTTACTAGGGCTTTTGGGTGATGGGGGATGCACTGGGCGGGCTCTCCCATACATGAAGATTCTTCCAGCAGAAAACATTTCATACTTTTACTCATCACTTGGAGAGAAGAAAGTGCGTGCTCATTCAAAGTCAACAGATGTCATGAAGCTGGGCAGAACAGTTGTTACCAGTAGACGGAAGCACCACACAGGCTGAAACTGTCAGCCGTGTGGAAGGCGGGAATCGGGTCAAGAAGCCCTAACAAGCCGGGTGCAGTGGCTCACGCCTGTAATCCCAGCACTTTGGGAGGCTGAGGCGGGTTGATCACCTGAGGTCAGGAGTTCAAGACCAGCCTGACCAACATGTGAAACCCCGTCTCTACTAAAAACACAAAAATTAGTCGGGTGTGGTGACATGTGCCTGTAATTCCAGCTACTTGGGAGGTGGAAACAGGAGAATTGCTTGAACCTGGGAGGCAGAGGTTGCAGTGGGCTGAGATCGCTCCACTGCACTCCAGCTTGGGCGACAGAGTGAGATTCCATCTCAAAAAAAAAAAAGCCCTAACAAACTGGAAAAGCTGGTAGGGTGTGAGATGGACACAAGGAAGCACCTCTGGCCCTGCCAGACACTGCTGGCTGCAGGATCGTGGGGAAACCACTAACAGCCTCCAGGCTCCGAGCCTTGGTTTCCTCACCTGTGAAAAGTGGATCATGTTACCAGCCCACCCCTTCCACAGGACAGATGCCCAAGTCAGATGCAGTCACAGGTCTGAGAGCACTGAGTGAACAATAAAGTGCTGTGCAAGGAATATTCCTTAAGGAAGGACTCCACATGGTCACTGATACGACCCCCATAGAGACCTCCTTCCAGGCTCACCTGACAGCCCTTAGTCACTGACATGACCACCTGGGGCATTCTCCTCCGGCTCACCTGCCCAGCCCTTCCTTCCAAGAGTGCTATCCACCCAGTCCACATGGTCCCCAGAGGATGCCCAACTCAACACTCTGCTGTGTCCAGGCTGGGCCAGTCTAGCTGGCTTTGGGGTCACCCCTCTCCTTCTGGGAATGACTCTGCACCGGCACAGAGTAAAGCTCATCTGGAGATGAAGAGAGAGGCCAGGAGATAGGCTAGGGCAGAGGCAGAGCCTGGGTGTGCTTCAATTCAAGGTGACCCTGCAGCCACCTGCAGCCCCTCTCAAACAGGTGCCTTTTAAGGCTGATTGTTGGTGAGAAGATCCCCCTTTTGTCTAGAATTAGCCAGTCTGAACTCAAACGCTATCTCTTACAGTATGAAAGATCTGAACTGATGTGGACATGACCCATCTCCAGGGAATATAAAGAATACAGGGAAACTAAAGAGACACAGAAAAAAGACAACTCTGACAAGGGCACATAGAACAGATCCTGTGAAGAAATAACATATCTTCCAAGGGCAGCAGGGAGGAGGGAACAGTCAACATTGTGAGGGTCCTTAAGGAGCCCAACCCTGACCCTGAGTCTACCATGTCGCCAAGCTATGCCTCCAGACCCTGAGTCCACCATGCAGCCTAGCCATGCCCCTGACCCTGACCCTGACCCTGAGTCCACTAGGCAGTCTAGCCATACTCCTGACTGTAAGCCTGAGTCCACCAAGCAGCCTGGCCATGCCCTGAGCCTGACCCTGAGCCCACCAGGTAGATGATCCATATCCCAAACCCTAAGTCCACCATGTAGCTCCGCTATGCCCCTGACACTGACTCTGAGTCCACCGTGCAGCTGAGCCACACCCAACGGGAACCCTGAGTGAGCCATGTAGCCGAGCCATGCCCCTGACCCTGTGTCCACCATGTAACTGAGCTATGCCTGACACTGACCCTGAGTCCACCATGCAGCTGAGCCATACCCAACTGGGACCCTGGGTGAGCCATGCAGCTGAGCCATGCCCCTGACCCTGAGTCTACCATGCAGATGAGCCATGCCCCGACCCTGAGTCTACCATAAAGCCAAGGCACAACCCTGACTCTGACCCTGAGTCCACCAAACAGCAAAGCTATGCCCCCTGAACCTGACCATGAGTCCACCATACAGCTGAGCTATGTCCCTGACCCTGAGTCCACCGTGAAACTGAGCCTTGCCTGTGACCCTGACCCTGAGAACACAGTGGGGCTGAGCCATGCCCCTGACCCTGAGAACATGGTGGGGTTGAGCCACAACCCTGACCCTGTCCCTGCGTGTGCCACACAGGGCACTTGCTGAGTGCCCTTTTCATTTGAGACACTAAACCTTGAAATAGGTATTTTGGTGCAGGATTGAAATACGAGAGCATCAAGCATTGGGACCCTGCCCAGGGTCATCTACTGGTCAGTGTCAGGGGCACTGAACGGGTCTGACCAGCAAAACCCACGTTCTGCTTTGTGCTCATTTTTTTCAGCAGATGAAGGGTGATGAGCTAAACCTGCCTAAACTCACTTATTCCTGAAGCTACAGAGGGGAAGATCCTGCCTTCAACCTCCCAGGTGGTTTGGGCAGATGAAGAAAATGTCTTGCTTCTAGGGACATGGGCACCACAGAGAGGCATGGGGGCCCTGCTCGGGGAGCATCCTGGGAAAGCAGCCAGGCTGGTCTGAGTGTCCCCTGCCGGCCTGTCTGCTGTGATGGCTGCTGCCATCATGCTGCTGCCACGGTTGATGCCAACGTGCCTCCTCAACCACACAATACAAAATAATTGCATCTGAAATGCTCTGTTCCTAGGCCACAGGCTGCACTCAGGGATGGCATTCTGGAGGGAGGGAGACAGGAACAGCCCTGTGGCTGCTCTGTTCCATGCTTATGCTGGGCATTCAGTAAAGATCCACATGGAGAACATCTGCTCCAGCATAACTGGCTCAGTAACAGCTCAGGCGTAAGTCATTTGAAATTGGCCAACGGAAATAGTACATATCAAGGTCATACGCTCACCTGAAAGGAAATGACCCTCTGTTAAAACAATAGGTTCCAAGATCATTGGACTCTGATCATAGTATCAGAGTGTTTTTAAGGAACTGAGTTAAAAGATTTTTTGCATTTGCAATTATGTGTGTATGTGTGTAATTTTAAAACGCCAAACGTCTTTTTTTATTTTATTTTACTGATTTCTAAGAAAAATAGCCTTGCAAACAAATGCTAAGAGTTCCTATGTGGTTCCCAGGACGTATTTAATGACAGAAAAATACCTAGACAGACCCTGGGTGACTCATGACCTCAAAGACGGCTAATGATTTACCTGGATGACTACTCACACTAGGGAAGAACAAGAGGAACGTGACAGCCCCGCCCCTGCTGGACGGCTCCTGCCTCCCTCTAGGCACTCACTTCCTCTGATTGTCTGTCAGGGTGATGCCCTGGGCTGACACCTTGAAGTGCACAACTGTGGACACAGGTGGAGGCTCCTGGACCAGGGTGATGCTCAGGGCCTTCTGGATCGCCTGGTGGCCGGTGAGGGACTCCATCTCCACAGAGTTCAAGTACCACACATTGCAGGCTGGAAGACACCAAGGGAGACACATGTTAGTTGCAACTATTGGGACAGGTGTGTCCTGTTAACACACAGGCAGTTGCTGATGTGCAGACTGGGTTTATGAACAACTTGCGCATGTGGCCTATGCTGGGTGCATGTAAGGCAGATGGCCTTTGCCCCTAATTCTGAAAACATGAACAGTGAGTGCTCCAAGGATGCACTTACTCCCATGTCAAGGCAGAGAATAAGCGAGTTACTAGAGCAAAGCAGACCCGCCTGGTGTGGCTTTGCCTTCCCACCAGCCAGAGGGAGCTTTCTATTCGCCCTGCAGCAGTATTAAACCCTCGTGTCCCAGGTGGAGCCCAAGGCACCTTCTCTGGTCTCAGGGTGGGTATGGACAACAGTCACATTAATATGAAACCCAACTACTGTTATAGGTAAGGAGCCCAGAGGCCCTTGAGAAACAACCATGAGGGAAGCATGTGTCCTCAAATCCTGGTTGCCAAGAGAAGGAATGGCTTGCAGTGAGCTCAGAGAACAGGCTGGAAAAAGCCAAAAGTGGCCCGGCCTCACCTGTGTCCTGGCTCCCCATGCTGCCAAGGGAGAGCTGTGGGTCTTGTCCCTGACCATCTCCTCTTGGGAGAAGAAAAACAACTGGGCTCCATAACAACCCTTCTTTCCCTTCTAGCCTGTGACCCTGCAGTTCAAGCATAAGTGCACGTGTGACTTTGGGGCATGGGTGAAATTGAGGTGTTCCAAGACATCCAGCCTTAGCCTGAAGCTCATTCACTGAAGTAAACCAGGGCCTCTCCTGCCCAAAGGCTGAGTAGGCTTCCTCCTGAGGAACAGAACTGCCCTCACTCACTTGCCCCTTGTCTACTGTATACATGTCCCTCTATGTGAGCATGTGGGTGTCTTAATTCCGTGGTTAAAGGCCTCTAAAGTTTCACTTAACAGAAAAAGAGTGTTTTCCCACAGTCTACAGCAACACATCTCAGCACTCGGATGCACGGTACGCGCTGGGTAGTGTTGTCTCCCTCGGCCGTGTCCTCCTGGGGTAGGCAGCCCTGGGAAGCAGCTCCATTTTCTCTTTGCCTTTAAGTCTGACTTTTCAGAACCAGCAAGGGCCATGCCTATTGGCAGGTGTGTTGGCAGGTGCACAGACAGATGTGTTGGCAGGTGGTTTGGCAGGTATGTTGGTAGACGTTCTGGCAGATGTGTTGGCAGGTGCACTGGAAGGTGTGCTGGCAGGTGGTCTGACAGGTGTGCCACAGGGTGCATTGACACACAAGCCCACAGATGGGCTAGGATGTCCCTGGGTGTCACAGTGCAGGGTGACTTGTGAGTTGCTGGACCATCCTTTCTATCCACCGCAAAGGCCATATTGTTTATAGCTGAAGACACTCTGAGGAATTGAGCCCACTATTTTTGATGATCACTTGGTGATATGGTTTGGCTCTGTCCCCACCCAAATCTCATCTTGAATTGTAGCTCCCATAATTCCCATGTGTGGTGGGAGCAACCTGGTGGGAGGTAATTGAATCATGGGGGTGGGTTTTTCCCATGCTGTTCTCGTAATAGTGAGTAAGTCTCACGAGATCTGATGATTTTATAAAGGGTAGTTCCCCTGCACATACTCTCTTGCCTGCCACCATGTAAGATGTGCCTTTGCTCTTCCTTTGCCTTCTACCATGATCATGAGGCCTCCCCAGCCATGTGAAACTGTGAGTCCATTAAACCTCTTCTTCTTTATAAATTACCCAGTCTCAGATATGGCTGTATTAGCATCATGAGAGCCGACTAGTATACTTGGCGATATTTATCAGGTGGATATGAAATGCCTAGAAGTAACCTAGTGGTCCCGCTTCTGAGGAGATTGAGAAAGGAAATATTCTGTAACCACATAGGATAGCTAACCTTCAGGGAAAGACATTTGTGCCACATATTCATTACAGTGGGAAAAACCAGAAACACATTAGAAATGAGAGAGGGGTGAAATTAGCTCCCTCGGTGTAATACCAAGCAACCAGCAAGCGGTAACCAGGAAAATCACATGGCAGCATGGAAAGACGTCATCAGCAATCAGCAGGGAAAGCAGAATAAAAACCACGTCTGCTATGATTAGAACGGGAAAATGAAAAGCATGTGTGCATCAGATAGGAGCTGCGAGGGAGCCTGGAGAATTCAAAACAGACTTCACGAGAGGGACAGTCCGCCTTTGATTTTATTAGCATTACTGTCATGCTGATCATGCAGTTATGAAAGAGAGAAAAAAGGGAAAATTTTGACCTAACTACTAGGAAAATTCCACAAAATTGGCACAATCTCAATCAGTTCACACAGAACCACAGCTGCCACAACCCAGACCCATGCTCTCTTGAAGGAGTCACAGATGGCTTTCTGATGAGGAGCAGTCTTGCTGGCTAGAGTTTGGTAGCAATCTGCTGTTTGGGGAATCTCTCTCCCCAAATGCAGGAACTATGTCATCATTCCTTAAAGCAGAGAAGAAAATGCTGCCACTAGGGAGGCTGTTCTACGGAGCACACATCAACCAACTGACACCAAGTGCCCCAAAGCCTCTCTCCAGCAGAGAACAGGCATGCCTGCGCCTGCCTATGATTGTCCAACTGCACCTGACCCAAGACCATCCAATGCCACTTGACAGGTGCTCTTGGCCAGAGGTGAAGATTCAGTGCCCAGTAAGAGTTACCAGGAAGGCACCCACCAGACCCATGGCATGGAGTTCTGTCAATTGCTAGGCTACTCTGGGAAAGGGACTTGATAACACAGAACAAAAGTCTGAGGCCCACATGTGGGAATTTGTCCTAAGGCAACAATCCAGATTTCAGAAAAAATAAATAATGCAGAAAGATGGTCCTCTAAGCATTGTCTGTGGTATTAAAAATTAGAAACATGGTAAATGAACATCCATAAGGAGGTGAATTATATGATGGACTATTGTGTAGCCATGAAAAAAATGAGACCTGCATTATGTTTGTAAAAACCATGGGTAAACTTATTATGCTAAGAGAAGAGAAAAGAATCGTACAGGCAGCATGACCCCAAGTACAAGGAAAAAGGCAGCATAGGATTGGATCTGCTTGACATCAGGAGTGGTCTTTGGGCTGGAGAACACTTTACCTGCTGTCCACTCTTCCTCCCAATATTCAGGGGCTGCATAGGGGCAACCGATCTATGAGTAGTTCATTTTTCCTTTTCTTTTATTTTCCATTTTTAAAACTTAAAGAACATATAAGACTCTATAAAAAAAAAAAAGTATACCTACCATATGCTAAAAAATGCAACTGCAACATTTCTGGGAAATCTATTAGAAGGCTACTGAAAAGAAGTAAGTCTTTCTTTTCAGGATTATATTATATTCCTCTGCTTCAACAAGAAACAATTAAGAACCGAGGCTTAAAACACAAATAGAAATTGTTTTAGAGATTGGAACAAAGGCATAATGGCCTTAATATTTAAAAAAAGGGATTAAACTGGAGAGCATTACAAGTTTATTCCCATCTTTGTGAGTTGTCTGCTAATATTTCTGAGTTTCAGCTTCCTGAATCTTTATAACGGGGAAATTGGACATGATCATCTCAAAGAACATTGCACATCCAGGAGTCTAGGACTCTAAGTGAATTAGGACAACAGATGAAGTTCAGTTTAGGAAAGAAAACTCACTAAATTGCTGGAGGTCATCAGAGATTGCAATAATTCCACCGTCTTGCTACAATGGTTGTTCTGCACTGATTCTAAACACCTGCAGCCAATCCTCCAGGTGAAGACGACACTAGCTGAGGGGTGGTCACTGTGACAGCCTCACTCCTCTGGTGACAGATCTGCTGTCCTGGTTCCGTGGCTTGGAATCGCGGTTAATGTAATGGACAGCAGACATTCGCAGCTCTCAATGTGTTTCAGAAATGAGATTTTTAAAGGAAAGAAGCTCAAGGCAGTCATAATTTAAGCTTCATATATAAATGCCCAACTCAGATGATCAGATACAAACTCCAAGTTCTGAATGAAGTCTTGACTCTAAGAAGACCCACCCTTAAAAAACATTTGGAGTTATTGATACATTTCATACGTAATTTTAAAAGATGGAAGTGCACTTAAAAATGATAAGTCAAGATAGAAGAGAAAGTTTTAATATCTAAAAACAAGTGCTATTAGGATGCACTGTTATGATCAACTAAATTCATTCAATTCATTTATTAATTCCACACTTACTGGGTGAATGCAGGATAACTAAGAAGCTTAAGGAGAAAAGTGAAATTGCGTGTGCCCTGGTGCTACCATATAGGGCTGAATGGGCAGGGCTGTGTCCCTGAGACAATATGGGCACAGCTGGACGTGGGAGCTGAATGCCAGGCCTAGATCTACCATTCAGGAGCCAGAGCTGCCAACTTGGGTCCTCTGTCTATGACATGGGATGACAGGACACTACACCCACACGCCCTGTGGGTGAAGGGGAGGAGACAATAAGCTGGGCAGGACAAGTGCTCTGTGCCTGTTGCTATCACCGTTCTTCTGCGCTTTCTTGAACACTGCCGATGCATAAGTTGTGATTTTAAAACCACTAATTAAAGGTTTTCAAAATTTCAAATACATTTTTAAAAGGTGCAACTGAAACAAATAAATCCATCAGAGTGGAGCTGGTTTTGTAGCCCTGTCTCCTCAGTTGAGAGTGAGTGAGCTGCTCATCAGATAGGTCTACAGTAAATTCCTGCATCCTTCTGGGCACTTCACTGGGACCCACAGACAGGGTCCACTGTTACTTTAACAGAAGAAAGCTAAGAACCATGATGGGCTCCAGGGACCCCCTAAAACAGATTTAGGGGCTGTGGCCCAGGACCAGCCCAGGTCCCTCACAAGGGAAAGGGTGAGGCCGGCTTCCCAGGAAAGGCCATTCCTCTTGGGCCAGAAAAATGCTCCCAAGGCATTGTCAATGTCCTATTCATTTAATCTTTTCAACTGCTATGTGTGGAAATATTATTATCCCCACTGACCAGATACAAACCTCAGGTCCGCATGGCTAAGTGATTTGCCAGAGATCAAAATCCTGAGTAGCAGAACATGGCCGGAAACCCATGACCACAGCTACATTTTTCATTTTGGAGCTTCGAGTTTTAGCACACTTGCAATTTGGGGCAAGCTATTTTCACCTTTGTTTTGGCCACAGATAACTTATCCTATAAGGAGAGTCTAAAATAACT
Organism: Homo sapiens; assembly: GCF_000001405.40. Lineage (NCBI taxonomy): Eukaryota > Metazoa > Chordata > Mammalia > Primates > Hominidae > Homo > Homo sapiens. The sequence goes on from NC_000007.14 coordinate 47,289,058, forward strand.
TAAACACTACAAAATTCCATTCAAAACAGAGTAATTTTACTTTAGCTTGGTAACAGACACAGTGATGTATAATTTTACAGGGAAAAGCTACATAGAAGAATAATACAAATTGTAGAGGAAATAAGAAAATGCCTATACATTTCATACACCTTCATTGTGGAGTTACACCTGTAAACTACTCTGCAGATATGAGGTACAGAATGGAGGTATTTCTAGTCCAATTTTCTACCAGACTCAGAAATTCCCTCCCCAACATTTCTGACAATAAACACCTACCTTGCATGAAAAACTTAAAACAGTTTTGAAAGTCAGGGTTTGAAAGTCAGCAGTCCCCACTGTCCTCTCTAGCTGTGTCCCTCCCTCATGGCCACAGAACCACAAGAGCCCTATGGTGTGTGGTTTGTTTACAACCTTCTTAAACTGGGGCCACTACGACTGCATCTAATGCTGCAAAAGTAACCTGGCCTGGAACTAGTAAGCGATTACAGAAAGATGCTGGATACAAGGTTAATGTACAAATGGTCAACTGCTTTCCTACAGACCAGCAATAAACAAGTAAAATTTGAAATTAAATACACAATACCATTTACAGTAGCACCTCCCAAAAACTACTTACATATAAATCTAACAAACTATAGACAAGATCTATATGAGGAACACTATTAAACTTTGATGAAAGATACAAAAAACTAAATAAATGGAGAGATATTCCATATTCATGGACAGCAGGACTCAACTTTTGCCAAGGTGTCAGTTCTTCCTAATTTCATCTATAGATTCAATGCAATCTCAATAAAAATCCCAGCAACTTATTTTGTGGATATTAACAAAGTGATTCTACAGTTAATACAGAAAGGCAAAAGATCAAAAATAGCAAACACAATATTGAAAGAGAAGAGCAAAGTTGGAGGACTGACATTATTTGACTTCCAGGATTACTATAAAGCTAAAGCAATCAAGAAAATGTGATATTGGTGAAAGAACAAATAGGTCAATTAAAGAACTCGAAAGTAGACCCACATGAATATAGTTAACTGATCTTAGACAAAAGAGCAAAGGGAATACAACTGTGAAAAGACAGATTTTTCAACTGGTGGTACAGAAGCAACTGTACATCTGCAGGCAAAAAAATAAAAAATGAATCAAGACACAGACCTTACTTCCTTCACAAAAATTAACTTAAAACGGATCACAGACTTAAAGGTAAAATTTGAAACTATAAAATCTAGCTGGCCTTGGGTTTGGTGGTGACTTTTAAGATACAATACCAAAGTCACAATCCATAAAACAGGAAATCAATAAGCTGGATTTTATTAAAATTAAAAACTTCTGCTCTGTAGAAGAATGAAAAGGCAAGCCATGAAATGGAAGAAAATATTTTCAAAAGGCCTATCAGGTAAAGGACTAGTGTCTAAAATACACCAAGAATTCCCAAAATTTAACAATAAGAAAACAAAACCCAATTAAACAAACAAGCCAAAGGCCTTTATGGACACCTCACCAAAGAAGATATACAGATGGTAAATAAGCATATGAAAAGGTGCTACACATCATAAGTCATCAGAAACAATGAGATACCACTACGCTACTATTAGAAAGGCCACATTCCAGAACACTGGCAACACCAAATTCTGGAGAGGATGTGGGGCAACAAGAACTCACATTCATTGCTAGTGGGAATGCAAAATGGGACAGCCACATTGGAAGACAGTTTGCCTGTACCTTATAAAACCAAACACACTCTTACCATACAATCCAGGAATGCGCTCCTTGGTATCTACGCACAGGAGTTGAAAACTTATATCCACTCAAAAACCTGCACATGGGTGTTTAGAGCAGCATTATTCATTACTGCCAAAACCTGAAAGCACCCACAATGTCCTTTAGTAGGTGAATGGGTTACTAAACTGATACACCCAGACAAGGAAATATTTGCTGCTAAAAAAAAATGAGCTATCAAGCCATAAAAACACATGGAGGAAACTTAAATGCATATGACTAAGTGAAAGGAGCCAACCTCAAAAGGCTATGAACTGTATGGTTTCAACTATATGACAATACTGGAAAAGTTGAAAATATGGAGACAATAAAAATATGAGTGGTTGCTTGGGGTTGGTGGGGGAGGGAGAACGAACAGAAAAGGCACAGAGGATTTTTAGGGCAATAAAACTATTCACTATGATACTGTAACGGTGATTACCTGTCATTATGCATTTGTCCAAACCTGTAGAATGCATGACATCAAGGTGAACCTAAATATCAAGTCCCTAAACTAGGGACTCAGGTGACGAGGCTGTGTTAATGCAGGTTCATCAACCATAACATGTGCATCACTTTGCTGGGGGATGTTGACAGCGGGGAGGCTATGCGTGTATATGGTGTATCTCTGTACCTTCTTCTCCATTTTGCTGTGAATCTGTCACTGCTCTAAAAAAGAAACTCTATGAATAATTTTTTTAAGTGACCTGCTCTGTCTGGCGAGCTGGTTCTTGGGTGTTGTATGTCTCACTGGGGTTGCTGGCAGTGTGGGTCAAATCATTGACTCATGTCAAGTGACTTGTTGAGTCATGTCTCTGGAACATTTTTACATTTACAGTTGCCGAGACAGATCACCCACATCCTGTCTTACTATATTTTCCCCCAAACTAAATCCAGGGCTTGACATTTATTCCACTGAATTTAGTCTTGCTTGAGTTAGACCGGCCCATGAAGGCCTTGCTGATGTCCCAACAACTGCACCCCACCCAGCTCTGTGCAAGCTTCTATAAAAGGAAACCTCCTTCAAGGCTCACAGAAAAGAAAGGAAACCTGAATACTGAAGTGCAAAAGGAAGTTGTGTCAGTGAGTCCTTTTTCTCCCCAGTCACCAGATGTAGAAATGGAGCTGCATTTACTGACCTGCCCCCTGCTTCAACAGCTCAGCTGCTGAATTGGCTGCCGTCTGGGGAGAACTTTCTGCTATTTCCTCCAATGGATCTGTAGGAAGGGGCAAGAAAATACAGAAATGAGTCCTGCTCCTGACCAAGAATCCTCATGACAAAGTTAGACAATTTGATGACAGAATTCCCAGATGGTGACATGCAATGGTTTTGCAGAGTCAAGAGTTTCTCTTTGGGACAATAATTTGGCCCATAGAAACCATGATCACATTCTGAATAAAAGTAGAGATGACAAGGCCTAACAAAATATTTTTCTAATCACCGAATTAGTCATATGAACAATGACACTTTGAAAAGTAAATCACATTTACCTATATATTAAGTTAGACCATTTTTATGTGAAGTTGTGACTGCTTAGGAAAGTGGGACATACGGTCACATCGCCCTGACATGCTGTGGGTGTTATTTAATTTCATTATGGATATTGTTTAACAAACATAAAAGTAAAAAGAACAGTGCATCCATCATCTAAGTTCAACAACATCAACATTTTGCCCATTCCGTAGAAACGTAAAAATTAAATGTCAATGACCCTGAAGCCTTCTTTGTCTGAGGGTTTTATATTTTTAAACTACAGAATCTTTGCTCTATAGAAATCTTTCATCAAAATCCATGATGTAAAGCTATCTGGGAGCTGTCAGTGAAGTAGAATCTCCTCTTCTCTCCTTAATTTGGATGAACTCATTGGCCTTTTCTTGGGTTCAACCAAGAGAATACGAAAAAACTTCCAGTCTTATTATTTTTCTCAGTGGATCTTCATGGATCTCTAAAACCGGTGGCCTTGACTGCAGACAATCTACACAGAGCCTGACTAGCACTGAGGACCCCTTACCTCTCTCTGGGATAAGCAGCTTGCACGGCAAGGCCAAGGGCGTGATGGAATGCTGGCACACCAAGGCCGTCAGGCTCCCTGCAAAGTGGACAGACAGCAAACAAGAGTCAACAACTGCTGTAGATGTTGTGTGCTCAGCCAATTTATCAGCTGGAATGAAACGGATGCAAAGGCTGAGCCCTTATCTTTTTAGCAACTGGTATGTTAGATTAGTGTGCAGCTTTGTGTAAAACTTCAAAGAAGTATAAAGTTCCACAAGATAGTTGAGAGGTAAGTAAATGGAACTGTTTATCATTCTTATCATAGACACATCATTACCAAATTATATAAAGACTAAAGCATACAGTTTGTTGGATCTTGAATCAGGAGGGTTGACATCAAGCCAACTCCAACTTCAACCATATATATTACCCCTGCACAATGCTTCTTAACAAAGCTCTAATAACAATGATGCCTAAGGCTGCACTGTGCTTTGTGTGGATTGCTCAAGTCATCTTTCCAACAAGCTCGTGAGGTAGGGAAGGCTCCCAATTTGCAGGGAAGGGAGGGTGCTCTGTTGGGAGCTCTATGTTGTTCCTTGTGCTGTGGGATAGGGTCATGCTGGAGCTCCAACCTTCTCAGGACTTACCTGCCTGCCAACTAGGATAGAATCTTATTGACGTCTGTAATTCCTACGTCTGATATGGTGCTTTTCATTTGTTTGGTTTTGACAGAGCTTTTAAGAACAACTTCAAATCTAGTTTATCTTAAAGATAATAATGCAGATCAGCAGGATTTCAGAACTGGGGACTGAAATATGAGTAAACCACCATAAGAGTGATAGTCCCAAATCTCAGGTTGGTGAGCAGAGGGAATCCAGGCCTCATGAGTTCAGAACATTGACAGCAACCTCTCAAGCAACTCACCGAAATATGGTTCATTCGAGCACCCTTTCAACCGCACTCCCTTCGGGGTACACTCGATCAAAAAGTGCCGGACGAGTTCATTGGCCAAATCTCCAGCTGTGGCAAGAAATTTAAAGAAAGAAGAATTTTTTGAAAATGGGAGCATGGGAGAATTCAATAGAGAGAACATAAAAGCCAGGAGCTACAGTTGAAAAGGCTCTTCTCTGAATACGAGTCCAGTCACTGCAAAAGAGGCTGCCAAGAACCATCTTCGTCCTAGGAATGGTAGCCGGGCTGCAGGACAGCTGGATGAGCACAGGCTAGGCCAGATACAGGGCGGGAACCCTTGCAATGACAGTGTGGGGGCTGGAGAGGTCCCTTGGGAGAGGCCCTCAAACATTGTGCAAGAATCCCCAACGAAGGGAATGAGCTTGCAGCTAAGAAAGAGGATCATGAATCTCCAGCTGAATCCTCTCCCAAAGAGGAGAGGTGAGAAAGGCTCAGACACAAAATGATACCTATAATGAATCACTGAAAAGAGCTGGAAGGAGGTCAGTCTTCTGGGTGGGATTTAACCAGGAGCCTGGATCTTTAAAACCTTCCAGAAAGCAAGCACTCAGCTGCACGGGAGCAGCACTCTACCACATTGCTATTAACAGTAAACAGTGCATCTGCTTTAGGCCAGCCCATGAGTCCAAAGAGAAAACACATCATAAAAAGCCACTGAATGGCAAAACTATCTGAGAGTGGAAAAGTACAAACAGCACAACCAAAAGAACAAGAAGTCACTGCCCTATGCTAATGAGTCCAACAGACCTTCACAGTGTGCTGTATTTCTGGGATCCAGTGCTTCCTTCATCACCCTCCATTGGGGCATGTCTGCCTAAACTTCTAATATTTCTGGTGTTGGAAACCTCCTGGCAGCAAGATCCACTGGAGTTGGGCTTGGTCCCCAGTGCCTTGCCCACAGTAGGCTTCCAAAAGATGTTTATAAACATGACAAATATCACTGTGTCAGCATTTCACAAGGGCAGTAAAGCTTGCAGAAAAGGAAATGATCAGATTCCATAAAAGGCTGTGTTGAATTAAAGTGGGATAAGAACATATTGACATTCAGTTGTGGGAAGAAAATGACGCCTGGCTTCCAAACTGAAGGGGACACCAAGCGTGGGTCTGGATTCCACTTGTGAGAAATGGCTCAGTGGGAAGTCCTTCTGGCCAGGGCTCTCTGGAGAACAGCATCCAGAACGTCCCTAGCTGTCCCATCTCCAGTTTACTGGAGGTGGTATGGTGAATGGTTGTGGCTCTTTATGACCTGGTAAACTCTTTGCTCAAATCTATCCTTGGATTGTGAAATCTGAATGTCAAATCCAGGGACAAGATGAAGACACAGCAGTCAGATAAGATTTCACCCAGAGGCCACCAACAACACTCGGTTTCCTCAAGTCTGCTATTCTAATATCCCCTATTTTGTTCCTTTCATCTTAAGATTGAGTCCAAAGTCTGTCAGAGAGGCAGGATGCACGCACAGAGGTAAAAACAGTTATATACTCTCATCTAGATTCCAAAAAGATAATGCATGCAGAAATGTTATTTGTCCTTGCTTTAAAACTTTACACGGAAACGAAGGAGCCAACCAAAACCATCCATCATTCCTCCTCTCCCAATAATCTCTCATCTCTGCAGACTCGCCAGATGCTCTTGGTCCTGCGACCCTCTTTCCTGCCATCATCATTATTCAGTTTCAGTCCTCAACAATCAGGTCTAATTCAGCTCTCCAGCTACAAAAGCCCTTATCTCCACTCAGAAATAGCATCGTGTTGGGCTTCTTATGCTGGAATTCTGGATGCTAGAAGATCCTACTTTTCAAGAATTATCTGTCCTTTCTCCCCTACACAACGCCTTCTCTCTACTTCACTTCAGGACAATCAGTAGCCACAGGCTTCGGGGCTGAGCTTTGACTGAGCCCCGGGTCTTTCCCAGCCTCACTCCCCACCCCTTCCACTCTCACACCATTACCTGTGCCAAAATGAACCCATCTATGTTTCCCGGAAACGCTACAGCCCTGCCTGAGGCTGGACCTCCTGGCAGCCAAATCATACATTCCACAGGGTGTAACTCCAAGGCGATTTTCTCCAGGAAGCATGAAGCAGAGGTTTCATCCAAGAATTTGGAAAAATTCTCTCAGGTATTAGGCACAGAGCATGAGTGAACCAGGTGGGTGTCTCACTTTTCTATAAACACAGGGAGTTTAAAATCCGAGCTGCTTCTGATTTCCCCACTCCTAGTGAATCAAGCTGTCCTTACTGGGAACCAACGACCTGCAATGTCCCCTCAGTCCACAATTTCCATTTGGGGAGACAGACAGAGTGAAAGAATAGCTTCCCTTTCCTTAGTCTAGTCTGCAGCATGGTAGCACACAAAGATGAGTATAATGGGGCAAAAAGGGCAGGGGGAGAAAAAAAAAAGAAAACTGAAAATCAAGTGTCCACCAACAATAGAATGGATCAATTGGCTGTAGGATTTTCATAAGATAGAAAGCCAGAACTTCCAAAGAGAACAACAGCTACAAGCAATCTTAGAAATATGATTGGTGGATGCTGGTGAGGTTGTAGAGAAAAAGGAATGCTTTTGCACTGTTGGTGAGAGTGTAAAATAGTTCAGCCATTGTGGAAGACAGCGTGGCGATTCCTCAAAGACCTAGAGGCAGTAATACCATAGGACCCAGCAATCCCATTACTGGGTATTATACCCAAAGGAATAGAAATCCTTCTATTACAGGTTGGTGCAAAAGTCATTATGGTTTTTGCCATGATTTTTAATGCAAAAAGGATTCAGGCAGGCATAGTCCTTTACCTGCATTAGAGATCATCTCATGAGTCTAGGCTTATTCTAGTATCACTTTTAATCCATCTAAAAATGCCCTACTGGGTATAGATACAAGAATAGTACTCAACAGTATGCTAGTTTTCATATAAAAAATGTGTTTGCCTGCATTTGGACAGGTAACCAGTGAAAAGACACACACGAATCTACTCCAGATGGTTGCCCAAGGGAGGTGACAGGGTGGTGAGGGGGGTAGAGCCGAAATGGAAGCAAAACGGGCTTAGTGGATGCCTTATCCCATGGTTCTAATTTTTGAACAATGAAATGGATTACCTATTCAAAACAATAGAAAATAAAATTAACAAATTAATGTTCTTTCTTAAATAAGGTGAAAACTTTGTAAAATATACCTGAAAAAATAAATACTAAGAATAAAATTTGTGAGTATTGTTAAAGTCATCTTTTATTTTATTAGCCTAAAAATAAACCAACAGAGTTTCTCTGTGGATGAGCTGAACAGATCAATAGGGAGCAGTAACCTTACCTTTCTTGTTCAGCTGCAGGACTGAAGGTGGGGGCGTGGCCACCTTCATGGCCAGGCCATAGGCCCCTCGGAAGGAATGGCTGTCTCGAACAATGAATGAGCCCGGCTCCTTGTCCTTCAACATGGCGATGGCTGGAGAAAGGGAGGAGAAAGACAAGAAGGTCTGCCGGGTGGACAAAGGTCTATGCCCACTCATAACCTTGGGTAGGTCCTCTCCCCTTACTCTTTTTGCAAACTGGATCAGTGGGGACCTGGCCGGGATCCCTCTGCTTGGCTGGAAGAACTACATGTCCATGCAGTTGAGGGACCTTCAGGGAGGTCTCTGTGGTGTCGTGTATGTTTCATGGGTGGGCCTGCCTGTTGAGGAGGCAGAAAGGACAGGAACATCCCTCTCTTTAGCTAGACTGAGGTGCCGGGCACTGTCCTGTGGGCTGCCCATGGAAGAACACAGGATTTCTGTTAATCCCACAATACCTGTGATGTCCAAATGATGGTCCCCACCTGACAGCCCAGGAAACCAAGGCTCACGCTGAGTAAGAAACAAGACCAGATCCAAATATACACAAAGGGGAGAAACAGGCAGTGGGAGGGAGGCTGTCGCAGAACACCCTGCCTCTGCTTGGACACTGCCCCCTGTGGCATTTTTCTTAAAGATTTTAGAACATGAGAACATGAACTCTTTCAACAGCATAAAAGGAAAGAAGTTTTTTTTTTTTTTTTTTTTGAGATGGAGTCTCGCTCTGTTGCCCAGGCTAGAGTGCAGTGGCATGGTCTCGGCTCACTGCAACCTCCACTTCTGGGTTCAAGCGATTCTCCTGCCTCAGCCTCCGGAGTAGCTGGGACTACAGGCACCTGCCACCACGTCTGGCTAATTTTTTGTATTTTTAGTAGAGATGGGGTTTCACCATGTTAGCCAGGATGGTCTTGATCTCCTGACCTTGTGATCCACCCGCCTCAGCCTCCCAAAGTGCTGGGATTACAGGCGTGAGCCACTGCGCCTGGCCAGGAAAGAAGTTTCTAATTACATTTTCTGATGATAGAAAGGGCATACCCAAAATGTTACTGAAAATTTAATACAAATTCCAAGATTCACCAAGGAAGTAACAAAAACCTGGCCTGCAGGTGGCCCCCTATCCCGTGGCTCCATGGCTGATGTGGCCAAATGGGCCCAGCCTGGATGGGGCTGAGGACACATTCCCCATGTGCCCGCCAACCCAGGGCCTCGCACAGTGGGTCACCCAGCTTCCCTGGTGAGGCTGGTAGGCATTCAACTAATCATAATCATTGCTTCAAAAAATCTCTCTCCTTCATGGCCAAAATCTGGCATTTCCAAGAAGAGGGAGTGGGTTAGGGTAATAGTAACCTCAACTCGATACTGCCCAGACAAGCCAGAGTGTTCCCTGATAACTAGACTACATCTCAGAATTTCTTTTCTAGACATTTACTCTTTATTTTAAAAAAGGGAAAACTGGGGATTTAGAGTATAAAGTTATACATAATTACAGCCATGGAAATGCTGCCTTTCTGGAATGCCAAAGGCTCTGCCTGGAAGCGATCAGGGCGCAGAACATGAACCAGTAAGTGCTGGGATGCCCCCGGCATGCCTCAGTAAATACCTCCACGGCGCACTCCCACAGAGGCCCCTCACATGCCCCCAGGCCTGACCGGACCCACAGCCAAGGCATCTGTCTGGCCATAGGATGAAACGAATGGTTTCTTTTACACATTTTTCAATGTCTGCACCGTGGCCCTGTGCACAGGATGAGGGCACGGGGAGGAGCTCAACATGCCCCTGGGGATGAAGCAGGAGCTTCTAAACAGCACGCAGTGGGAAGGATGGGCAGGAAAACACAGGCAGGCTCACCGTGCATGCCCGAGACTGCTGGTAGCTCCAGCCAGGCCTGCAGCCGCCCATGCAAGGGACCCAGGGCTGGGTGGGGGGCCTCCTGGGGCAGGGCACAGGCCCTGGGAATAAACCCTGAATTCTGGTGCACGTTTTCTCACAGCGTAGTCTATAAACTTGGGGGCTGAACGTGAATGACATTTTTTCAGTTTTTAATTTTTATTTTTTTGAGATAGGCTCTCTCACTCTGTTGCCCAGACTGAAGTACAGTGACACAATCATAGCTCACTGCAGCCTCAACCTGCTGGGCCCAAGTGATCCTCCCACCTCAGCTTCCTGAGTAGCTGGGACTACAAGTGTACACCACCACACCCAGCTAATTTTTAAAAATTTTTGGTAGACACTGGGTCTCACTATGTTGCCCAGGCTGGCCTTAAACTCCTGGGCTCAAGTGATCCTCCCACCTCAGCTTCCCTAAGTTGCTGGGATTATAGGAGTGAGTCACTGCGCCGGGCCTACTTTTTTGTTTTCTCTAAGTAGGACAAAAGATCACTTACATTTTGTTTCAACTGTGATATACCTCAGAGCTTTTCTTTTTGTAAGTCATGGTTCTACTTCTCTGTGGTAAATAAAGTGTAGAAGCCTCACGGGACTGAGACTTTGGGCACCTGTGGATGGCAGTGGAGGGAACACGGGCTTTGCTCCGACCAGTTCTCCCCATGCCAGGAGGGAAGCCCCAGCTGCCAGGCTGCAGGGGTGCAAGGGGGCTGTGCTCTCCTGCACAGGCAATGGGAGTAAGAGGAGAATTTTAGACCCGCTGTTTTTCCAAACAGAAGTAGGCTGAGGAGCCTGGTGTGCTGAAGTTGGAAAAACGAGCGTCCACACACTGCACACAGCAGCTGCGTGCTCCACCCTGGCACTGGCATCGCATTCCTCACCTGGAGACAGGGATGAGGGGAGGGGAGGCAAGTGAGTCTCCTCGCACCTTCTCACACTGTCGCGCCCTGCATCTGGAGAAGCATCTGGAGAAGCAACACCCCAGAAGTACAACTGGGACAGTAGTACTTAATTTTGATTTTACTTTAAGGTCCTCTTTTCCTCCTGAGGTATTTTTATGTTAGCTTTAAGAAACCTCAAGGAATTAAGTATGTGACAAATTGCACTCCCAAAGAGGTTATCTGGGTGTTTTTTTTCCTCCTGCATCACCCTGAAATGTCATTGTAGCTTTTCTAGAAAAAGGCACATCTGACAGTTAAAATCCAAATAAATGACACCCAAGGGCAGCCTTCCGCTGTTTGGAGACTCTGACACGGGCAGTAGAAGGTTCGTCTGCACAGGTCTCTTCTATGTAAAATATGTAGAAAATGAAAGTTATCCTTTTAGAGCTCAGCTGGAAAAACCAACACTCGATGCACATGTTGGCCATCCTGAGATGGGGTCCTCCCAGCAAACCTTCTACAATGTGTGCTGAAGATCAAGCACATGCCAACAGCAGCCCCTACACATACTGCACATCCACATCCACTTATCCTGCATCTACCAGGCGCCAGCAAGGGCAGGTACCTTCCACATGGCACTGCTCTCAGCAAACCCCCGCGGCAGGCTCGAACCTTGCTACCCTGCCGAGGAAGCCAGCAGTGCACTCCAACCCAAATCTGTCTGTTTCAGATCCCCCCTGCTACAATGACATTGCACAATGAGAGAAGGGGGCATCCAGCCCCACACATCGCCCTGCCCTAGAAGACGGCACCAATAGAGTGGAAGGGTCTGTGCAGAATCTCTTAGGTGCTGGATAGGCACCTCTCAGTTTGGCCAGCTGGAGGAGGTGCCGAGGCACTGGGGGCCACAGTCATCGGGATTCTTGAGACACAAGCAGGGCCAGGGTGGTGGCAACAGGCACACAGCATCCGGCCGCAGAGAGGCCCTCAGCCATGGTGAGCAGTGTTTCACAAAGGCCAATTCAGGGAAATGAAGGTCTTTCCAGGCCACAGGCTTTTTTTTCTCTCTCTTCCACTTAAAATGACAATCGCTTCTTTGAGATCATAAGAGATGCACATTCTTACCATTTCTGTCATCTACATAACTGAATAGCAGAATTTCAGTGGAGAGCTGGACAGAGCTATTTTTCTGCCACTCAACTATTCATTTCTAGGCATTCCTGAGGCATCTTCATAAGGAGAGAGCTTGATTTTCTTCTGAAGTTGAGGTAAAGAGGCACAGAGGAGCCAAGTGGGTCTCCTGCTGACTGCGGGCAGCTTGTCATTTCTCACCGCTTTAAACCAACCCATTCCCTCTTTCACTCCAGCCTCCACCAGGTGGCCACCGGGATTCACTTTGGTTCCTAGGAATCCTGACTCCGTCTTCCAGGCACTGGAGGCATGGCCCTGCCCTGCCTTGCCAGTCACACACCATCTCTTCTGAGGTATATCCCAGAAGCAACAAACTCTATGCACTGCCAAAATGAGGTATCCAGAGGAAGGTACGCTCAGCTGAGACACAGCATCCAGGGAGAAAAGCCATCCCACAGCCGAGGGAAGCACCTTATGAATTCTCCTCATTGCCCAGGGGCTGTCTCCAAGCAGGGCTGCCCAGAAGAGCTTGCTAGCCTTCCTCTCCCACATCTCTTCTATTCATGCTCTGGTAAAAAGTGATGCTCAAAATATTCAAATATTCATTGCTCAAAAATTAGTATTAATGATTTCAAATTAGAAAAAAAAAAAAAAAAAGCCTGACATTGTACCAAGCAGAGAGATGCTCTGTCTGGTTTGTGTGTGAGGCATGCGGCTAAGTCCACAACCGGGTCTCATTATTAAGTGCTTATGTAGGTGTTCACAAACACACAGTGTCCCTGACTTCTCAGAGGAGGGTGTCTCTCCTGCTTCCTCACCCTGTCCTCTCTGGTTTCATGGAGATGCAGGAGAGTGTGTCTCCTCCTCACAGTCAGCAGTTGTGGGCTGGCATCACTGGCAAGCCAGTGGCTGGTGCAAGCAGCCAGAAATTACACCCTACACACTGGAATGCTCATGGCTGGGGCCCATTCCTCACCAACTCCCTCATTAGTAGTGAGTTTTCCCCTATAAAAACTTAAAGGTTGTAGCATGTCCCCAGGAGGCATGGAATAACGTGTGGGCCCTGCTCAAACTCAATCCATATGAAGGCCACGGCTGCCCGATGTTCCCACCGCAGGGCCCATCTTCACACAAGGCAGCGAAGCGGGCACTAGGGCAGATGCCCAAGGAGGCCCTCATCCTCCCCACATACCTTGTTCTCTTGAAATATCCGCCTTGTACCAGAACTTGGAAGTGTCTTGAACAAATTTCACGATCACAAGTTTATCACCTGGACTATCTGTAAAGCAAAATTTAAAAACAGTGACCATGATGGGCACTTTTCTTCTTGCAACCTCTCATCTGCTGTGATCCCAGAAGTCCAAATCCCATGCCAAGGGCAAGCAAGCGAGCGATGTTCTAAGGAAAGGGAACCCTGCCTTTGAAATGACTGAGTTGGAGGAGGCAGTGACTGTTTTATAACACAAAACAGAACAACAGGATGCTTGGATTGAGCCTTTGCAATACATTTTAAGAATACATAGGAAGGTAGTGAGGAAAGAGAGGGTAAGGTTGGTGTTGTTCAACCCATAGACCACACTGCTTCTTATACACTTGAAATATTTCATAATGACGTTTTGGATGAATTAATTTAATTTGACAAGGAATTTGTTATTTACAAAAAGCCATGTTCCCAAGTGACATGGAAAGTAGAACCACTGCAAATGTCTGCACTTTCTACAACTGGAAGGAATCCAAGGTGGCCAAACACAGAAGCCAAGAAGAGTGAATGAAAAGCCTGAGCCAGTGCTTGGTTTTGGACGAGGAAAATGGAAAAGTACCCCAACGGCTCTGGATTTCCTCTCCAGGTGCCCAGCCCAGCACTAGAGATATGCCAGCTCAGCTGCAGGTCTGAACCCTTCCCTTCCCCAGTGAATGGACAGAGGGGCCCTTCCAACCAGCTGGAAACACACCTACCTGGCAGAGGTGAGGCCGCTTCTGAAGCCTTGGAAAAGTCGGGAAGGACATTTGGGAAGGGGATACTGATGGTGCTCCCGCTGTGCGGGCTGGAGAAGCCACTGGAGGAGGGAGAGACTGAGCCCAAAGAACGATCCCCCTCCGAGGCCCGCTTCTTCTCAGGGAGGGGTGGCTGCCCGGGCAGGGTCACACCCTGGCCCTGCAGGCCTGGACTGTGGTGGCTGCTGTGTCCAGGCGCCACCGTGAGAAAGTTGTGGGACAGGAAGCCATTGTCGGCAGCCCCTGTCGCTGTCAGCGGGATGCTGGGGGTCGGTGACGCTCCATGAGAATTGGCCAGCAAGGCCCCCAGGTCCTCCTCGGGCGGAAGGCCACTTCCCACTGGGGCGGTGCCGAAGCCCAGGAAGGCCTGGCTGCTGGGAGGCGCCAGGGAGTCCGGTGGCTCTGCTAGGGACAGCTCATGGCTGTGGAAAGGAGCCTGGAGCTCTGACGGCGGGAAGCAGGACAGCACTGGGGAGTCCTTCCTGGTACCGGAGAACTCAGCGCTGAGGGGACTTCCGGTGGGCCGGCCGCTCCCCAGCAGGGAAACCATGGGCTTGGGGCTGCTCTCCACCCACTGGCGTTCTGCAGAAGAGGAGCTGTTCAAAAGACAAGCCGACCAAGACAGCATGTAAGGTACAAAGAGACACCTGAAGACCAGCAAGCGTCACCCACACGGGAAGACAGGGATGGGGAAGTGGGTGCTGAGGCCCTCCAGGCAGCACAGGAGGTATTTTCCAAAATATGTACACTAAGGCCCTCTCTGAGCTCACGCTGCCTGCCTTTCAAGCCCCCATTTCATGCCTGGATGCTGCAGCCCGCATGAGGGCACCCAGGGGAGCCGCCCCATGAAGGCCTCCACATGCGCAGATGCTGCTCCCTCGGCCCCTGCGCCTTCCCTCCTGCATCTTCACCGGGTCAAGGCCCTTTCGTCCTTTAAGACGCAGCTCAGCTGTGCACCCACTGGGAAGCCTTTTCCTAGCCCTTAGCCAGCACCTGTGGCCACATACACGTGTGCCCTCGGGAGTAGAAATGCCCTCCCGTCTTGTCCCACAGCACTAGGCAGGGATGCCACCCACATTCATCCCCCGCAGCCAGGCCGTTGGTTCACTGTGGGTCCCCTCCTCCTCGCAGCATGATCCCTCTGCCCCATCTCCTTTATCTGCCAGATACACCATCAGTCCTCAATCCATGCTTGCTAGATGAACCAGTTGATTAACGGATACCACAAAGACTACTGGAAATTACCAACCACTTACGAGTACGGAAAGACAGCTAAAACCACACCACGTGACACACGTATTTCACTAGCAATGGAACATTCATGGGTACAGAGTCTATGCGTAATGTCCTTAAATGAGGGCTCCTCTTTTATTTTAAGGAGAACAGAGGTAGAATTTAAAAAGTTAAATAGGGAGCTACGTGTTCATACAACAAAGCATAAAGAAACTTATTCCTACTCTGAGCAAGTGGAATGGTCTCACGTATGAATGTCCTCAGGGGTAGTATCTTTGTGAAGCAGAAATAGGCCATTTTTCCCTGTTAATACCCACCCTCTCCCACCCCCAGGTCTTTCTGTAAACCAGAAGCCCTCTAAGACTGATTTTTCCTGTATTTCCTGTATGTCCCTATATTTTCTCGTATGTCACCACATACACCTGTCCCCGGCGGTAGCAGTGTCGTGCACACAGCCCTGGTCCCCTGCCCCGCCCCATCTTCAGGCCAGTCCCTGCCTGGTCTAGCTTCAGCTTCTCTGAAGAGCAAGCCCCCGCTGGTCCCACATGCCTCTCAGCATTCTGGGTCTTTAAGGGGAACTTGTGCCAAGTTTAAAGATCCATCTTCTTACCTCTCTCTCCTCTGCCCAGGGCCGTTGCTGGAAATGGTGCAGGAAGAAGCAAAAGCCTGCTGAAAGGAGGGCGTCGAGGACGCATCAGCCCGGAGCATCGTGGATTTGGGTCCGATGGGGCTCTCTGACATCCCCACAGCGTGAGTGAGCGTCTCAGGGCAGCTTCGTGGTTCTGTAGCGGGAACACAGGAAGCAGAGAGACCTCGGTTGTAGGACTGGAGAAGTCATAATCTCTGCTGCTTTTGCATGTTCCACAAGAAACAGTGCTGACTTTGAGGCTTTCTGTCATCCATGGCCATACTGAACATGACATCACTACCCGTAATAGGCTGGAGGAGGCGGCCAGCCCTGCACCCACAAGCATGGGTTTATTCTCACCCATCACTGTTTCCAAAAATAAAGCGACCTAATTCAGTCCCCCACAGTGTCCAGCCCATTACCACGAGCTGGTCATGTGAGGAGATGCACATTGGGCCGCCTGGGCTGGTCCTCCCAGCCCCATCCCCCACAAAGGCTGATGTCCTGTAATGTACTCTCCACTCCATGATCTAGGCTGCACCTCACTTTAGAATTGGCATGGCCTTTCCTCTGCAAACCAGCAGGCGACTTCTCCCAATAAAGACCATAAGTGCAGGCCCTGCGGCAGCCGGGCGGCCTAGGTGTCCTCCACCTTCCTTTGGTCCCTACCCTCCCCCCAGCTGGTAACTGGGCCATCAACATCGAGCACTATGAGGGTGCAAACCCATGCTGCTGCTTTCCAGGTCAAACCCCGCTGCTTCAAAGGCCACACCGTGGGGTGCAGAAGCCACCCTCGCAGGTGGGCCAGAACGCAAACCTGCTTGTGTCCCATGCCTGAGCCCAGGCACATTCCTCTGACAGAATTTCTGTTTGGTTTCTTGCCCAGCAGCTGCATTATTTCTGGATATTTAAAACATCTTACCTTTTATATTTTTTCTTTTTTTAAACCAGGCTTCAAGAAATGGACAAATCTACCATGGTCAGTAAAATAATATTATTAGAAATACTGGTCAGTTTGTTTTCTGTTTCAAAACTAATGAGGATTGATAAGAGAATATTAATGTAGAAAAAAACTCCATATTATTCATTTCCTGGAGAGGGTATTGAAATTTAGAGATTTCCAAATAATGCTGTTTTCCCTACAACTCACAGGACTATCACCTCACATGCTTGAAATATGTGTTATTTTAATTATACTGAAAAAAAGGCTACCTTCTTTACCCTTCAAATGAAAACCAATAATAAAACTGAATACCAGAATCACACTTTATAAAAATGACATTTACTAAGAATACTCTGAAAGGAATTATCAACAGCATATGTGATTTCTGAAGATGAAATACCTAGGGGGTTTTCATTAATCCAGGTGCCAATGAGCACTGGTCTGTGGATTATTCAGACCAGTGAGGAATTATATCCAAAAAAAGCAAGGGAAAGCCCTGACCACTCAACTAAATTACCTCCACATACAGGATGTAATATCCTGGTTTTTTAAAAAAAATTGATCTCTACAGAATTTGCACTATCAATTCACAAATGGAATGCACTTCACTCCAATGAGGTAAACAAGCTCCATCTCTACCAAGACAGAATGAACATTCTAAAAATTATATGGTATCCCCACATATGTGAAGTGAAGCACTTTTTTGGTCACACGTCATTTCAATATGAATTAAAAATTACTATTTTTATTTAGCACGAATTCTTTTCCTAAGGAAACCTTAGAGAATTTTTTTTTTTTTGGAGACGGAGTCTCGCTCTGTCGCCCAGACTGGAGTGCAGTGGCGTGATCTCGACTCACTGCAAGCTCCACCTCCCGCGTTCACGCCATTCTCCTGCCTCGGCCTCCCGAGTAGCTGGGACTGCAGGCACCTGCCACCACACCCGGCTAATTTCTTTTTGTATTTTTAGTAGAGACGGGGTTTCATCATGTTAGCAAGCATGGCTACGATCTCCTGAACTCGTGATCTGCCCGCCTTGGCCTCCCAAAGTGCTGGGATTACAGGTGTGAGCCACCACGCGTGGCCTAGAATTTTAAAATATATTAATCAGCACACAAAATGTCTGGAGTTATGCCTAAATTAACAACTATCCTAAGTTATCTAATAGACCTTGGTAGAGAAAAAGTGAACTTTAAATGTTTAATTTTTCATGAAACTTTAAAAACCACACCTTTATATATTGAGGTATAACTAATATACAAAAAACTGGATATGCTTAAAGTAAATAATTCGGTCAGTTTGTCATATGTAAACGTCCATGAAACCATCATCATGATTGAGATAATTAACAGTTACATCATCATTCCAAGAGTTTCCTCCAGCCCCTTCTCCTGCTCATCTGGTTTATGTCACTTTGCTTTAGTGTGCATTTCCTAAAATTCTACATGAATAAAATCATTCATATAAACTCTTTTTTTCCTCTACTTTCACTTAAGAAATTATTTTGAGATTCCGCCACATTGTAGAATGTATACATAGCTCATTGCTTTTCAACGGTGAGTACTTTTCCATTGTATGGACATATCACATTTTCTCTGTCCATTTACCTGTTGATGGACACTTGGGTTGTTGCCACTATGGGGCTGCTACATATAAAGCTGCAATGAGTATTTTTAGACACTTTTGGGTGAATACCTAGGGATGGAATGGCTGGACCATATGGTAAGTGTCTATGTAACTTTTTAAGAAAATGCAAAGCTGCTTCCCAGAATACTTGCAGCATTTCACATCCCCACCATCAATCCTGCCCCTACTTGGTATGGTTGGCATTTCGAATTTTAGCCATTCTAGTGCTGGCGTAGTGGTATAACACTGTGTTTTTAATTTGCAACTTTATTAATTACTAATGATGTTGAACATCTTTTTGTATGCTTATTAATAGGCATTTTTATGTGTTCTCTGGTAAAATGTTTGTTCAAATCCTTTTCCTTTTTTTCACTAGGTTGTTTGCTTTCTTAACACTCAGTTGTAAGAGTTCTTTATATATTTTAGATGCAAGTCCCTTATCATATATATGATTTGCAAATATTTCTTCTGAGTCTGTTGCCTGTGCATATATTCACTTAAGAATCTTTTGAAGAACAAAATCTTGTAATTTAAGTCCAGTTTATCAATTTGTTCTTTTAGGAATAGTGTGTTTGGTGTTGTATCTAAAATAGTATCTGCCTAATCCAGTCACAAAACATGTTTTTCTGTTTTCTTCCAAAAGTGTAATAGTTTTGGAAGAAACTATAAACATAAGCCTATGATCCATTTTCAGTTAATTTTTACACATGGTGTGAGGCATATATATCAACAAAGTTTAGTTTTTTAAATATGGATATTCAATGGTACCACTACCATTTGTTGAGACTATCTATTCTTCATTGAATTGCTTTTGTAATTTTATCCAAAATCAGCCAAATGTTAAATCCATCTAGGTTATTTTTCATTTCAGACACTGGAGTTTCTCTCTCCAGTGAAGTTTGGTTTGGGTCTTTTTATATGTTCCACGACTCTACTTAACTTTTTGAACACATTAAACATAGTAAAAATAAATGTCTTAATGTCCTTGTCTTAATGTTCATAATCTTAACATTAGTTTTGTGTCCTCATTAGTTTTGTTTTGCTTTCTCTCTTAACTATATTGCTATTTTCAGGCTTCTTTGATTGCCTGGTAATTTTTGATTGAATGCCAGACACTGTGATTTTATGTTTTTGGATGCTGGATATTTTTGTATTCTTATAAATATTCTTGAACTTTATTCTGGGATGCAGTTAAGTTGCTTAGAAACATTTTTATCTTTTTGGGTCTTGCTCTTCACATTTGTTAGGAAGGCCTGGAGTCATGCTCCATCTAGTGCAAGTTATCCCCCACTACTGGGCAAAACCCTTCTGTATATCACTCAATGCCCAGTGAATCTTGATACTTTCCTCTCTTGCTCATGAGAACAGGCACTCTTCCCAGCTTTGAGTTAGCACTGGGTTAGCCTCTCTTTCCAATCTTTTCATTTGGTTCTTTCCCTGGCCTTCAATGTCCCTAATGTCCTCCTACCCAACGCTCAGTTGAATACGTATGGCGGATCCTCTGCAGATCTCCAACAGCTCTCTCTCTGTTCAGCCTTCTCTCCATCCTGCAAGTCATTGTGGTCCCCTGGAGTTTCAACTCCAAATGCCCAACTCAGAGTCTCCCAGATTCTGCGTGAGTTTCCTCTCCCTGCCTTACACCTGGAAACTTTGTCTAGGCGGTAAACTGGGACAACTGTACTGTCACCATGTTTGTTTCTTACTTTTCAGGGATCGTTGTCTTTCACTGCCTGATGCCCATTGGCTTGGAAGCCATTATTTCATATAGTTTGTCCATTTTTTGTTTGTTCAGTCAGGATAATAAATCAAGTCTCTGTTACTCCATCCTGACCTGAAGCATACATCTCTAATCTTTCATATTTAAAGACGAACAATTCACTGAAATTAAAGTTAACTTATCAATTATTCAATAATTATAAATTATTGAAAACTCTATAAATTAATATCCCCAAGACTTAAGAGTATTTAAAATGAAAAAGAGCAAAAAAAAAATATGCTATGAGAGTATGTTTAAAACATAACTGTGGAATAATAAAAATAGCTCAACAAGCCGGAGGTTTGTGTTTGAATTTAAAGTAATTTGTTTTACCTTTCTCAGTTTACCACCTCACCGATAAATAGGATTAATACTGCTACCCACCACAGAGGGTTCATTAGTAGGCTAAAAGGGAGGATGAATAATTTACACAAATGTTCAATGTTATGGCTAAAGAGAAAGAGGTTAAACAGATGTTTATCCAGTGAGGTAGAAGAAGCCAGAATGTTAGATTGTTCACTGCAGGTCGTCAAGAAAGGTGGAAAAACATGCTTATCAACAATCTTGGAGACATTACAATCTGTAAACCCTTATCTATCAAAGATGGCCACATCAGCTGCATCAGCTCAAAGCCAGTACTAGAAAGAGAGAGCATGTTAATTTTCAGTTACAGTGCAGGAGTTAAACTTCCACTAAGGACAATTATGAAAGCTACACAAAATACTAACAACAATAGTTTGAACCCATTCAGATCGCCCAAGGCAGCCAGGGCTTACTGGGCCAAAACCTCCAGGGAAGGGAGCAGGAGATCCATGGCCATTTTTCCTTCTCAGACATGGACCCGTTTGGAAGCATGTGGTATAGGGGCCATACACAAACTAGCAGTGGTAATCACACTGTTCTGGGGAGACCAAGTTTGGAGTTCAGAGCTACCAAGGCACCAGTTCTGGAAGTGCCAAGGTCTCAGAGAAATGAGGACTGCAGAGACAGAGTCAACACTCTGAGCATGTTTCCCCTCAAGGCATTTCTGAGTCCTAAGTGGCAGAGGTACAGGGCCCAATGCCCAGTAAACAAGACAAAGCCAGCTGCTACGAATCTAAAAAAGATCAGCAGGGATTGTGGCAGTCTCTTAGTGGATGCTAAGTAACCAAAAACGGCAGTTCAAGATGCACCTAGGAAGAGGGGCCTTTGCAAACACCACAAGGTTTCAAGGTGAGACCCTTGAAGGGCTACAAACTAGAAACAAGAGGACCATGACAGGATCTGATTAGGCAGCCTGGAAGAAAAATTATATCCTCTCTAAAGAACATGCCTCCCCCACCCAGAGCCTGACTTTGTCTATACTCTAAAAATACAGTATCAAATATTTAATTGTAAAAAAATGATCATCAATGCCAGGAAACATGACAAATGAAAACCAAGACTGCCACCACCCCACACACAGAAAAAACGCCCACAGCTAGTTCAAAAATTGATGTTAAAAGCCACAGATACTAACATAACTGAACAGAATGTTTAAGAAAGCAGAAGCAAAAAGAATTTCACCAAAGAACTGAAGTCCATTAAGAATAATCAAATGATGTTCCCTGCCCTGTGTCCAGGTGTTCTGATTGTTCAATTCCCACCTATGAGTGAGAACATGCAGTGTTTGGTTTTCTGTCCTTGTGATAGTTTGCTCAAAATGATGGTTTCCAGCTTCATCCATGTCCCTACAAAGGACATGAACTCATTCTTTTTTATGGCTGCATAGTATTCCATGGTGTATATGTGCCACATTTTCTTAATCCAGTCTATTATTGATGGAAATTTGGGTTGGTTCCAAGTCTTTGCTGTTGTGAATAGTTCGCAATAAGCATACGTGTGCATGTGTCTTTATAGCAGCATGATTTATAGTCCTTTGGGTATATACCCAGTAATGGGATCACTGGGTCAATAGTATTTCTAGTTCTAGATCCTTGAGGAATCTCCACACTGTCTTCCACAATGGTTGAACTAGTTTACAGTCCCACCAACAGTGTATAAGTGTTCCTATTTCTCCACATCCTCTCCAGCACCTGTTGTTTCCTGACTTTTTAATGATTGCCATTCTGGGGGCAGGGGGAGGGATAGCATTAAGAGAAATACCTAATGTAAATGACGAGTTAATGGGTGCAGCACACCAACATGGCACATGTATACATATGTAACAAACCTGCACATTGTGCACATGTACCCTAGAACTTAAAGAGTGTGTGTGTGTGTGTGTGTGTGTGTGTGTGTGTGTGTGTATACATATATATATAGAGAGAGAGAGAGAAAGAGAGAATAATCAAATGGAAACTCTAGAACTCAAAACAAAATAAATGAAATTAAGCATTCAGTTCATGATTTTATCAGCAGACTAAACACAGCAAAAGAAATTGTGAGTGAACTGGGAGAAAAATAGGAAGAAAATATGCAGTCTGAAGCATAAAGAGGAACAAGACTGAGAAATACACAAAAGACAGTAAGACATGAGAAATGATTCTTAAAAATTCTAACATACCTATAATTGGAGTCCAAGAAGTTGTGGAGAAATTGAATGAGGCAGAGGCAATATTGGAAAATATACATACTGAGAATTTCCTAAAAGACTCAAGAAATCAAGCCACAAGTTAAAAAACAAAACAAACAAACAAAAAACCTAAGAAGGATTAATAAAAAGAAAATTACACATAAGCACTTAATAGTAAAACTTCTGAAAAATCAAATACAAAGTCTGAAACACAGTGCCTTGTCCATTTTGGGGGAAAGGACGAGACACCAATTTCCGCACTAATGTTTTCAACATTTAATCATGTTTCCATTATAGAAAAGCCCAGTACTAATGTTCTGTTTGTATGAACATACTGTTAAGACCCTTGGGAATGGTGTGTCTGCTGCACCCAACTGTAAATACCATGACCATCTCAAGGCCAGGCCTGGCAAATGCTCAGTTTGTGTCATGAATACATGTGCACGTTTTCTGCTATGACTGACCTGTAAATCCATAGAGCAGATGCAGTTGTGTGACTGACCGCCCCTCCTCCCAGTATGGCCCACAGGAAATGTCCTAAAATAAGTGTTTGCTGAA
The DNA here is from genome assembly GCF_000001405.40 of Homo sapiens. NCBI lineage: Eukaryota > Metazoa > Chordata > Mammalia > Primates > Hominidae > Homo > Homo sapiens. The sequence continues at coordinate 47,312,264 of NC_000007.14, forward strand.
TTTATTATTTCTTTCTATTAAAGCTGGGATAGAAAAACAAAGATGCATGGAGTTTAAAACCATCCCTCTGCACCCTCACTTCTATTCCCAGTACTAAGATGACTTATCTCCATTTGTGTTTGTCCGTATTTCTTTTCCATTAAAAATGTCTTTGCTGGGGCTGGGTGCGGCGGGTCATGCCTGTAATCCCAGCACTTTGGGAGGCGAGGCAGGCGGATCACCTGAGGTTAGAAGTTCAAGACCATCCTAGCCAACATGGTGAAACCCCGTCTCTTCTAAAAATACAAAAATTAGCTGGGTGTGGTGGTGTGTGCCTGTAATCCCAGCTACTCGGGAGGCTAAGGCAAGAGAATCACTTGAACCTGGGAGGCAGAGGTTGCAATGAGCTGAGATCATGCCACTGCACTCCAGCCTGGGCGAGAGAGCAAAACTCTGTCTCAAAAAATAAAAATAAAAATAAAAAAATAAAATGTCAGGGGGAGGGGGGAGGGATAGCATTAAGAGATATACCTAATGCTAAATGACAAGTTAATGGGTGCAGCACACCAACATGGCACATGTACACATGTGTAACCTGCACGTTGTGCACATGTACCCTAAAACTTAAAGTATAATAATAATAAAATTAAAAAATAAAAATAAAAAATAAAATGTCTTTGCTGGGCACCAGTTTTCCACTAACATGGCCTACACCAGCCGGAGAACGGAAGAGAGAAACAAAAGCGAAACAGGGAGTGCCTGCGTGTCCTGCTTGTGTCAGCCAGATGAGACCATGTGCAAATTACTACTGCATGGAGGAACATGTGAGGTGCAGCTCTTGAGCTGCAGGAGGACCCACAGGGAGACTTGCTTCATCTGGAGGGAGCTTCATCTGAAGGCTTCCTGGAGCAAGTGGCATTTGATGAATGCCATCCTGGAAGGATGGGTGGCATGCATTCTGACAAAACCACCTCATGGGTTCTTTGCTTATTGGGCAGGGGCCACTCCTGCCATTCACTGCTGTGTCCCCAGCACTGGGCTGGCACCTGTAGGAGCTCCATGTCATTCACATTGTGAATTAATGAATGAACTAGCAAAGGCTTAGAGGTTAGAGGGAGAGGTTCAGAGCATGACGTGGAAATACTGCTCAGGGGTCTGGTTCAGAGGAGTAGGTGGACAGTTGGTTGATCAGTTCCTAGGGTCTCATGCCAAGAAGCAGCACAGAACTTTGGAATAAAAAAAAGTTTATTAATCAAGTTTAATATGCCCACCTTATGGTTGGTTGGTTGAGCTTTCAAAGAGTCATATAAGAGAGGAGCACATACCCAGCACAGCATGCAGTACCTGTTTCTATGACTGACATTGCTCTTAGTGGTTCCCACAAAGCCACGGGGGCAATCCCTGGTGCTTCACATCCCTGTTTACAGAGTCCCCGTGCCTCAAGGCTCTAGAAGACCCCATGCCATGACTCAGAAGCCCTCAATGCACTCCCATGGCGCCTGGGAATTTCACCAAATGAGAAGAGGCTGAAGGAAAATAAAATCCACTTTGTTCCTGTTATCACAGTGCTTGTCCCAGAAAACAGCAAGCCCAGCAATTCCCATGAAAGTGGCTTTGTTTATCATTCAATTAGCACCAACTCTGGGGCACTCTGGCTGTGTAGTTCCCTCTGTCAGACCAGTTCCTGACCGGGTGACAGGACTTAACCCTTTATTTGGAGAAGGGGCTGCTCAAAGCATCAGATTCCATGTTTATCCCAAGGACTTCAGCACAGGGAGACTTGGGCTTCCTGGGCCATTTCTCCTGAAGGTCCTTGGTCTTTGCCTGTGCTCAGAGATGCAAGTCGGCTAACAGAGTGCCACACAGCTCAATGCCACAGCAATTAATCCACTTATTAGATGGGCCTTGGCATTCCCAGATAAGTTGGGTGAGTGTCACATCTTCAGGTCAGTGCAGTCACTTCCAGTGACTGGGACTGCAGACAGCAAGGAGGATGCTGACAGCAGCTACACTTTACACAGAACCTACACCCTGCAGGCGCTGTGCTTGGCACCTACCATCTCCACTTCCCTTAGGTCTGCACAGCTCCTCGAGATGTGCCCATGCTTAACGGAAGAGGAGAGCGAGGCAGCGGGAGCCTGGGTCCCTTTCTAAGTGCTCCTCTGCACTGTCCCTGCTGAGCATCTAGCAAGCACAGAACAGGAGCCGGCAGGGCTGGGGGAGGTGCACCAAAAATCGTATAGTCAAATGCACCAGTCAAGTGAGGATGATCTACCTACTGCAAACCCTTTTGCATGAGTTCACTTCATTTCTAGAAATGTGGCTCACCATAAGAACAGGCAGAATTGTTGTTGTTGCTCAACTTGTACATTTGATGTTCACGGTTAAACTACCATGAACATTTTTAGCAATGTTAAAAATGAGGACAGGACGTGGGCTGAGCTCCTTGTTGTGGGGCGATCAGGTGCCTGTATCCTCAGCTCTGTACCTAGAAGAGCCCAGGAGATGGCCCGGGGTGGGGATGACCGGGGTGAGGAGCAGATGGGATTTGCACCGTCTTGGACAGGGGCATCTGCGGAGGCATTAAGCCCGCTGCTCTCTCCAGAGCCCTGCGCCTGTGGCAGCCTGTCTCTCTGCTTCAGAGGTGGAGACATAAGGGCACCACAGTGAGCATAATGGTCCCTCAAAGCAACTACATGGAGGGTTTTCCGGTGCAGGCCAACTTCTACTAAGGCAAAAGCCGTCTTCCTGAGGCCATGCACCCCTCCCCTATGAAGATGTGTTTCCACAACGTGGGAGGCTCCAGAGGCCACACAGGGATGCTGTTTAGACCGTGTGCACGCCAGCACAGCCCTGCCAGCCACAGCCGATCTTGGGCCCTGAACAGACGCTCCTTTTAGTTCCAGCATCCTGCTGGCTCGGCCTCCTTCTGCCCTTAATTCCCACAATATTCTCACATTTTCCCTTTGCTGCTCAGACCCAGAGCAGGAGGCATAATACCGTTAGTGTGTGGAAACAACACTCATCTCACTTTCTGGTATTCCGCCTAAGCAGCTGGTGTCCCTGGTGCCCTGCGGGGGTGAGGTGGCCGGGAAGGCTGCTGCTGCGGGGCAGCCCCCCGGGACCGGGCTAGAACTTGGGAGGCGCGTGCCCGTCGTTCTGGGACTTCAGGAATGTCTATGCTCCTCTCCTCTCGGCTTCCACCTCCTTCATTTCCTTTACCCAGAACAAGGGTGACAGAGGGTCACGGGCCCTTTTCCAAACGATCTATTTTTATGCTCTCATCCAGGCTTCTGTGGGAAGCTGGATACCACTCATTCTCCAACGGCCACTATTTACATGACATATAAGTTAACAGGAAGAGGAGAAACCCACGGGGCTCAGGCAGGGCCACTGGCTCGCTCTTCGGAAGCCTTAGAGCCTGGCCAAAACCTGCAACCTAAATGTGTAAGGAGTTGTCAGACATATTAAACATTCATGAGGGATCCAAACATCAAAGTTCATCCTCAGGAACCATAACTTACTTAGCAAAAAATCAGGACATGTGACATTAAAAACAAAATCAGCATTTTCCTGTGTTCCCAATTTCCCGTGTTCCTGATAAGGCATAAAAATTATTCACTCATACATCAATTAGTAACTACAAATCGCCTTTGAATGTTTTATATCACCTTTAATGAAAAATAAAATAAATTTAGCTGAGGTCAATATTATAGTCTCCTATCCAAGTGAAGAAACTTGAGTTTTGTTAACTACCTAAAAATACAGTCTCAATCTTTGGCCCATAAATACACAGTCATATTCACAATAAACTTTCAGAAGTAAGTGAGACTATCCACCTAACTAACTATTTCTCTCTCTCTCTCTCTCTCTCTCTCTCTCTCTCTCTCTCTCTCTCTCTCTCCATTCTTTCCTCCCTCCTAGTCACATCCCGGGATTATTATGCAGTTAAATAGGAAGTATCTTTTTCCATTATTTGAGAGAGTTCTAAAAAAATGGAACATCAAATCTCTCGTATCCTTCTTCCATTACATTTCTAGGCGGGGAATTGGGGCTGCTGCAGAGAAACAGCTCAGATCTCCAAGTTCTAGCCTGAGCTCTTCTGCCATAAACCATGGGGTGTTGGGCACATTGTCAACCCCTGGGGCCTTCAGGATCTTCATTTACAGACTCACTTCAATTGGGATCAGATTAGATGATTTCTAGGGTTTATTTAGCTAGGAATTTTTAAATTCTAATTTAGAAAAGCAAGACTTTGTATTGGAGTTTCCTCAGTAGTGATTAGTTTTATTTTTTTGTTTGTTTGTTTTTGTTTTTTTTTTTTAAAGTCCTTATCTTCACTTTGGGAGGCCAAGGCAGGCAGATCACTTGAGATCAGGAGTTTGAGACCAGCCTGGCCAACATTGTGAAACACCGTCTCTATTCAAAATACAAAAGTTAGCCAGAAATCACTTGAACCCGGGAGGTGGAGGTTGCAGTGAGCCAAGATCGTGCCACTGCACTCCAGCCTGGGCAACAGAGCGAGACTCCATCTCAAAAAAAAAAAAAAAAAAAAGTCATTATCCTATAATTCTTTTGTTATTTGTCTATGAACAATCAGGCCATTTAACCAACCTTCTTGAAAGCAAAGAGAAAATGGCAGGCAGCCAGATATAATGAGAATTAATTAGTGACCACCCCAACACTGGAAAAGCATTTTCATGGTTTCCGATGAGAATCAAAGTCCTACAGATACAAACAAACAAACAAAAATGATGAAAAACCCACAAATGGATAAATAAATACTTTCTTGGTGTTGAATCTTTTCTTTTTAAAATCCTGATGTCAACATAATACAAATAATATGAAATTTGTTCTACAGCTTAAGGTCAACTGATTTCAGCAAATATGAGAAATGCTCTCAAAAGGATAAATTGTTTCTGTCTTTTTAAAGGAAGCAAGGTTCTTATTCCCCCAGTGAAGCCAGAATTGCTCCAGCCAGGGCTGAAATGGGAATCCTGTCCACCAAAAGCCGGGTGACCCTTTTATGACATTCTCATCACAATTGGAATTATCCCCTTCAAAAGAGACCATGCCACAGTCTTCCTTTTAAGCAATAACACAAAAGGAAGTAGAAAATGTAGATGCAATAGTTCATTACAGTTGGAGCCCTATTTTCTCTTATTCTTTGAAGATGTCCCATTTATATTCAAGGTTTTGATCAGACTGGAAAGAAAACACATTTACCAGTTTAGTTGGTGTTGTGTAGAGAATTCTAATGTTGAAACAGTGAAAACAGCGTTTTTCTTCATAGTGAGTGTTTCCCAAGCAGTTTTTACACTTGGGATGCACTAAGTGAGGCCAGTTCCTCCAGGGACTCACATAGTCCCTTAGCAACCTACAAGGGATGAGAGTTGTAAAAAAATGTGCTTTGGTTTGAGTTCTCAAGAAAACAAATGACTTCCTTCCTTCTAGACTTTAAAGAAAGATGACACTGAAGTGGAGCTACTGAGGCTGCCTAGAGACCACATCAAGCCTGCAGACAGAGCCAACACACAGCTGAGAAGATCAGGGTCTAGGGAGTCACTGGAAATAAATGTGTGAGAGAGACAGAGAGAGAGACCCACCCGCTGAGTGGCCAAGGAGTCCTCATGAAGCCAAATCTGAGGCCACAGCCACCCACAGCTGCTCAGTGAGTTTCGTTATTTTTCTCAAATTGTGATAAGACATACATAACAAAATTTACCATCTTAGCCATTTTTAAGTGTACAGTGCTGTAGCATCAAGTACATTCACTTTTTCGTACACCAACTATCTCCAGAACTTTATAATCTTACAAAACTATAACTCTTTCCCCATTGAAATAATTTCCTATCCTCCACCCAAGTCCCCACCATCCCACTTTCTGTATGTATGAATTCAATGACTCTAGGGACCTCATGTAAGTGGAATCATACAGAATTTGTCTTCTTGTGACTGACTTACTTCACTGAACACAATGTCCCTGAAGTTCTTCCATGTTGTAGTGCGTGTCAGAACGTCCTTCCTTTTTAAGGCTGAGTAATATTCCACTGCATGCATAGATCACATTTTGTTTATCCATTCAGCTGTCCCTGGACACTCGATAGCTTTCACCCTTTGACTTTGCGAACAGTTACATTTTCTCCTCTCTTGTTCCTTTAGCCAGTTTGAGTTGGGACTGGTTACTTGCAACAGGAAACAGACTCAGTGACACAATGTCCTTGCCTCAAAGCTGCTTCCAGTCCAGTGGGAGTGCAAACAGACAGGAATGCACCAGCACAGGGCAGTCAGGCCAGGGTGAGGGTATGCAAAGCAGCACCAGAAAAGAAAAGAGCCATCTGACCCTCCTCAGGGAAGCTTTCCTTATGCTGAGCCAAAACAAAACAAAAACAAAAACCCACAAACAGAGGAAGTATTGCCCTTCACAAGCAGAGAGAGAACCTGCATAAGAGGCTTTGAGAGCCCTGGGCTGATTATCATGATGGAGAATGGAGGTTACCATAATGTATACACCACGTCCACACAGGAGTGGACAGCGGTCAGAGAAAGCTTCAGGCAGCTCAAGATGATACCGGCGAGGGTCTATGCCAATGAAGAGGCTGTACCTAAGATGCTTGGTTCCAAGTCTTTAGTCCGCAGAATAATTCCAGTCTCATAACTGGACTTGTCCACAGGACAGGAAGTCTTGATGTTTTCTGTTTTCAGGCAGAATTCCCAGAGAATCTGGCTTTCCTTTAGAAACGGCACATGGGACACAGATGACATGTGCTGAACTTTGCCACAGCCCTTCTAAGGAAAGGTCACTTTAGCCTGGTGGCTCAACAGCTGAAGTCCCGAGGAGTCCTGGTCCAGGATCATCATTTTGTCCTACAACCACTGTCTGAGTCCATGTGCACCGCTATATAGGAACAACCGAGGCTGGGCAATTTATTTTAAAAAGAGGTTTATTTGGCTCACGGTTCTGAAGGCTGTAGAAAAAGCATCTGCACCTGGTGAGGGCCTCAGGAAGCTTCCATTGATGTGCACTCTGCACACCCTCACCCTGGCCTAACCACCCCATGCCAGTGCATTCCTGTCTACCTCCACTCCCACTGGACTTGTGAAAGGAAGCTGGCATCACATGGTGAGAGGAAGGCGAGAGAGAGAGAGTGAGAGAGTGATAGAGAGAGAGACAGAGAGAGAGAGAGAGAGGAGGGGAGGTGCCAGGCTCTTTTTGACAATCAGTTCTCGTGTGAACTAACAGTGAGAACTCACTCGTTACCATGAGGACAGCACCAAGCCCTTCATGAAGTATCTGCCCCCATGGAGGGGACAAATATCCAAACTGTATCAATGACTGCACCATGGAAGTCTAAATCACATAAGGCCCAGGGGGAGAAACCTCCCCTGTAATCTCAGAAGTCTCTTACCATGACTTGAAAACCTTATTCTATGTGGCAGATTTCAATGGACCTGAATAGAATCAAAGACACCCTTAAAGGACCTGCCTGTCTAAGAACCCCTGTGGCACTCGGGGCATCTGCATCCCTTATGCCCACCAGCCCATGTGCCAGGGACCACAGGCAGCTAATGGGGGTTTCTCATGTAGTTTCAGAAACTGGAAGACTGCTGCTTTTGAGAGAATATCACTGGTCAGACTCTAACCAGGTCCCTAACCAGGCGTTGCCATCTTCACCCAGTATTTCTAAAGCGTCCTGTGAGCAATGAGGAATGCAACACTGGGAATCCTGTGTTAGGTAAGAATTCGAAACCTCAGCTTCACTTAAACCCTTCACTCAGTTAACAAAAAGATGTACTCTCATTGCAGTAAATATAAACAGAGACTCAGAATGCATTTTATCTTTGTTCAGAAAACATAAGTTATCTTTATAAATTATCACTATTTTACTAATAGTGACTATCTGCGCGGTGCTCAGTGGGCTTACTTGACCCTCAGAACAACTCTTAAAGGTGTGCACTCTCGTCCATCTATACCTGTGAGGAGGCCGAGGCTTCAGCACTTCCCCTCACCTGCACCTGGAGGGAAACACACGCACCACCCAGCTGGAGCAGGACTCAAACATGATTCTTGGGTTTCCCACCTCTAGCTCATTAGCACGAACCTCATTCCTTTTCCTTTTCACTCTGTCCACAGCTCTGTGAGTTAAGAGGAATCCTGGTATTCCACGAGTTGGGAGTATTAGTCAGCTTGGGCTGCTATAAAAAATACCACACAGTGACTGAACCAACAGAAATGTATCCCCTCCCAGTCTAGCAGCTGGAAGTCCAAGATCAAGGCATTGGCAGGGCTGGTTTCTCCCGAGGCTTCTCTCTGCGGTGCACAGATGGCCATCTTCTCCCTGTGTCCTCACATGGTCTTCCCTCTGTGTGTCTGTGTCCTGATCGCCCCCTTCTACAGGGACACAAGTCATGTTGGATGAGGGCTCACCCTAAGGGACCCACTTTCACCAGTCACCACTGTAAAGGCCCTTTCTCCAAACACTCACATCCTGGGGTTCGGGTTAAGGCATCATTCAACATAGGAATGTGCAGGGGGTGGAGGGAGTCACAATTCAGCCTAACACGAATTGTGTGTGGTTTGGGGAGATGCAGCCCCTCTATAAATGGCAGGAGAGTGACATAGGCCCTACTTCAGAGTTCTCAGGGAATCTGCCAAGTTAGGGCATGAAAGGTGTTTACAGCAGGGCCTGGCCCCTGGCAAGCACTCGAAAGATCCATCGCGACGAGGAAGAAATGAAAACTGACATGAGGCATGTGGCTTTTGAGGAGACCACACAGACTTTCTAATGTGTCCCTTCTGACTCTTGGAGCATGGGAATTCTGACCAGCCTGAGGCAGGACTCCAGGAGGAGCCAATTGTGCCAGAAAACCTGCATCTCATGGGGCCCTGAGCCAGCCCGAGGAGGGAGATGATGCGGCTTCACCCGCCTTCCTTCTTGGTCCCGATTCTCCTCTCTTTGTGTTTTTGTTTCACTAAGGTTTCCGATTCATACCATGCCTAATGGGTAGGCTACTCACTTTGCTGATGCAAGGGTCTCATTCTCAACCCACTGGTTTTCGGTGGTACCATTCTCCTTCAGGCTGGCTCTATGTTCTTCATGGGCAGCGTCTCCACGGTCATGCACCATGCCACTGGCTTCTGGACCCCGAAGGTGCTATGGAGCCCAGCTCCATTCCACTGAGTCCAAAACTCACGAATACAGAGGCCACCAGCACTACTGAAATGCCAGCAGGGTGTGTCGGCATTTGGAGGGCCTTCCAGCAAAGCTTTGAACATGCTATAATTGCTCCAATATAACAAGTGATGTTCCAATTAATAAGATAATTTACAGCAATCCACAGTCTCTGCCACAGGTGGTTCTCTCTCCAAGAGGGCTGTCCCGGGACAGAACTGGACAATGCTTGAAGCTCTCATCTGTCCCTCTGCCCATAATTACTCCTGTCTCATAGGAAATAAATTTAAGAAATAACCATTGTGCTCTGAGGGGAAGGAGGGAACAAACACTTGGGAGTTCAGAAAGACCTTCGCTCAAATAGACCAAATTGTCCTGATTTTACTCTACATTGTTTTCTTCCCCCAAAGACCATCCACTTAGAATGCACAACACAATATAAAAGACCTCCTTGTCTACAGCACTCAAGCCTCTCTCTAACCAGCAGTTCAGGGAGGGGGACCCACTGCTGAAGCTTCCCTCCTGCCCATCATCCACCAAGGTTTTCCTGATGATGAACATTCACTGAGGACTTCCCGACCCTCCCAGCTGTCCTGGAAGGAGGAGTCTCATTGGCATTCTACAAAAAGATTAAAGGCTAAAGAACTGTAAAAGCATCAAGCATCCCTCAGAACTGGTCCCTCAGCCCCAGGACCAGGGTCTGGGTACATTACATAGCCTTGACCTATAGAAGGAAGCTGATGCAACAGCAAAACCACAAACCAATGGGAAAGCACATGAGAGTGAAGTAGAACGGGCAAAAAAAAAAAAAAAAAAAAAAAGCAAAGGCCAGGTGCAGTGGCTCACGCCTGTAATCCCAGCACTTTGGGAGACTGACGCAGGCGGATCACGAGGTCAGGAATTCAAGACCAGCCTGACCAACATGGTGAAACCCCGTCTCTACTAAAAATACAAAAATTAGCCGGGCGTGGTAGTTCATGCCTGTAATCCCAGCTACTCAGGAGGATGAAGCAGGAGAATCGCTTGAACCCGGGAGGCGGAGGTTGCAGTGAGCCAAGATCGCGCCACTGCACTCCAGCCTGGGTGACAGAGTGAGACTCCGTATCAAACAAACAAACAAACAAACACACACACACACACAATCAAAAAAACAACCCAGTGAAATGAAAATTAACAAACATACCCTAGGAATGGAATGTTATGATTAGAAAAAGAAAAAAGAAAATGGTTTGTGAAAGCCTGTATATGACGAACATAAAACTGAGGGGAGTGCCTAAATATTCTAAGTTGCTGATAATATTTACCATGAGTCGAGTGCAGTGCTCAAGCTGGAAGGACTGGAGACCCCGCAGAATCACAGAAGCCCTACCCGGGGCATGAAGCCCTCTAAAGCCCTCAAGAGCAGCCTGCCTCCGCTCCCTGATTCCCTCTTACGGAGGCCCTCGGTGGCCACGGACCCTGCTCTATCTGGCACATGGCCAGTAGCACACTGCTGGAACCGTGTCAGAGGTGAGGCTGTGTCTCATTCACTGTCACATCACCAGGGCTTCCTACATAGGAGGCCAGCAGGGAGGGGTCCCCTGCTGAGGATTCATTGCATGGTAGGCACCCCGTCTCCAGCCCACCTGCAGCTCTGCACACCCTGGGCCGACCATGCAGCCAGTCTAGGGCTGGAGGTACCGCTCCTCGAGGCCTCATGTGCCCAGTCCCCAGTTGCTTTTTCTCACGGAGCCACATTTCTGAAATCTGTGCATACCTTTTCACCCACAGTGCATCCTGTTTTACCTGGCACTGTTTTCCCTATCTTAGTGTCATATAAAATGACAGCTTTTCTGAGAATCCACCTATCTTCGAATCTTCAAAAGAAACCCAAACCAAAGAGGCCAGAAAGAAGTGGCACATGCTTCCGGTACTGAAAGAAAAGAACTGTCAACTGTGAATTCTATATCCTGCAGAAATACCATTCAGGAATGAAGGAAAAATAAAGAAATCCAGAGATGAAGGAAAATGAAGAGATTTTGTTGTTTGCAAATGTCCCAGTAGGGAATGGCCAAAGGAAATTTTCTAAACAGAATGAAAATCATAAGATTTGGAACTTCCAAAAGGAAAGAAGAATGTTCAAATGAGTCAAAGTAAGGGTAAATATAACAGTCCATTCTTCTCATGAGTTTCTTAAGTCACTTTTTATAGTTGGAGCAACTAGCAGACATCATCACATGTGGTACTCACCATAAACGGATAAGATACTTCCAACAATTGTACTTTAAAAATGGGGAGGGTGAAGAAACTTAAATTGAAGTAAGATTTCTATGCTACGCTCCAAGTGATAAAATAATACAAGTAGCCATAAATAATGACAAGTTATGTATATACCAAGAGCGAGGACTAAAAAAACTACAGGGAGGGATATACTCAAAAATACTATCAATAAATAAAGACAGAGTTTCCCCTAAATGATAAATAAATCCACAGTAAGGCAGGAAAAGAGAAACAGAAGAGCAGAAGACAGGAAGGAAAAAATCCGGAAAAACGTATGCACCCGGATTTTCTACTAAGAATTTATTTGACATTGACATCCTTGGTCCATCTGGAACTGATGTTGGCATGTGTTATAAAAGGGATCCATTAACCTTTTCTACCTGGCAAACCTCAGCTCTATTTATGAGGCAGCTCCTCTTTCCCCTCCTGACCTGGCTGCCTGTTTTGTCTGGCACCAAAGTTCCAAGCATGTGCTGGTCTGTTTTGCACTTTCATCTGTTTGTTGGTCAATTTATCTGTCCTTGTACCAGCTCATGTTTACCGAATTTTCTATCTTTGTGGTAAGTCCTCATTTCTAGTAGTTGTATACTGGCTACTGAGAATTTTTACTTTATTATATAAATTTTGAATCAGCTTATCAAGTTCCACAAAATAATCTGCTGGCACTCTGACTGGAATTAAATTAAGTACACAGATGAAATTGGGAGGGTCCAACATGTTTGTGACATTGTCTTCCTATCCACAAACATGGCTTTCTCTCCATTTATTTTTATCTTTTTAAATGTCTCTTAACAGGGCTAGGCAAGGTGGCTCACGCCTGTAATCCCAGCACTTTAGGAGGCGGAGGCAGGCAGACCGCTTGAGGTCAGGAGTTTGAGACCAGCCTGGCCAACATGGTGAAACCCCATCTCTACTAAAAAGACAAAAATTAGCCGTGTGTGGTGGTGCACATCTGTAGTCCCAGCTACTCAGGAGGCTGAGGCCAGAGAATCACTTGAACCTGGGAGGCGAAGGTTGCAGTGAGCCAAGATCATGCCACTGCACTCTGGCTTGGGCAACAAAGTGAGACTCCATCTAAATAAATGAATAAATATTTTTTAAAAGTCTCTTAATAAAAACTTTGAAAATCTTTGAAAAACTTTGAAAAATGTCCCTGTTAAGAAAAAAATAGTGTCTTTTTAAATAGTCTGCGCATAACTGTATAATTCCTGTATCCCTTCAATTGTCACCAAGATATCCTTGACTTGATTTCCTCCAGTCAAGTGCAGCATGAGCTACAAAGGAAACTGGGACTTTTCTCGTGATGATAAATCTAGTAGGCAGCAGAAGTGATGGGACCACTGGGAAAACTATCAAGGGAAACCAGACTTGGAGGAGTCAGCTTGGAAGCATGATGGACCGTGTGGTTTTGTGTATCCATTACTCCCATCAACAGATGCACAAAGAGGGGTTCCCAAGACCCACATCTTCCAGAAGCAAGCCTTATCTTTGGTCCCATTTCCTTCTTACCTCCACAGAGCAGTAAATGAGTTCCATAGCATTCTAGAAGCTTTTCTATCTGTACTTGGTCACTCAAGAAAGCCAGGCATCCCACTGGTGACCCTCGTCCTCCTGCCAGCTGAGCCCTCATTCCTCTATCTTCCACTCCACGTTTGTAAAACCCTGTTTAACTTTAATTTACTTGGGTGACCCGGTACCCACCTGCCTTCTCCACCCAGCTATCCATTCTACCTGAGGCTAATCAAGAATCATATGTCCACAGAGAACACTGCTCAAGGAAGGCCACAGGCCACTCTGCTATCTCGTGGTGGAACGAGAAGTTGACATTCCAGTGATTTCTTAGTCCTGCGTTCTTAGGTTATCTCCTGGTAAAATCACAGTGAGCAATGGGACGGAGCAAGAAGGCAGAGTGTGCTGTGTGACGGGGACCTTCTGGTCCCTTGACTCTTACTGTAAACTCATTCTGTTTACAGTCCCTCCTGATAGGAGGGAGAGGCCACCTGTCTCAGGTGAGCCTAATGTAAACAAAATGGGCATGGTATTCTCATCAGACCACAGGACTTCGAGCCATCCCAGACCTGTGTCTGACAGCAGTAAGACCACCTTCCATGCATCACACCCACCAGGCTTCCTGTCCTGATCCTACATCAACTAGGCAGCTTGATTGCCTTGGATGTTATTTTTTTTAAAGACAGGGAAGTGGAAACAGAAGGGTAGAGGAGAGAAGGTCAAAGTGCGCAGCAGTTAGAACTATGTTGATGCATGGTCCTGGCTGCAAACTGCCTTTTTAGAACCATGCGGATTATCAGATCCCAGCTCCAACCACGGGAGCTTTCACTGTGCTTTTGGAGAAATGTTGCCATCAGTACAGGTGCCAATCTGAATGTCAACAGCTTTTAAATCACACAGCTCTTGGGACTGTTGTAAAATCCTGTTTATATGACACATATCAACTTTTCATATAAAGAAAGTAAAATGGAAATCAGAATTACAGCTCCCTTTCTCTGAGTGCCTACTATACACCAGGCACTCTGCTAACCCACACATAGGTGTTATCTGATTTAATCCTCATACAAACATTTCCACATGCAAATCATCTTATGGATGAGGAAACAGATTCTGAAAAGTGAGGTTAAGAAGCTTATTCAAAGGAAGCCAACTCATCTGTTGGACTCAGAAAACTATGTTCTTTCCACAAGACATCCCTGCCTCCCACCAGCAGGGTCTGAGTCAGAACGCAGAATGTAATACAATTACTCTGCCCCTACAGGAGGACAAGGAACCTTCTGCACAGGTTTGCCCTGGGGATTAGGAAGGCACAGGTACTCTGGGAGCAACTTAGAGCCCTGTCACTGAGGTTCCCCCTTAGAGTGCAGGAAGCCCCAGCAGAAGACAGCACCAGGCTCCCCACGGGCCACCATGGCTACAGGTTGGCCAAGGGAGAAAATCACCCCTCTCTCGAAATAGGTGGACCAAAATTCTTTTAATCTCACCTCCAAAGTCAGAAAACTATGTCCGTCCTAACCAGACAATCTCTAATACACTGACACGCATATGGAATTCATGAAAAATTACTAATGTATATAAAATACATTAAAAGGACAGGAAACTTTTGAAAAGATAGCATCTTCCATCAGCTGGAGAGCAATCCATCAATCCTGGAAGGGATACTGGGCAAGATTTTCAGCCTGGGAAGGAGAAGCTGGACCTTGAGCCACTTGGGCTTGTCTCAGAGCGGCTGCAGTGCTCGTTTCACAATAAAGAGCTCTGGGTTTTCCCCTCGCTCCCTCTTAATCTTCCCCATCCTTCCAGCTGGAATACACACACACACGCTGTGTCGGCTGCAGGGCCAGCAGAATCACAGGCCAGCCACGCAGAGGAGGGAGCAGATGCCCAGGAGGCCCACCCTGGGCCCAGGCGCCAGCCCTGCCCGTGCTACCCCCAGTGCCTGGCTGACTCTCCCAGGGTCCCACAGAGCCCCAGCCCCAGTTCAGACATTTGGGAGGGAAGGGACAGTGAAGAAACAAAGCCCCTAGGTCCAGAAGCTCTGTTAACATAATCTGAGCAGGTTCTTTCAGTGAATGCATGGGTTTTTGTTTTTGTTTTTTTCAATGACATGAACTCGTTTAGAAATACTCTCTTTGCTTGCTTCAACCACAGAAGAGACAACAGTAAATCTCATTTTAGAACCCAGCGCCTGATCCTAACGCTTGCTTTCGGCATTTAGTAGAAACAACTGTGCTGGGTGCTCAGAAGTGCAGCCTTCTGGTCCTCTGAAGGTCCTGCTGCCCGCTGCCCGGGATCCCTCAAGGGCCCTGGAACTGGGGTGGGGGCGGTGACAGCCCTGGAATGGGGCAGGCTCGCTTTATCAGTTTCAGTAAAGGAATGCACTGTGCTAGGAAGCAGTCCTGTTCCAGAAAAGCTGCACATCTGTAAACCAGGCTTTTGTTAGCCCTGAGTGAATCTCAGCAAAGACAAAGCATGACTTTCTTCTGGAAGGACTAGCCCTCCAGGCTCAAGGGCTGGGGCGTTTTGTCCCAAAGCCTTGGCGACTTGAGAACTGTCATCAAGTGACAAGGGGACTCTTGGAACAATCAGCCCTCCTCCCAAGTCCTGCCCAGGATTCCTGGCCCAGTGACCTCTGCATCCCACCTCATACCCCTCCCCACCCCCCTCCACTGGAGCCCAGGAGATCAAGTTTCAGCAAGGGCAACTGGATCCGGGCCAGAGGCGCCAGGAGCACAGAAGACACCAGGCGTGTAGGGACTGAGCAGGAAGAAGCAATGAGTCCCAATGTACAGCTTACCTGGCACCCAGGACCCTGGTCAGTCCATGGAAGGGCCTGGGAGGATGTGGGCCAGACAGAGGGAACTCCTTGGGCTGTGTCCCCAGCAGCCCTACGTGGTGAGCAGAGTCCCGAGTCCCTGTCCCAGCGGTGGCGTCCCCCACCCACCCAGGCAGGGCTCTGTGTTCCGGCCTGTCCCGAGGGAGTCGTGCAGGGGGCGGGGCGGCCACCTCCAAAGAGGCCCATTCAGAGGGCGGCCGAGAGAGCTCAGGCCCGGGAAAGAATCCCGGGATTGTTGAGCTGCTGCTGGCTGTCGCGGGCGGCCTGCCCAGTCAGTGCCTCCAGACGGCCCTGGCCCCGCCTTGCTCACTGCTGCGGTTTGCTTCCTTTTCATTTCTTTTCACTTTTTCCTCCCCCAACTTTAATTTCTTGCAACCTCCCTGCTGAAACCCAACCAGGCTTAGTTTCAGCCTCAGGCCAGCCATCACCCAAGGCACAAGCGGCAGGACCTGCCCACCATGCCCCCAAACCTGCCCCTCCAAAATCAAACCCCCATTCCCCTGGGACCCCACACTCACAGCAGAGAGAGGCTTCCAGCAACTAGCCAGAGAGGAAGTGGAAGCCTGAACAGTCTCTAACAACAAGGATGTCCCTAGTCAGTCCTCTGCCCCCCACCCCGGCAGGAGCCTACACCCATGTCCCTTTCCTCTGGATGGGGCCATCTGCCTCTCATCTGGCCTGGCCACCAGGCTGGAAGCCTTTCACTCCTCAAGGCAGCCCAGGGGACCTTCCAATGCAAATCCCACCCTGTCACTGCACTGCTCAAACCCTGCAGGTTTTCTTCCGGGCCCCAATGGGCTATAACATCCTGCCCAAACCCTGTCCTAGAGCCTGATTCTGGATCCCTCAGCCTGTTCTGCCTGGCTGGCACCTACTGTAGGCTGTTGGCAGCCTCTACGCACTGTGTCCCCTTTCTTCCATGTTCTTTGCTCATATGCTTCTCTCATCTAAAAGGCCAAACTCCTAAGCCAACTGCTGAAAAACTCCTATACATTCTACAAAGCCCTTTTCAAGTGACCCCACATTTTTTTCAGCATTTGGAACACCATCTCCCTCAGTCAAGTCAAAGTGCTCTGTTCCCGTGACCCGAAATCTGACTATAACCCAGTCCACATGGCAGAACATAGGGGCCTGTCATGTGTCTGGGCCTTAGAGACACGGTACATTACTCAGGGTTTTCACAAGGGGAAGCACAGAACAGACACTCACTCCTGGCTTCTCTTGTCTCTTGTGTCTGGCAAAATCCCACTCCCTCTTCAAATGCTGGTGTGTCACCCCTTCCCCTAGAAAGCTCTCCCTGGAAGAGCAGGTCCCCGTTCCTCCTGGGCTGCCTCCTTTCTTACAGCCCCTGTGCACGCCTGTGCTTCCAGCACAGCTTGCTGCCCAGCCTGAGCCGAGCCATTGGCCGGTCCAGCCCCTGCACGACCCTGGCACACTCATCAACCTGTGAAGAGTGGGCAGGTCAATGCCCTACCCCAAGAGGGACACGGCTTGCCTGGGACCCTCAGGGCCACCGCTCCGCACATGGGCCAGGAAGATCCCTGGGACCTTCCTCCCAAAGGTCTGAGTAGGCATTTCCTCCCTGGTTGTTTATGTGTTGCAGAGCAGCAGCTCCTGCAAATGATGCTGTCGGAAATGCCTGACCACGGACAGAGCAGGCTCAGCGGAAGCGGATGGACTGGCCTTTCCCGTGCCTGTCACTCCCCAAGCAGAGAGGAAGGCGGCACGGGGCGGCACCAGCATGGGGCAGCCAGGCCCAGGAAGGGTGACTGTGACCAGGATGGCACTCCCAAGGGTGGGTCCCATTCCCTCCGTGGAACTGTGGGCTCAGTGACTCGGAGCAAACCCACAGGGATGGGCAGCAGGGAGGAGGAGGCAGGGCATGCTGCTTCTGTGCCCGTGTCACAGCCATGACTGGGACAATCCTGAGTGTGAATCTACAGATTTAAGCATCTTCTGGAGATCTGTTTATCTTTCCTCTCTTGCTTCTTTCTCCTCAGCTGCAGTGCCAGGGACTAAAGTGATTTCAAAGGTGGGCTCCAGGTGGCAGCAAGTCCACTGAGGAAAAAACATTTAAAAATTCTTCCCGGACAGTCTGCTCCCCCCACCCAAACACCCAGAGATCCCCGGGGACGACAGGACCTGGACTGTCCACATGTTGACTCTGCTACAGCCAGGACCACCCACTGCACCTTAGCAAAATCAAGCAGGGGTGCAAATCAGACACCTGGAAGAGGACAGCCCACCCCACCAGCCGGCAATGCCAGGTCTCCTCTCAGAAACACAGGTGCTGGTCTCACGCAGCTCCCACTCTGCGGGCTCAGGCCCTTTGCAGGCATGATGCACTCAGCTCCCTGGAGCTGAGAGACTGTCTCTCTCCTTCCACTTACCCATCAGAAAACAAAACAAACTTTTATCCAGATCCTTCTCTGTGTTAGATGCCAGGAGTGTGATGAAGACTCTGCTCTGGAAATGTCCTGAGGCTGAGGGAGGGAGGGTGACACCAAATCCCAACCCAGGTCCCACTGGGAAGTCACATCCTTCAAATGCAGGTGAGAGCGAGGCAGCAGAAACAAAAGGACGGAGGGAAGGTGAAGCAAGGAGGGAGAGGAGGAACAGAGGGAGAGAAGGGGCAACAGGAGTTTCCCTTTCGGAGGAAGACACAAGCAGACTTGGTTGCCAGAGGGAGGTGAGAAAAGGGGCATTAAACCAAGGAGAAGGGAGGAGCTGGGGCGCCCAGAGAAGACACACGGGAAGGGATGAGCAAGTTTAAAGGTCTCGCAGCCTCCATAGGGGGCACGTCCTTCCTGAGACACGACCTGATCAGCTGGATGGAATTCTCCCTTAACACCCTCCCACCAGCCCGCACTGCCTGTCCACCAGCCTCACGGGTCCTACAGGGGCTGCATCCCATCACCTCCCACATCTCTGTCCCACCGGACTCGGGCGAACCTTATGTGTGCACACAATAAGAGGAACCCTGGACCAGCCCTACTCCCAGCGATCAGGTGATCTGCAGGTACCTTTGAGGACTGGGCACATGACTTAGCAAAGGAACTTCAGATGCTTTATGTGAAAGCTGCCTCAAAGACGGTGCCACTCCTGCAAACTGTGAGTCTCTCTACTACATGCAAGGCAGTTCTCGAAGGCCTGGGAAGGATAGTCAGGGTGACCCACAGGTTCTGTTTTCAGCAACAGGCTCTGCCCCAATAAAACAAAACTAAGAGGGATACTAGAATGCCTCCGAGGGACCAGGCACTGCAGACTGAGATCCTCAGCTTTATTCGAATGTACTTGTTTGTTCCTGAGAATTACGTGCTGGCCAGCACCCCAGGGCGAGCTCTACTCTGGGGTTCTTGAGACTCAAGTGGAGTGCTCACTTGGGCATTGCGGAGAAGGAATTAAAAACAAACACAAAACACAAACCCTCCACAACCTCAGCGACACTGGGACTTCACAGTAACCCAATCTCATGCTCCTCTGGAAAAATCAAATTCCAGTGAGCTGCTCACACCATCCCTCTGCCAGGTGACACATGGAGACCTGACCTCTGACGCCCATCGCACACTTGGTTGGCCCTGAAGCATCAGAAAAGTTTACTTTCATTCCAAATGATGGAATTCTCACTTGCCTGGCTTTCAGGATTTTTTGTAAACTTGTTCATTTGCTCTTTCTCTACATGTGTGCATATATAAGTGCATGGCCTGTAAGAAGTGCTCAGAAAGTGGCAAATGCCTCAATCTAGGCAGAGCCATAAATACCTGCACACATAACACACATATGTACCATATAACATGTCTACATATGTGTGTCACTAAAATGTGATAGAATTTAAACAGACAACAAGGTGGTTCCTGGCCTAAGTAGGACAGCCTGGCCAATGCCTATCTGTTGAGGAGGTACACTAATCTGGGGGGCACCTTGGTAATGCCCTCAAAGGCTCTGATGGGGCAGGCCCGGGCCAGTAACAAATGTCAAGAAGCAGACTACATATTCCTTCTTCAGCCCTCTCAGTGACTCAAGACATCTGACCCTTCTGCAAGTCTCACAATCCCAGACCCTCCCAAGTGTGTCAAAAAGAATGGGTGCATTTTGGCCAGGAATCACAGCCTGAAGGGACAGTGGTAACAGGTGCTTCAGAGAAAATGCCCAGGCATTTTACCTCTTGACGCCCAGTGCTCTTGGGACACCACTGTGAGGCAGGCTGCTGTCTAGAGGGGATGGAACTGTGGGGAGGTGGATTACAAGGTGAGGGCCTTCGGAGGAAAGTAAAAATGCAAGGGATACCAGGTAAATGCTTCCAGCAGGGAAACATCCTTGCACATTTTATATGCTGGGGCTTCATAAGCATTTTCTTCCAAGCCATTCCCAGTTCTAAGAGGCATCCTGCTGGGCTGAACTGCCTTTTCCTGTTCAAAGCAGCGAGGAGGAGACAAGCCCAGGCTCAGGCCCGAGCTGTGGATTCCGGATTCCACACCAGCCACAGGCTGCTTCAGAAGGGACCCCAGCCCGCGAGCTGCCCCAGGGCCAGGACCGCCTCCCTTCCTCAATCCCGGGATGGAGCACAATTCTCATAGACAATGGGGCTCAGAAAATGCTTGAATAAGGAAGTGCATTTTGAATTTAAAAAATGAAATTTTAAGACAAATTTTTGTTACACTACCGTATTCACAGGCTGAAATTTTCATTTTTAAGAGACTTCCCCCAACACCATGCATGGCACACATATTCTTATTTTACTTAGATTTAAAAGATGCTTTCAGAGGTTATGCAAACTGTTCAAGATCACAGAGCTACAGACGGGCAGGACCAGAGCCACATCTGTCACCAAGCCCCAGGGCCAGCATCAAATCCTGTTAGCAGCACTTCAGAATAACTTCTACATGCTGAGGGTCAAGAACAGTCCACCAGGAGAGGAGGGGGTAATGGAATGAGCTGATAAATAAATTTAGAAAAGCAGATTCCTCTAAACCCAAAGTGAGCAAACGAGAACATTCAGCATGGTAGAGAAGTCTGCAGGCTGACATGGGGACACTTCCAAGCTGGCCTGCTCCGCGGATGAGGTGTCAGCACAGAAAGCCAACACCTTTTTTTTTTTTAGCTTCATCACCCTCAAATGAATTCATGTTCTCATCTCAAAAGACCCCTAAAGGCACATTCACAGGCCAGCACTTTAGGCTGACCTCCACGAACCCAGCACTGATGTTTACTTTTAAATATAATTTAGAAGCAGTCAACTTTTCTTTTTCATGTTGTTCATCTGGGGCAGGGGTTGGAGGAGGCTGCGATGTTTGCTAATCCACACCAGTTTTTTGGGGTCACCATGCACCAGTGTGCATTCTTTGGCACTAATTGGAATGCAAAGTACATCACAGGCATGTATCCAGGCATGTCTATTCCTATGCACACTTACATATGCCTACGTACCTGAATATAAACCCATGGAGAAATCCATATAGGAATGCATGTGCTTTTGAGGCTCTAGAAAATCCAAAGTAAACAAGGGCCTCTATAAATGTCACACATATTCACATTCAGTACATGCCTTTGTCCCTATTATAAACATTCTCATTCAGAGCTCATAAAAATTCAACAGAAAAGGGAGTCGAGTACAGGAAAGAAAGAAGAAGATTGGTAAAAGCATTGTATCTGTCAATTTTTGAAGGATGACAGCTTTTTCAATAAAAATAAAGCATTGTGTCAAAATAATCTCTCTGTCTCTGTCTTCCTCTTGTCCTCTTCTCACGCTGTGTCTCTCTATCAGTCCCTGGGGCTCTGAAACTATTTCAATAAGAAAGTGCATTCTGAATTAAAAAACTAAATTTTAAGACAAATTTTTGTTACACTAGCATATTCATAGGCTGAAATCTTCATTTTTAAGACTGCCCCCAATACCATGCATGGCACACACATTCTTATTTTGCTTAGATTTAAATGATGCTTCCAGAGGTTATGCAAACTGTTCAAGATCATAGAGCTACAGAGGGTAAGGACCAGTGCCACTGGTACTGCCCTTTTCTTCCTCCCTGTGGCAAACATCATGACCCTTTGAAACCTACCAAATCCAGGAAGTCCGCACAGCACCAACCAAACCCCTGTGTCCCCTCTTGTGAGCCAATGAGGACCACTTCACATGCTACCACTCCTGATCAGTCTCATGCACTGGCACTTGGATGGAGGCAATCCTCCCAGCCCTTCACAAAACCTCCAATCGACAGCAGAGAAGAGGCTGCATGCTTGGAAGCCAGGCCCCTAAAATGCCTACACCCTACTCTCCAGAAGAACTGAACACAAAATAGAAGTTGCAAAATATATAAAGGCATCCTCTTGAAGTAAACTAACATTAACTGCTAATCTTTTTCACTGAAGCCTAAAGTCCCCAAACCCCCTCTGAATACCACTTGTAAAGCTGTTATAGGATAAGGATGCTCTGGAACTACCTAGGGGCGATGGTCTCATGACTCCGTAAATCTACTGAATGCTGGTGCAATGTTCACCTTCAAATAGATGCTTTTATGTTATGTGTTTATATTTTTAAAAAATTATGAAATAGTTTGGAAGCTGAGATGTATCAGAACCACGACTCTTTTTTTTTTTTTTTTTTTTGACAGAGTCTCACTCTGTTGTCAGGCTGCAGTACAGTGGTGCGATCTCGGCTCATGCAACCTCCGCCTCCTGGGTTCAAACAGTATTTAAATCCTGCCTCAGCCTCCCGAGTAGCTGGAACTACAGGCATGCGCCACCATGCCCAGCTAATTCTTGCATTTTTAGTAGAGACAGGGTTTCACCATGTTGGCCAGGATGGTCTCTATCTCTTGACCTCATGATCCGCCTGCCTTGGCCTCCTAAGGTGCTGGGATTACAGGCATGAGCCACTGCGCCTGGCGAGAACCACGACTTTTTAAAGGAAACCTTTTCTCATGTCTTTATTATTCATTTGTTTTGAAAATATCATCAAGATTAAGGATCAGCTAAGAAACAGAATAATTTACATCTTACATTTCATAATTTTATCTATTTTTGCTTATAGGGGAGACTTGAGATTAAACGACTCCCATTGTTACATTTTTACAAATATTTTTGTTTTCAAGAAAAGCATGTCCATTTGAGGCTCCCATGTGGAATTTCTGAGAAGCCTAAGGATACTGTCCTCCAACACATGGCTCCTGGGGCATAATGTGGCCATGTGGCAATACATTCAACAGACGGACGATGGCGAGGGCTGCCACTGACGCTCCCGCTTGAGGGCCCCAAATGGGTGAAGCCTGGTTGGGCCCGTCCTCATAAAGCTGGAGGCATTACATCAGTGCCTACAGCTGCTCTGCCATCTCCTGCTCCTGTCCCCAGTCCTTCATGCTAATCACAACCTCTTTTAAATGACAACACATCCCTAGGAGAATTAAACAGTATTTAAATTCATATTTAAATATGCATAATGTGAGCAGATATTGAAATACCCATCATTTTCCTGGAGTAGGTGCTGGCATTTAAAACATGAGCACACTGGGCACAAGCACATCTCTGGGAAAAGCAGGATTCCCAGGGCTCAGCCACCCAGGGCCAGATGCCCAGGGGCCTTCTCCGTCCCCCGACTCATGCTCTGAACCCAGACTTACAGTTGTCACTGGTCTCCCCAGCTCAGGGAACCGCCCTTCATATGGATGCTCTGTTCTCCTAACAGCATCAGTGTCCACTATTTGCTGAGTGTTGATCAGGTCTGGGCCAGGAGCCAGAGCTACATGTTCTGGTCCAATCTTCTCAAGAACCATGTGCAGTAGGAATGACTACTGTTGTACAGGACATGAAACTAGGGCTCAGAGAGGTCCCTAGAACTGCCTGAGCTCACCCAGATAGGAAGTCTCAGAGCCACTATATGTGTGCATCCAGCATTTGACCAGAGAGAGAAGAAATGTCAGGAGAGGACCCACCAGACACCACTCTGCCGTGTCCTTTTAGGCCTCCCTATCTGCTGAGAGATGCTTCGGACAGCAGTTTCCAACAGCTGAGTGTTGTTATCACAGAGCTTACTTGAGCCTGGCAATGGGACTAGAATCCAAATGCTGAATGCGGAAAATCTTTCCAAATATTTGAATGTCAAAATGCAGAAAGATCTCTTTGGTCACTTCAGCCTCTATTCTTCATGACTAGTTAGCTAACACCAAGCAGAGTTAAAAAAAAAAAAAAAAAAGGCAGTGAATTTCTACTGTTTGGTGTGTCAGGGAAGCTTGGGGCCGATGGAGGGGTTGATTCATAACGTTTGCTAAATCCTGTGGTGTAAACAATCCCGCCCTGGCAGATCCCAAGCTGCCAATGTGCTGTCAGCTGGCTCACAAAATTCCTCACACTTCAGCAATCAGCTCTCGGTACCAGCAGGTTCTGGCAAGCCCCAGCTTTGGGCATTCATCCCCCTTGGCTTCTGTTAGTCACATTATTTGGAAAAGACTCCTTTAATTCACCCATCTATTAATAAATCTAGAGATGTTTTGGTTTGCTTTTTGTGTATTCTGTTTATTGTTTATTGAAGAATCGCTTGTTTGTGAGAAGGGTGGGTGAAGGATGCCTGTGGCAGAAGCTGGCCCCAGCTGGCTCCCAGGCCACTTGGCACGGAAGCCTTATGGCTAAACTAAGTGCCCATAATACCCTGTTTTCCATGATGTGATTATTACACATTGCATGCCTGTATCAAAACATCTCATGTACTCCATACACACCTATACTATGTACCCATAAAAATAAAAAATAGAAAATAAAAAATTATAAACTAAGTGCCCAAAGGACCTGGAGAGAAACACAGAGAAGCGTGCGGGCTGCATTTGGTCACCCTATTGCGTTAGCCTGGATACAGATGGGTCTATCTTGTGACAGACTCTCCTTGACCAAACCTTAGCCAGGCTCCTCCAAGCCCTCTTCTCCACTAGGCCTCAACATTGGCCTTCCACGTCCAACCGTGGCAAGCTCAGTTCCAGCAAGAATCCTGCTTTTCATCCCCCACACTTGATATCTAATCCCCCTTGACACGTCATCAAGCTCCTCATCCCTCGCCATTTGTGTCTAAGTCCCTGGCCTGTCTGTAGCAGAAACCGTGTTAGGCCAGTTTAGCAAGAACCCCCCTACCCTTGATGTCCCTTCTTAATGACTTTCCATCCACCAGATCCTTTTGCTCTATTCCTCGGTCATAAATCTCCAGCTGTCTTTGCTGCATTTGGGGCTGAGCCCAGCACTTTCTCCTGTTGCAATAATCCTGAATAAAATCTGTCCTTACAGCCTTTAACTAACTGGGCTATTTCTCTTGGACACCTATCCTGGTGGTTGTCTGGAAAAGAACTTAACACATGGGGCTTATGCTGACTAAGGAGGTATCAAGTTATGTTTTAGTAATGCGATCTGCAGAGGAATTTTATGGAGATAGTGTTATACTAACTGCATACTAATTAACAAGAAGCCAGAACCTAATTTAAACAATAATGACAAAAGCAATACAATTAGAAAGAGCAGTCAGGCTCCAATTCCACTGTGTTAAGGTCAGCTGATTGCACCACCTGAATCCTACACAAATGTTCTGATTTCCTCCTATCTCTTCTGAAACCATTTGGTCTGTTCCAGCCCACTGTCCATCCCACCGTGTTCTTCATGCAGCAGCCACAGTGATGTGTGAAAATGCAAATCTGAGCAGTCACCTCCCCATCCTGAGGTTCAGTAATGACCTCACATTGCATGTGGATGCCACACCACCACCTTCTGGGAACTACAGAGAACGGCTCCTGGCCTGGCTCCACCTTCCCGACCTCTTACTCCACCACTCTTCTGCCAATCTCCTGTTGCCTTTTTGGCTACTCCATTCCCCTTCTACTCTTGCCCCTCCCAACCATTAGCAGACATGAATCTCTTCTCTGTGTCTACAATTTTGCCATGTAAAAAGTGTGACATATATGGAATCATACACTATACAGACTTCAGGTTTTGACTTTTCTCACTCAACCTAATGTTCTAGAGACCCATCCGGGTTGTTGTGTGTATGAATAATTCACTTATTTTTATTGCTGAGAAGTGTTCCATGGTATTGAGGTACTACAATTTGTTTAACCACTGGCCTGTTGAAGGACATCTACAGTTTGGGGCTATTAAAGTAAAAAGAGTTCCTGTACAGGTTTTATGTGAACATAAGTCTATTTCTTTGGGATAAATGCCCAGGAATGCAATCACTGAGTCACATGGCAGATGTAGGTTTTTCATTTTTAAGAAATTGCCAAAATTGTTTTCCACAGCAGCTGTACCATTTTAACAATCCCTCCAGCAACGTATAAGGGGTCTAGTTTTTCCACATGCTCACCAGTATTGGATGTTGTCACTATTTTTTATTTTAGCCATTCTGATAGGTGTGATTTAAATTTATATTTTGCTAATGGCTAATGATGTTGAGCATCTTTTCACGTGCTCATAAGCCACCTCTACGTCCTCTTCAGTGACATGTCTCTTTTTTTCTTTGAACCATTTTCTAATTTTTTTTCCTACTGAATAAAAATCCATTTATTTAATTTAGTCAGTGGCTTTTCTTTTTAATTTCAACTTTTATTTTAAATTCAGGGGATACTGAATTTGCTTAGGACAATGGCCTACAGCTGCATCCATGTTGTTGCAAAGGACATGATTTGGTTCTTTTTTTACGTCTGCGGAGTACTTCGATGGTGTATATGTCCCACATTTTCTTTATCCAATTCACTGTTGATGGGCACCTAGGTTGAGTCCAGGTCTTTGCTATTGTGAATTGTGCTGTGATAAACATACAAGTGCATGCGTCTTTTTGGTAGAATGATTTTTTTTCTTTTGGGTGTATATCCGGTAATGGGACTGCTGGGTCAAATGGCAGTTCTGTTTTCAGTTCTTTGAGAAATCTTTAAACTACTTTCCACAGTGGCTTAACTAATTCACATTCCCTCCAACAGTGTATACATGTTCTTTTTCTCTGCAGCTTTGCCAGCATCTGTTGTTTTTCGACTTTTTAATAATAGTTTGGCTCATTTTCTAAGTGAATTGTTTGTTCTTTACTGCTGAGTATTGAGAGATTATATACATTCTAGATGATATTCCTTTTTTTGGACATGTGGTTTGCAAACCTTTTCTCCTACTCTGCAGTTTGTCTTTTTTATCCTCTTCACAGGTTCTTTCCATAGCAAAAATGTTTAATTTTTATAAAGTCTAATTTGTCAACTTTTCCTTTTATGGTTCATGCTTTTGTCCTAACCTCATAACTCTTTGCCTAGTGATCCCAAAGATTTTCTCCCATTTTAAAAAATACTATGTTTTACATTTTACATTTAAGTCCATCATCCATTTTAAGTTAATTTTTGTATAAAGTGTGAGCCTTTGGTGGCTGTTCATTGTTTTGCCTGTGGGTGCCCAGGTGCCCCCGCATCATTTGTTGAAAGGCTGACCTTCCCCGACTTGCTTCTGTACCTTTGTCAAAAAAATCAGCTGGGCATATCTGTGTAGGCCTGTTTCTGGGTTCTCTACTCTGTTTCATGAACCTAAGTGTCTGTTCCTCCATCCACACCACAGTCTTGATGACTGTAGCTATACAATAAGTCTTGAAATTAGGTAACCTCATTCCTTCCACTTAATTCTTTCTCAAAGTTGTTTTGGCTATTCTGGTTCCTTAGCCTTTCCACATAAATTTTAGAATTATGTTGTCTATATCTACAAAAAAATCTTGCTGAGATTTTGATAGGAATTGTGGTAAAACTGTCTGTCAATCTGGAAAGAAGTGACAGCTCTACTAGGTTGAGTTTTCCATCCATGAAAACAGTATGTCTCCCCACTTATTGAAATATTCTGTGGTTTCCTTCATCAGCATTGTGCAGTTTTCAGCACAGAAGTCTTGTGCATGGTTTGCTAGGTTTACATCTAACCATTTAATTTTTTTGAGCTATTATAAGTGGCATATATATATATATATATATATATGTATACATATGCGATCATATGCCACCTCTATGTCCTTTTCATAAATATATGTATACATATGTGTATATGTGTGTATATATATACATACGAATATATGTGTGTGTGCATATACATATATATATATATATATATATATTTTTTTTTTTTTTTTTTTTTTTTTTTGAGACGGAGTCTAGCTCGTCGCCAGGCTGGAATGCAGTGGTGCAATCACAGCTCACTGTAACCTCCACCTCCTGGGTTCAAGTGATTCTCCTGCCTCAGCCTCCTGAATAGCCGGGATTACAGGCACGCACTGCCACGCCCAACTAATTTTTGTATTTTGAGTACAGACAGAGTTTCACCATGTTGGCCAGGATGGTCTCGATCTCTTGACCTCGTGATCTGCCCACCCCTGCCTCCCAAAGTGCTGGGATTACAGGCGTGAGCTACTCCGCCGGGCTGTGACTTATATTTTTAATTTCAGCTTCTACAGGTGCATTGCTAGCGTACTGAAATAGAACTAGTTTTTGTGTGTCGAACTAGAATCCTGCAAAGTGGCTGAATTTGTTCTAACAGTTTCACTTTTTGTTGTTGTTTTGTTGTTCCCTGGGATTTTCTTTTTTTTCTTTTTTTTTTTTTTGAGACAGAGTCTCACACTGTCGCCCAGGCTGGAGTGCAGTGGTGCAATCTCAGCTCACTGCAAGCTCCGCCTCTTCCCTGGGATTTTCTGTTTGGACAATCATGTCAGCAGCAGACTCAAGATTCCCTGGGGCTTTCTACGTAGATGATCATGTCACCAGCAAAAAGGGACAGTTTTATTTCTTTCCTCTCATCTGTTGTCTTAATTTCCTTTTCTTGTATTATGTCTCTGTAGAACTTCCAGAACTATGTTGAAAAAGAGTGCTGTCAGCTGTGGGGCTTTTTAGATGCTTTTTGTAAGGTTGAAGGAGTACCTGTCTTCTATTTTGCTGGAAGTTTTGAGTCATGAATGATGTGAATTTTGCCAAACTCTTTTTATTCTTTTTTTGGATTGACTGATATAGTCGTGAGCTTTTTCTTTAGCCTGTTAGTATAGTGTATTACATGAATGAATTTTCAAATACTAAACCAGCCTTGCATCTCAGAATATGTCCCATTTGGCTACAGTGTGTCAATCTTTTTATATATTGCTGTGTTCTATTTGTTTATGTTTTGTTAAGGAGTTTTGTATCTGAATCTGCGAGGGATATTGGTCTGTAGTTTTCTTTTTCTGTTCTTTTTGCCTGGTTTTGGTATCAGGGTAATACTAGCTTCACAAAATGAATTAGGACATGATCCCCCCTCTTCTGTTTTCTGGAAGGTATTGCGTAGAATCAGTGTTAATTCTTCTTTACATGTTTGGTAGAATTATCCAGTGAAACCTGAAGATTTCTTTTTTGGGAGATTATAAATTACTAGGTCAATTTCCTTATAGTTACAGGGTATTCAAGTAGTCTATTTCCTATTGGGTGAGTTGTGACAGTTCATGCTCATTAAGGAACTGGTCTATTTAACCTAAGTTTTAAAAACTATGCATGTAGAGTAGTTTGTGTATTCCTTCATTATTCTTTTGGTGTCTGCAGGGTCTTTAGTGATGGTGCCTGTTTCCTTCCTAACAATAGTAATCTATGTCCTCCATTTTTTTGTTAGTCTTGCTAGAGGTTTGTCAATTTTATTGATCTTTTCAAAGAACCACTTCTTTCATTTATTTTCTCTATTACTTCTCTGTATCTTTTTAAATTTCTGCTTAGATTTTTATTATCTCCTTCCTTCTGCTTGCCTTGGGTCTAGTTTGTTCTCCTTTTTCTAGGTTATGGAGGTAAGAGCATAAACTATTCATTTCAGAATTTTCTTCTTGCCCAAAATTTCCTCTCAGTGCGGCTGTATTAAAGCAGTGGATAAAGCCATGTCTCACAATTTTTGATATTTTATCCTCATTTTCATTCAGTTCAGTATGTTTTTGGATTTCCCTCGAGACCTCTTCTTTGACCCATAGATTATTTATAAGTGTGCTGTTCAGTTTCCAAGTGTTGAAGGTGTTCCTGTTGCCCTTCTGTTACTGATTTCTAGTGAGTCCATTGTGGTTGGAGAACATGTTCTGCATGGTTCAGTTACTTTTAGTCCTCTGAAGATTGTTTCCTGGCCCATAGATATTATAAATAAGGCCTACCGGGTCCCTTGGCCCTGAAGTCCATGGCTAGCTGGCCTATTTCTCCCCATCTTTCAGAGCTTTCTTATATTTGTCTTATACTTACTGTCCAAGGTTTTAAGTTGTACTTAGCAGGAGAAATAGAGAAAAGTATGTCTAATTCACCCTCCGGGAAGTGAAGCCTCTCCCTAATGGTATTTTAAAGCAAATACTGTCATTTATATGCACATCAGTATCTAGGCCTAAATGATACGCAGTTAAGCATTACTGCAGATGCCTAAAGCCTACTACTTCAAAACTGCACAGTGGCTGTGAATGGCAGGTACTATAGTCTGCATTTTTAGATAAGGAGGTGGAGGTTCATAGGGGTTACCTAAATGTACAAATTACATGGTTATTCCATGACTGTGAGACTTTCCATGTGCTTTTTAGTTGTGACATTAGGTCACTTCTAGGTTAGACAAGACAAAGTGAAACATCAGCCCTGTATAATCTGCCCATGGCTGTGGAGTCGGCTGATGGAGCTGAAACTCTGACTTTGCCACTTACTAGCTACTCAACTTCTTCGTGTCAATTTCCTTGCCTGTAAAATGGGGGTAACAGTAAGAGTGACCCATAGAATGTGACTGTGAAATGGAAGGAAATCATAAAGATCAGGGGACACATTCTGTATGGGCGAGCTACCTCTGTTATTACTGTGCCCTTGGAGGAGTCTCACAACTCCACTTGACTTTGCAGAGTGGGTGGGGCCTCCTGGCAAGGGCACTGGCTCACCACACTGTCTGATGAAAGCATCCACTAAGTCAGCACTGTGTTATCTCTGTGCTCCTTGTGGGCTAATGTGAAGTTGACCCTCCCTGGGGACTGCTGAAATAAAAATCTAGAAGGCTCACATTAATATTGTTATCATGTCACCTTTTTATATTTAAAGGCAAAGCCCTGACTTCTTCTGTGTGAATATGTACATGCAGATAGTACTCAGGACAAGTTGAAGCCACTGGAATCTAACACATGCTGGTGTGCAGAGCCATCCTCATCCACACATAGTGCAGCGCTCATCCACGCACAGGACATGGAGCTCATCTCCAGGCTGGGACAATCGGGCCAGCATAAGACAGCCAGGCCACTGGGTACCCCACGCTGAGCACCCAGGCTTCCTGCAGCCTCCTAGACCCTTCTGGAGTTTAGACGGGGCTCCACATTCTCTTATGCTCAATACAGTGATCTTAGAGGCCTCCCTCAGGAGCTGTTAATGAGTTTGCAGGCTGTTTCTAGTATTTTATTTCCTCAGGCTTATTACCCACCTTCCACTGTTTGTCATCTACCTATTTCAAACAAACCCGGTTTTGGTGTTGCAGGAGAAGACAGGATTCCAGGCCAGAGGGCTAGATGCCAGCCCAAACCCACTGAACACTTTCAAGCTAGGAGCCAAGTACAGTCACCTCCATGAGGAGGAGGGGTTACATGGGGTGGAAGGGACATCCCTCTTTCTGCATCTATTGAAATGATAAAAAATATAGAACAGATGCATGGCTACCTATGTGTGAGTCCATCATGCTAATGCATATTGGAACATACACACTTCTCATGTAATGCTCACATAATGTAGACATTAAAATGCAGCTTATTTTAAATTTCAGTAGCACTTACTGAGAAATACAGGCAGTATAACTGCTATATGCTACATATGAAGAGAGCAATTTATGGTCCTGAAACCATAAAGGGAATTTTAGGAGAAGGATGTCTTTCTATTACATAGTCCACAGGCTTGGTTTACTATGGAGAAAGAGAGAGAATGGAGCTAGCTGTCATGATCACAACACTCCTGGGTAAGGGGTAGATGAAAATACAAGTTAATGAAAGTCTCAGTCTCAGGTAACGTGCCTAATAACCATTAACAGCAGCCTTCACTAGGGCAAAAAAGCAGCAGCGTAATGAACGAAACTCCCAGAGAAGAGTGATTTTGAAATGTGCACGAGCTTTAGGTTTACATTCTCTCTCCACCTGCCTGAGCTCGGCCTTGTCCTGGACTCTCAGGCAAGTCCTCAAGTCCACCCAGAAGAAGTGCACAGTAACTCGCCCTAAACACCGCCCACTAACACTCTCTCGCCTGAGCCAGCTATGCAGACAGACGGACGCGATCAGGCCATGGACAGAGCCCCTGAGTTCCTGCAGAGATCCAGGGACAGTGATTAGGCACCCACTAATAACAGACAGGAGGGGCCACAAGGTACGTGTGAGAAGGCAGCTGGGGTGGCAGAGCTGGGGCGCCCGTGCGGCACAATCCCCACAGAGAACGTGAAGTGTGGGGTGGGCATTCTCGTTTCTTCAAAAGCACCAATGCTAAGCTGCCCGACAGTCACCACTGATGGTCCCATCAACTGCATATTACAGGAGGGTTCCCCACAGGATGCCAGGCAGCGATGCAAGGCCAGGTTGCCACCACACAGTGGATTTCACGGCCACATCCCTACATCTTTCCCAGCAAGATCCATCCTCATCCAAGGCTTCTGAGATACGACACAAATGGAAACATTTCTGCATACGAGTTCTTCTCTGTAAAAATGGCGACCCCGCGATGCAGCGCCTGAGTGCCGCGCGCCTGTGACCCGCGGGTAGATTTCTTACCACGTCCTCCTTTGTGCTGACTGGCTGGGCTGCTCAGCGGGGGCTCAGGTGGGCTGAACGGAGGATGGCGCAGCGCTGTTTTCACTGGAAAAGAAAGCAGAGCAAGGGGCTGTTGTCACCCTCCTTGGGCATGGAGCAGCACATGCAGCTAGTGTTACTTCATTCTTACCATACGGTGTCTCTGGAGACACAGGAAATGCTGGAGTTGAACACATGGACTCCTTGCTACTTAAAATTCTGCCATCGATAATATCGAGGTCCTGGGGATAGCCAGGGGTCATCGTCTGAAATTGGCACAGGGAGTAGAATGTGAGAACAGGGAGTCAAGTGAAGGCCCCTCCAAACAGTTGTGGTTGTGGCTCCCCCAGGCTGGCCCACTGAGCAAACCCCTCCTCTGACAGTAGGACAAGGAGGCTGAGGTCTGGATCCACTGCACAAAACCAGCCCGCCTCTCCTAGCCATGGAAAACTGGAAAACACTTTCACCTTCAACAGTAAAGGAAACGGAAGGTATCTTACGGCCCATCCTTCTAATACAATATACAGCTAATAAGTGAAGTAGACAGAGTTTGTAATGGTACAGGTAAATGAGTATCTCAATATTAAGCGAAAAAGCTGGATAAAACAGTCCTTACCCATGGTATTAATATATTCACAGATGCATAAAAACACATAGTATTTTAAATACATAGCACAGAAAAAAGGCCGGGTGGAAATATTCTAAATATTAACAGTGGTTTCCTTTGTGAGTCAAGACTATGAATAGCTTTTTTTTCTTGTGAATTCTGTAGCTTCCAACTTTGCCAACTTGAAAAGAAATCCCACCCAAGTCTAAAATAATTAATCGTTTTGGATACACCGACCTGCTTTACATCCATTCTGACTAGAAGCCTTACCTAGGCCTCTTGGAAGAGCAAGAAGCTCTCATCTGTGGCCCTCATCTGTGGGTCACCTCCTAGGGAGGTCTCGGAGGGAGGACTGAGGACCCTGTGTGAGTGTGATGACCCTGAAGGAAGGCTGTGTGTGCCACTGGCTGCTGCTGTCGGGCTATGGAGAATGGCTAAGGCCAGGCCTATAAGAGCCCTACCTCGAACCCACACAACCCACCCACATGCTGTGCTCCTTGTGCCCATTCTACAGATTAGAACATAGAGGCTCGAGTGCCCTGAGTGAGGTGGCCTCACCAGCATA
The DNA here is from genome assembly GCF_000001405.40 of Homo sapiens. Taxonomy (NCBI): domain Eukaryota; kingdom Metazoa; phylum Chordata; class Mammalia; order Primates; family Hominidae; genus Homo; species Homo sapiens. The sequence continues at coordinate 47,345,945 of NC_000007.14, forward strand.
GCTATCTCTGGGGTGCATTACCCAGGCCAGCTGACTGCACACTGTGCTCTCCCAGCCACACCGCTTGCCAGGTACAGAGGAGCCACGACCATATTTGTGAAACCAGGACGGAAGGTGGGTGCGGAGGATAATGTGGGCTGTATTCAGGGACAAGGCCTGGTCATTGCCCATTCACTCGGGGTTCCAGGACAAGAAAGGGAGTGGAATGGGCCCAGAAACTGGGACCTGGCTGTGGCACATACCTCTTTGACGTCCGCTGGTGAGGGGAATGGCGGCAGGTTTGGGGCATAGTCCACACCAGCCTTTCCCCATGCACATTTGGAGAAGGGCAGCTGCCCCCCAGCATCGTTGTCGTACTGCCCCAGGCTCAGCTTCCTGAGTCTCCCGCCCAGGGGCTGTTCAGCAGAGGAGCCTGTTAAAAGGGAGACAAGCAGGCTGCAGGGCGCTTCCTCAAGGCGGAGTGAGGCGCCCCTTCCTTAAATCTTGCCTGCTGCTTCTCAAAGGTGCTGTATGCTGCATCCTGGTCACCACTGCTCTGGGAAGATGCTGTGGTTGCTGAAGGCAGCTGATGGGAAACCCAGGGCATTCTCAGACTCTCAGGGATGAACAAGGCCACAGCCTTGGAAATGTGCAGCTTCCCCAGGCCAGCATGCTCCTTCCAGAACAGGCCACTTGGAGATAGGACCAAGCACCCAGACTCACTCTCAGTGCTGGGAAAGGACAGTGCCCGGATGGAATGCTGGGTGGGACTGACGATGACCCAGCTGGGAAGGAGGCCCCCACATGCCACCCCTGGTGTCCTGTCAGGACCAGAGTGCCCTGAGGACCACACACCTGCGGTGACCTTGGGCAGAGCATGGCCCGACTATGATAATTTGAATCTTAGCAATGAGAAATTCTGGAGAGGGAAAAAACCTATTATTTCAAGCATCAACAATAAATATTCACCATCCCAATCTTTCCTTGCCAGAAACACCACAGGCGGTTATTCCTGACACAGATCCCTGGGGTCCCCACTCTTGACCAAATTCTGTTCTTTTTGTGTTGGTGAAAATGGGGGTCGGGCTGGGATCTAATTTTCTAAAACCTCTTCCCAGGGATTCTTATCATTTGGCAGTTAGGAAAAACCTGCTGCCGGCTATTAAAAGAGGAATGTTTCTATTGATGACATAGTCTGAATATGCAAACCCAACAACACTGTCCCCTACAGTTTAGATTTAAACTATAAATACATAGTCCCTGTAAGTGTAGAGTGCAGAGTAGCATTTCACTGAAAGATGGAGTTTGATTCATAAACATGAGTGGCCCACATAAGGCTCCTCTTAGAATGACTTTGTTCCAAATTGGTTGATGGCCACCCTCCAAAATACATCATGATAGTGACATACAGTCGTGCTGAGTCCATGATATGCCACTGACACCTCCTACATCCAGAGACTTCAGAAGCTCACAGGAATGCAAAGGTCGGCATGATAAAGAGAAGGTTCCACAGAGAGCGACAAGACATCAACCCACCATGCCTGCCTGAGAGGAGCAGCAGGACCGCTGTAAGGTTTCTTGTTTCTGTCTGCAGCATGGGGGGGCTCCACTGCCCGACCCTACCAGCTACTAGATGCCATTCAGGTGAGGCTTAAGGAGGCTCCTGGGCTGAGCCAGGCTGTACACCACCCTCCCTGTCCCATGGGACATCTGCTCAGCACCACACAACAGCGACCAAGCAAGGGAGATCCAAACACAGGTCCTTCCAAGCAACCTTCCACCTCTTCCTTCCATCCTCTCTTCGGTTCCCAGCAGCTCCCTCCACAGATCCAGGGAAAGAAGGAGGAAGAAGTGTGCGTTAGGACCTGGGATTTGGGGTCTCACGTGTATCCCTCACCAGCTGCAGGACATCCTCAGCCCCCATTTCTTTATGGGTAAAATGAGCATAATGCTTGCTCTCTTTTCCCTCCCACAAGGGGGAGGATTAAATGAAATGAAATGGCATATCTGAGAGTCCTACTCACACAGCAGCCCCTCACTACAGCATCCTCATCCCCATGGTGCAGTGGTCCTCATCCTCACACTCACCACCCTCCACAGGACGCAAGTGCTGCAGGCCAGGGAGGGGACCACCCTCACTCCAGTGCTCTTCAACACACACATGCATTTGCAGCCATTCCAAGAATGAGTTTAAAGAGGGCTAGCAGAGGTGTGAGGTCACAAAGTTGGGCTGGCCCCACGCACCACCTGGTACTCAGCTCAGACGTGGAGTTTGTTCCTGAAGCAGTCAAGGTGGCAGGCGATAGCCCTGGGTGTTAGTGACGGAAAGGAAGTGTCATGGCCACAGACAAGTGACTGAGAGCCTGGTCCCCTTCCTGGAAAAAGGAGCCATGCAGCTGGCCTCAAGGGAAATCATTCCACCAGGGAGGACCTATCTTTGGAGAGCACCAGGAGCTCCGCTGCCCTGTACTGACATTACAGTCCACTCACTGCCTAGAACTTCAGAGGTCACTTCTAGAGAGGTAATTTTCAAAGGGGAGGGAATAGTACTTCTGTTCAACATGCAAGATAATATGTGGTGTTTTATCAAAAATGACATGGCAGTATCATTCCAACATGCAGTGTTGCATGAAGAACACAGAAAAAATGGCTATGCAAATCACCGATTTGAGCATTGTACATTGTATACATTTATCAAAATATCACACTGTGCCCCATAAATATGTACAATTATTATGTCTCAACTAAAAATAGTAATAATAATAAAACTGTGGACAGTGTGGTCAAGTGTTCTCTTTGATCTGGAGAAGGAGGATGGGAAGTGCATGTTAACGCACTCTGATCTCAGGCCTGAGGTTGGAAACTCACTGGCTTCAGAAACTGAGGTCCCATTAGGGTTAGCTGACAACAGCCAGCACAGCCTTGCAGCTGCACTCGAAGGCACAACCAGGTCGTAACAGGGTCCGAAAAGGAATTTCCAGGACTAAAACATAAGTCTCAATGCAGGACGCTTAGACTTCTTCTAACCTTTCAACTTGGAAGTTTCCTTCAACATGTCTCCTTTAGAGCAGCTAGGGAATACAATCTGTGCATGAGCTGACACAGAGCCAACAGTGGGCTCCGTTCTGGGCCTCCCACACCAGAGGAGGCTCTGAAACACAGGCATTCTGTGAGCTGGCCCCAGAAATGTTCCTGTTGAACACATGGATTTGAAACTGTTCCTCAATTCTCTCTCTCCCCAAAGAATTACAACGAAAAACAATGTTCTTCATTCAAAAAGAGTCTCAAAAAAAAATCAATCTTCATTTAAAAAAAGTCTCAAAAAAAATCAATCTTCATTTAAAAAAAGTCTCAAAAAAAATGTTCTTACTGTCCCACCTCCGGTGCTTGTGCTCAAATCTGTGTGGCACCATGTCTGGTTAAGCAGAACTACATGCCTCTCCCTCTGGATGGATCAATACTTCTCAGTATCCTGCCACTGGGACCACCAGGAGTAAGATGGTTTCCACAATGGAGGGAACTCAGCGACGGAGAGCAGCTGTGGGTCTGAGGCCAGAAAGAGGCTCTGCAAGCGCAGGAAGAATGGGGGAGTCAAGGCACCTGCAAAAGCAGGGCCACCGGGCCCTGGATTCCAGGATGTGGCCTGTACAGAAAGTGTGGCTTCAGCCCTGCAGGGTCCTGCTTTCCATTCCCAAAAGGGAAAAGACACAGGCACACAAGGTCAGCAAGGCTCAGGCCTCTGTGGGGTGTGGAGATCCCTTCCTCTCGGACTGCAAACCTTGGAAATGAGAAGTTTGAAACGCCAGGAAAAAACAGGACAAAATGAGACAGGGTTTAAGATACTGCAAAACCACTACGTGCTAGGATGCACCCACATCTGCCCAGGAGGTAGTTACAAAAGAAAGAAAAACAGGAGACCAACGTTTATCCAGCAACAGTGACAGTCTAAGCCTGGGCAGGTGCTCTCATAGAGAAAAGCCCATTATCACTCCATTAAGGCGGCCTGCTACGTCTTTTTTGCAGACAAGGAGAATGGAGGCTCAGGTCTGAGTACTCATCCTACACCACACAGCATGTCAGCAGAGAGCAATGATTTGTCACCACATGTATCTGACTTTAAAATCCACAACTGCCAACTCTATTCCTCTGTGGTCACTCTTCCTTACCCACTGGTGCCTTTCCTTCCCTTCCATCCCTTCCCACCCCAAAAAGCCTACACGGGGCAGACAGGGGCCCCATGAGCCCTGGGAGGCACTGCCCACTTCCACTGCCTGTGGTGACAGAGGGGCCCCTGGGAACAAGATGGCTACCCTCATCCTGCTGAGGAAGGGGCACTCTTCCTCCCGGACATGTCCTGATGGGGCAGCCAGCAAAGGCTTCACAAATTCTTCTGTCTCTCGTGTGAATTTCAGATTTAACAATGGTTTATTCTTCCCAGTCTTAGGAAATCTGCCAAGTGTCTAAGTAAATACATGGGGTCCAGCAGAGAACCTGGTGGGGGTGCATTTCCAAAGGGTCTGAGTGCACAGCAGTCTAGAGAAAAGGAAGGAGGGACAGTTTTCAAGTTCTTCCCATCTGAGAGTCCTTGGCTACGGGGAAGGTCAGAGAAGAAGAGAGAGGGCAGCTTGCTCAAGGCGTTGCTACCGGGCTGGCGGGAGCTGCTGTTGAACCCATGTCCTGTCACCAGCAGTAGATGCTCACTCAGAGGCCAGCCCAGGGGCCACTTGGCAGGGGTGGACTCTGCCTCTCTGCTCACAGGGGACGAGTCCTCAAAGCCATCTCCAGAATGAAATAAGAACAACACAAAGCTGGCTTAGGGGATCCTACAGATAATGCAGCAAAGGCTGGGGCTTGGCACACAGTTGCAGGCAGTAAGTGTTATAATGGGCCACACTCAAAATGGGCTGTTCATGTTGTCATTAAAAGTCAAGTTTATGGAACTTGAAGTGGACAAACACGCTCCAACATTAAGTGACAAAAGACAGTGGGCAAAGATGCATGTGTAGTGTGGTTTCATTTTTATTTTAAAAACTAAGAAAATGTCCTAAAATGCTCATAAGAGCTTCTCTCTGGGTTGTGTAATTCTAGGCACCATTCATATTTTTTCGGAAATGTTTCTATCTTTCAGGGTTTTCGCCAGTAATATGTATTACTTTTTAAAATTAGGGAAACAACACACAGATTACCTTCGAGAGGAACAAAGCTTCTTTTATTTTGTAGTACTCTGTGCTGCTGTACTGAATTTCCCTAAATCCCGTTCTAATTTTGCATTAGTATTAGTTCCTGTATTCTCCCAAACTCACGTGTTTGATCCTTACACTTTTCCTTCTCTCTGATAAATCTCCCATGTCTGATAGCCATATGAAAATTAATGTGGGAGGTAGTTTTCTGGACCAATATGCTCAGAGGAGATGTGGAAGTGACATTCTCATTTATAGCGAGCAGGGCTTATGCTTCCCAGAGGTTACAATGCAAGGCGTCCTGCAGCAGGGGTCTCTCTCTCCCTTCTTTAATTATTCAACAGAGGGGATCTCGGTGCTCCTTTAATTGTTCAACAGAGACCCAAGGCAGGCCCACTAGCTGTCTTCTTCAGGCAAGACAACTTGAACGTGAGACTCCACGCTAGGTCCAAGGTAGATGCCCAGGAAGCCCAGTAGTGGAACAGAATCCAGTCAAGGCTCCGGTGCCACATCCAAGCCCAGGACGTTCCACCAGGCGCTGCCTCCCTTTAACCCGTGCACAACGTCTAGGGCAGAGATGGCAATGGAAGCCAGGCCACGGCACCTATGTCTGCTGTGTGCAAGAAAGAACCAAGGAAGGCCCTAGGGCACGGGTGCAACAGCGAGCAGGAACTAAGCTCAGAGTGGGGTTACAAAACGGGCTCCTGTCCGTGAAGAATGGACCACGCTAGGAGTGCTCCCTGGAGACTGGAGCTGCCCCTCCCACACACCCCGCACCTCTCTCACAGGAACACACCCACATACTCACATGCACACAGTCAAACTCTCATGTGCTCCCAGTCTCCGGCACTTTTTCACACCCACACACTTGCAGACACATGTATGAACACTCACTCTCACGTGGTCTCTTACACACATTTTCTCATAACACTCATGCAGACTCAGCCACTCATGCATTTGCACACACACTCTTACACCCACGTCACACACACCTGCATACTTCACACTCTTAGTCTCTCACACACTCTTACACTCACACACCCTTGCACTAACACTCTCACCCACATTCACACAACAGTCACAAGCAGACACACACACTCATGCTCTCACACTTTCTCATATACTTACACTATACTCACTGGCACTCACACACGTGCAGTCTCTCACAGTGTTTTTCATGATACACACATTGTCACACTCACATTCAGTCTCAGTCTTGTACACTCACAGACAGCCTCACACAGTCTCACACTCATTCTCACACTCACACTCACGCACAGTCTCACACGCTCACTCACACCCACCCTGTGCTCCAACACGGCCCCACAGCTGCATGTGCTGCTCACAAACGGATGGTCCGTGATGGTGGAGGGTCAGGTTCTGCATTCTGAATACTGGCCCCACCTCATCACCCTGTATCTGCAAACCTCACACCTGTGTCAAACAAGCCCTTCTCCCCACCTGGGAGCTGCCTGTCAGGAAGCCAGGGCGCTGGCTGTTCCTGGAGGTCCGTCCTTTCCATCCTGGCCCCTTCTCCAGGACGAGGCCACCCATCAGCATCTCCACTGTAGAGGGGTTGGTTCCTGGCTCCCTTCCAGGGGCAGATGCAGCCAAAGGCACCCTCTTCTCACTGAGAGCTGCCCCTCCACTCAAGGCCCCCAGATCCTCATCCCATCTACTGCTCTGACTAGCCCAGCCCCTGGGTCCACAGGTGACTCCATGGCAGTGGTGACTTGCGCTGGGTCTCGAGTGTGCACACAGAGCCCACAGCCCATGTGCTACACCAAAGTTACACCAGGGACTTCCAGAACCACTCTTTTCATGTGGCTACAGGTGGGGCAGAGGTGGGAGAAGCAAAGCACTTTTGCTTCACACTCTGATGTCTGGGTGACCTATGAGAGGCCACAGCTTGGGGACATTTCCTCAGGCGGTTCATTTGCTAGCTCTGGTACGCTGCCTACCAGGATCAATGCTCACCTCTCCAGAGAAGGTCTGCATAAACAGCAAGCTCCGTACCTCTGCACTGCCAGCTCAGAGAGCTCTTGGATTGCTTTCTGAGGACAGAGGCAGTAGCAGCCAGCTGTCCCAGGTGGGGACAAGGATCAGGTCTTATTCAGCTCCAAAGTCTGTCCAAGCTGAGACACCCTGCGGGTTCAGTACTTCTTTGCTAAGTCGGTGAGCTCTGAAGGGGTGAAGAGGTGAGGGGTGAACAGGTGAGCCCAGGCCACAGGTTAGGAGCCCTGGCGCTGAGGCACTGACTTCTGAATTAAACCCAAAGGAGGCCCTAGCACTTGGTAAAACACTCTCTCTCTACCCCAAATCTCTCTTCCAAAGTGACTGATTTATGGTTTTCTTTAGTATGATGTTCTATCATTGCAGAAGATTAGAAAAACACATAGAAACATATGGAAGCAAACCAAGCTCCCTGGAACCTGTGAAGAGCCACATATCTCAATGAAGACACACATGACTTTTACATTTCTTTTTCCTCACTGAGGCTTAATTCCTGAGCACTCCCCGAGGGAATCATTTAATTGTTTGAGTCCATCAATTACTTCTTACACACTTCACATCAATGTGAAATGACCAGCACCTGAAGCAGTCTCTTCCTGTCCCCTAGCCTCCCTCCTACCACAGCCCAGCACCCCTCCTCCTCCACCCTCCTCAGCTGCCCTGGTCTTGCTTGGGACCACAAGGGGCCTCACCCTACAACCATCCTATCCTTGAGCTTCTGGTAAAACTGCAGGGGCCAGCAGTGTAGCCTCAGGTCTCACTCCGCAACCTGCAGCCCTCCCACTCACACCTGCAGAAAGGGGAGGTATGGCCTTCACCAAGAATATTACATTATATGCATCAAAAGGAAACAAACAAACAAACACAGAGGACAAAACACACACACACACACACACACACACACACACACACACACAAATTCCAAGGTACGACAAAGAACTGGCCGTAATGCAATGAGATTGGGCAGTTTGAACAATGAAATCATGAATTGAATAATTATATTGTTAAGGCCTATTCTCCAAACACTACTACAAAACTGTCCATGCCTATATATTTTTCTGTTCAGTTAAGAAGTCAAATCCAGGAAAAGAGAAGAAAAAGGAGACCTCATGGGAGCAGGAGAGAGCTGCCACCACACAGATGGCTGTCACCTCTGGAAGGAGCTGATAAGGGGACAAGAGGGAATTTGCCAGCACTGGAGAGCACCTGCAGGGCTCTGGGCGATCCGCCCTCCCACCCCCAGCTCCCCAACGTACCCCTTCTCAGAAAAACCAAGGAGAAAGGGAACAAAACCCAAGCTCCCACACAGGGATGTTCACGGGCAAAGGGCAGCTCCCAAAGCCCTGGGGTGGGGCAGGGGGGCACCTGCATCTGGCTGCACCCATGGCACACACACCCTGATCTCTCACACCTGTGCCCACCCTGCTCCCAGCCTGAGGCCCAGGTGCTGGGGAAGAGCTGCCCTTACTTCCCTGCCAGTTCCCAGCCAGGAAAAAAAAAAAAAAATCCTGCATCCTCTCCTTACAAAGGTCATGAGTACTCAGTGCAGAAATCTCAGGCCCCTTGAAACCCCCAGTGAACACAGACCCCGGTGATCTGCAGGTGATGTGCAGCTTCACCCACTCCATGCAGCTGGGGTCTCTGTGGAGGGAGGGACAGGCAGTGGCTTTTTCTTTACACAGTCTTGTGCCCCTCTTGTCGCGGTGACACGCTCATTGTCCACCAAAACATGACATGGTAACATGGTCTCCAAAGGTCACATGACTGGACGCTGCCCATCTCTTTGGGCAGTCCCCACACCAGGCATTTAGCTGTCTTCGCCCAAGCCTCCTTCCCTCCAGACACTGGGTGCTACCCACCCAGAGCCTCGGGAACCACGTGACCTTGAGTATAAAATGGGACACATGCCCCAAAGTCCCCTACACTGCCACTCCCAAAGACCAGCATGTTTCCTCATTTAGCAGTCTCACTGTTATTCACGGGTGGAGCCGGCGTCAAGGACAGATAAGGAAACGTGCTGAGGGCTGCCCAGCCAGCAAGTTGCGCAGGGTCACCTGAGACTCCGCCACGCCCAGCGGGATCTGGGATTCACCACAGGGTGCAAAAGGACACCGAGCCTGCGAGGCAGGAGGACGCTCAGTCATTCCGGCCCCACAGGAGGAGCTGGGGATGGTGGGGCCTCAGCCCCAGGTGCATCCTATGACGTACCTTATCCAAAGCCACCACAACAGGGTGGGGGACGGTCCTGACAGGGAATCCTCACGTGCTCTGAGGAAAGAGCAGGAAAGCCAGTCCTTGACTGGGGGCACCCAGGGGCCTCGTGAGAAGGGGATGCATCGCCGTCAGAGCCCTGGAGAATCAGGGATTCAGGCCAAGACACTGGGTGCTGTACTAAACACATGTGGGACTGAACTCAGCCCAGCCTGGGGGTCAGCACTGTTGCCATCAATTCACCCCTGAGCAGTCTGAAGTGCAGGAGAGGGCTTCTCAGATCGCTTAGCCAGAAAATGTTTTTTAAATTTTGTTTAAAACACCCACAAAGCTCTTCGGCAACTTTCCACCTTGTCCAAATACACTGAACTCCCAATTATGTAAACTAATTGAGAGTGTAAAATAACACATCCTGATAGGTAAGTCAGTACTTATGTTGACCCTGAGCTGTGATTCTGTGATTCAGACTGCTCTTGGAGACTGATCTTTGCCAGCGCACGGCCTGGCAGATCCCAGGCCCTGAGGCTCTGCTGGGAAGTGGGATGAGGGAGGGGAAGGAAGATGGGTCAAGTGTTCAGGAGCGGACACCCACCATGCTGCCCACTCACACACTTCATGTCACTGCATTCTCTCCACTGTGGGGTCACATAGCCCACTCTGCCCTGGTGAAATAAAGCCAGCACCCAGGTGGAAGGCAGCCCATGGGGTCGCCTGCCTCTGCCTCTGATAACCAATACGTGACTGTTGGCTGTCCTCTAAATTCCACAGCAGGGTCACAAATCTTAGAACCACCCTGCGGCACGTTCCAGCCTCAATGAGCCAAGGGCCAGCTCTCCTGGAGGCTGGGACACGCACCTAAGTTGAGAACTGCAAATATACAACAGTGGTTCTCAAAGGCCATTGTCCACCTTTTATCACTAAAATCCTAAAGCTCGGGCCTCACCTGTGAAGTCAGAACCTCCAGCGGTGAGACCTAGGTGTCAGTATTTTTAAAAACTCCCTAGTGTTTCCAACACACAACCAAGCTCAAGAATCACAGCAGGTCTCAACCCTGAATTAGCACTGCATTATTTGGGGAGCATTTTTAAAGCAAGTCTGACATCCAGGCCCCACCAGGGCCAACTCAATCTGCCACCCTCTGGAGGTAGAAGCAGGTACCCACATTTTTAGCGTCTGCATTTTTAAAGCTCCCCAGGTGACTCCAACATGCAAGACAAAGTGTCCAACCTCTGTTCTAAAAGAGACGGAATCCGCTCCCTGAGCAAATCTTCAGGATGCAATATTGACTAAGACAGTAGACCTTAGGTGCTCTTACACAAAAGTAACTAGGTAAAGTGGTGGATATGTCCATTGGTTTGACTGTAGTGATCCTCTCCCTATGTATAGATATAACAAACAAAATATCATGTTAAACACCTTAAATAAATACGATGATAAATAAGTTAATTAAAACATAGAAAAAACAGGGGCCGGGCACAGTGGCTCACGCCTGTAATCCCACCACTTTGAGAGACTGAGGAGGGTGGATCTTTTGAGCCCAGGAGTTCCAGACCAGCCTGGGCAACATGATGAAACCCAGTCTCTACAGAAAAATACAAAAAAAAAAAAAAATGATCCAGGCATGGTGGCACATGCCTGTCGTCCTAACTACTCTGGAGGCTGAGGTGAGAGGATCAATTGAGCCCAGGAGGTCAAGGATGCAGTGAGCTGTGATCACACCAACTACACTGCAGCCTGGGTGACAGAGTGAGATCCTATCTCAAATGATAAATTAATTAATTAACTTAAAAAATAAGAACAGGTGAAAACTCATGACATGCTAGAACATTACCTATTTTAAAACATGCCTTCTTTCATTTTCTATCTGGGCACTAGAAGGTAAAGTCCCCATAAGCTACTGATTTATCTTGATGTGATCTTCTAGGAATAAAGCGCGACATCACACAGGTGTGCCTGATAGGTTCTGGAAGCTCCCTTGCATTCCTAGGAGTGAAAACAAATAACAGGCAAAGACTGCTTCACGGTGAGCTTGAGGCCTCCAGACTTCAGCTCATTCACACACACACACTAATCTTTTCGAGACAGTGTGTAAAAGGAGGCAGGGTGGCATGACAAGGATGCCCCAACACTCCTCCCAGCTGAAATGCTCCCAGAAATGGTTTTAGGAGTCTTCTCCCAAAACTGAAACAGGACTGATTGACCAGCCCCTTCCACGTGGAGGGCATAGCCTTAAAGAGCCGCACAACTTGCAGTTTTTTACAGCGTAATGTGTTAGGAAATCATTAGCCAGGGTTCTGACGGACATATCAAGACCAACCCAGGGAAGAGCCTTCCCCTCCCAGGCCCACCCTCCCTCAGTCGTGCTGTCTTCATGTCTAACCCTGATTCTAAGAGAACGGGTAGGCGCCGGCAAAACTGCAACAGAAGGCGGAAGGGGGGAATCCCATTTTTTAGATTGCAAAATTGAAAATTCTTTCCACTGGGAAACACTGAAGTCCATGGCTAGGTGGTGGCATTTCTTCTAAAAAGGCATATTTAAAAGGGAAATGATACGTCCACACAACGAAGCCCTCCAACATGAGAAATGCCAGCAATACCCCATGTTTTGTAAGTCAACTGTAACCTTACGTGCAGATGTGAAAAGCTGCAAACCACAGAAGGGGGACCCCCGCCTGCCTCACACACTGCCCCGCCCCAAATACCTCATCAATGGGGCTTCTGTACAGGCTTCAATGCCTGCCTGTTCACATGCATTGGTTTTCTTTTTGGATCACCCCCCATCACGTGACCTTACTGGCCTCTTCCACTAACACTTCATCTTTTTTTTTTTGACGGAGTCTCACTCTGTTGCCTAGGCTGGAGTGAAATGGTATGATCTTGGCTCACTGAAACCTCTGTCTCCCCAGTTCCAGTGATTCTCCTGCCTCAGCCTCCCGAGTAGCTGGGACTACAGGCACGTGCCACCATGCCCGGCTAATTTTTGTATTTTTTAGTAGAGATGAGGTTTCATCATATTGGCCAGGCTAGTCTTGAACTCCTGACCTCGTGATCCACCCACCGTGGCCTCTCAAAGTGTTGGGATTACAGGCATGAGCCACCGCGCCTGGCCAACATTTCCTCTTTTAATCACTGTGGCGTTTATTATCCCATGCCTCAGTACGGATACAAAAGCTGTCCACCTTCAGGGCCACATGGGCTGCGCTGAACATAAGTGTGGCCACAGGTCCACCAGGCTGATGAACTGTGGGGAGCGACGCAGCCGGTGACTTCTGGCAGAAGCCGTGGGAGCCGGCAGTGCTCTCGGGAGTGTCGGCAGCCTTGGGTGCACAGAGAGGGCTCACCCCTCATCCCAGGTCCTGGCATGAGGCCCATGTCAAGCCACAATGCAGTGGACATGTGGCATGATTGGAAAAAGACCATGTTGCTTTATGTCCCTGAGACTGTGGATTTGTCGTAACTGCTCCACCCTGACAGAGGGAGAGAATTCTACCACCACCTACCTAGGATTCCATAAATTAGCAGTTCCCCTGAGCCAGCACTCAGGCCGTTAGGGTCACACAGATCAGCCCACTCCCAGTGCAGCTTAGGCAGAGCTTCTGGGGACAAATGAAACACCCCAGAGACCTGGTGATACCAAATGACTTTCAAGCATCAGTGGGGAAGTTCCCCAGCAAGTTACAGAGGTGCCACAGGACCTAGCAACCCCTCTCCTGGGTAACGCCCCAAACAACTGAAAGCAGGTGTTCAGACAAACACAGGCACACCCATGATCACAGCATCACCATTCACCGAGGCCAAAGGTGGGAACAACCCAAGTCTCCATCGAGAGAGGAATGAATAAACAAACTGTGCTCTATCCCAGCTGTGGAATATTACTCTGCCAGGAGCAGTACTGAAGTTCCCACATGGGCTGTAACACGTCCGGCTCGAAAACATCACACACCACGTCACAGGAGCCAGCCACAAAAAGCACATACTTTGTGATGCCATTTATGTAAAATGTCCACAGTAGGCACATCCCCAGGGACAGGAGGGGATGAGTGAGTGCCAGGGGTTTGGCAGGGAGGTGTGGACAGGAAGTGACTTCAGGGGGTATAAGGTTTCCCTTTGGGATGACGACAAATTTCTGAAACTAGATAGTCATGATGGTTGCACAGCAATGCAAATGTCCTTACTACCACTGAACAGTACACTTAAAAATGATTAAAATGCTAAATTTTATGTTACATGTATTTCACCACAATAAAAAATTAATGAGTATTTTTTAAACCTGAGGGATGATTTCTGTTTTCTACTGTGGGCCGGACCAAAGATTTTCATCTCAAAATTCATATGACTTTATTGTGAATTACTTTCTTTTTATTTTTCCTTTGACATGAGTGTTAGGGTGTTAAATTTAGTTTTCAGTATGTGCTTAAGGAGGTTATATTCGCTATGACTTTCATCTCAGAAGAGTAAAGATGGCGCTAGAAGGTATCTGTTATAGAAACGATACTTCATTTTGGGCCTGAACCAGTGAAGGTCCCTTGATGTAGCTATCACGGGCAGTGTGGACTGAGCAGAAGGTGGGCTGGAATCCACACCTCAAAGTCCCAGAAGGCCCAGATAGCACCTTCTCCTCTGTGGCCCTAGCCTCTCAGCAGTGTCTTCAGAGCGCCCACCAAGGTGGTAGGGTGGGAAACCAAGGCCCCCTGCTTTGCAGAGTGAGAGTATCTGGGGCAAATGGAAAGCTTCATCAACTCTAAAATTTCAAAGTTGGTTTTATGCAATAAAAAGAAAGTAATTGCAATGGCAGTTTCCCCAAGCAGACTGGAGTTTCTCATTCTAAAACGTTTTCCGAATTGGACACCCACAGAGCTCCCTGCAGTGCAGTGGGCTGACTCGGTTATTAAATGTGCACTCACATACACATGACCTGTTCATACCCACGGCCCTAAAGCATCGGGGTCTGAAGGTGGAGAGGAGCTGTGTCTAGTCCTGACCCCTGGGCAGGAGTCTCTTTTCAGAGTTCTCAAGGCACATAAATATCCCATCTCTCTCAGAAACCTCCAGAGACTGAAGCTCACAGATGGAGAAAAAGCCTTGTTTTGCCAGTGGTAGCAAACAAAGAGCAAGAGTCCCTCACGGACGCATGTCCAGCGCCCGGGGCCCTGGCTCCTTGGCTCCCAGACCTCCTCTATCCTGGTTCTCTGATGTGAGTACCAGGAAGTCCCTTTATAAGACCTGGGTCCTAGGACCTCACTCAGCTCCCTGGAGGGGGTGGTGGCCAAGGGAAGCATCTCAGAATAAAGGTGACCCTGGGCTGACTGAGACCATCCAGAGACAGCCCCCAAAAGGCAGAGGTGCTGCCATCAGCCCTGGTCTCTTGCTGACGCCTGAGTCCTTGGAGGGCTCCAGGAGTGTCTATGCCTGGTGCTGCGGTCACTCCTCCATCCTCCACCTCAGATGCGCACGCTGCTGTCTTCCCCCATGCTCTGAGGGCCCGGCACTGGCAGGATGATGCCCATAACTGGGCACTGCTCAGTTATAACACACAGTACGGAAATAACGACACCTGGACTTTTAGAAAGTACCATGGATCCCCTGTGTCCCTAGCACGGATCTGAAACCCCCATACCCAGATCACTAATAGCCAAATTCAAGGCCCCTTCATTCTTCCAATGTCCAGCTGCTACGGGCGCAGGCGCTGGGGCCCACTTGCTTACTTCCCTCCCTCCCTCCTGAGATTCTTCCTCTGCAGAGTTGGAGGCCAATGCCACCCCATGGAACCCCCATCCTGCCTAAATGCTATCCTCCATTGTCTCTGGGACCCTAATAGAGCTCCCAGGCTCAGTGCACCTTCTCAGTGCCTTCTCTTCTGGTAAGACAGTAACCATGCCAAAAAAAAAAAAAAAAAACAAGCAAGGGCCCAGCCCAAGACCCCAAGGCTCGCCTCTGCCCTCAGGGAAGAGCCACACTCCTTGGCCCCCATCCTGGCCCTCCATGGTGGGGCCTATCTGCATCTCCAGCCTCACTCCCCAGCACTGAACTTCCCTGGCACACTATGCTTTCTCCCGGTCTGCCTCTCCTCCAGACCATCTGCCTGGTAAGGATCCCTCTGCCTCACAAGGCCTGGCTGAGAGGCTCTGGCTGAGCACCCCCAGCACGTTCCCCAACTCTGGAGTTGAAATGAGGTGGGACTGTCTGCCTGTCTCCACTTTGTGAGGCTGTGAGCCTTCTGCCACGGAATCAGAGCTTGCAGATAAGCTGCTTTCTGAATCCTAAAGCGCTCTTCCAGCTTTCACATTTGGTTCCTTTGGTTGGGGTTTAGCACACAATTTAAATCAACGGGCTCTCCATGGTCAATTATTAAAAGCTTACAGTTTCCATTGCTCTGAACTTTCTTTAGGATGCACAGGTTATCAGCCATGGGTTAGCACTAACAGAGCAGATGCCGAGTCTGGGAGGGACATTAAATGCCTGGTGGGAATGCCACAGCACTATCTGCAAGCAGAACAGGGCCTGCCAGGTTGCTGTCATCACAGGGTGGAGGTTGATGTAACATGAATAAAATATTTTGACAACATGAAGCAAAGAGCCCTCAAGGTATGAAAAAAAACCACAGAACTGGCTTTTTGCCACCCACGGAATCATGAATTTCACAGGTTGAGTCATTTCTTTTGTTACTGGGATATCATCAGTTGAAATATTCTCCCACTTAAAAGGGTATGATACAAAAAACCCACCACGTGCAGGCTGAAACCAGGCTGAGACCCAGAGTGGGGCGGGGACAATGAGCCTGGCAGCAGCACCCAGGGGCTCTTCCACAAAACACCAGTGGCAGCAGAAGTCAGACCAGAGTGAGGGAGCAGGGCCTCATGGCTGGCAGGCACTTGTGGGGAGTAAAATGTCCCCAAACCAACTCCCTGAATCTCACCCATTCTACAAGAAGGATACAAAACTGTGCTCACTGGCACACAGAGCACCCAGGTCTCAGCCACCAGAGCTTTGTGATACCCCACCTCTGGAGGGCCTCTCTCTGATCTTGTAGGTGGGCAGGGCTACTCTACACTGTCCAGCGATAAATCTCCCCTCAGTGCCCATTCAGCAGAGTAGTTCAGGTCTCAAAAGGATCATTTGCAGTTCCGCCTGTCCCAGACCCCTGTATTTGCAAACATATGTCGAACTCTTCCTGCATGCCAGGGAAAAAAAATAATGAGCACTTCCCTCAACAGGTTTACTGGCTGGTGTAAGAGTGTGAGTTTAGTGGAATTAGGACATAGCCATGGGGTGCAGAGTCAGAGAGACGAGAGCTCTGTTACGTGTCCTGGTGAAATGAAGGTACCTAAAACAGTGTAGGCACTCAGAGTAACAGTTCTTACTATTACCAACATCATCAACATCACCATCACTAACACCACCATAAACATCATCACTATCATCACAGTCATCACCGTCATCATCACTATCACCAAAGCATCATCACCACCATCAGCATCATCACCATCATCACAGTCATAACCATCATCACTGTCATCATCACCATCACCATTACCACCATCAACATCATCACAGTCATCACCATCACCATCACCACCATCAACATCACCATTACCACCATTAACATCATCACCACCATCAACATCACCACCATCATCAGAGTCATTTACCATCACCATCACCAACATCATCACAGTCATCACCATCATCAGGGTCATCACCATCACCATCAACATCATCACCACCATCACCGTCATCATCCACCATCACCACCATCAATATCACAGTCATCACCATCATCATCATCATCATCATCACCATCATCACTGTCATCATCACCATCATCATCATCAGTCATCACCATCATAAGGGTCATCACCATCAACATCAACATCATCACCACCATCAACATCACCATCATTACAATCAACACCACCACCATATCCATCACCACCATCAATATCATCACAGTCATTACCATCATCACCATCACCATCATCATCACCATCACCATCACTGTGATCATCACCACCATCAGCAGCAGCACCACTATTATTATTATGGTGCTGGTATGAAAGACTTTCTCAGGAAATACTTAGCCTTCACATATAATTTTCATCTCATAAATAATGCAGGATGCACAGAAGTCCCCCGGAGGAGCACAGGGCAATGCTATTCCCAACTCTCTACCACAAGTGGTGGTCTTTCTCATAATGAGGACATAATCTGCAAATAGTGAAAGATTCTGGTAACTTCAGGATGCTGAGGTCTCTGTGACAAACCTTCATCCACAGTCAGAATTAAGAAAGTTGTGTAGCAGTTTGTGTCCAGGGATGAGATGGAAGGCAGGCCAGCAAGAAGGGGCTCATGTAGACATAGTGCTCTCAGAACTTCCAGTCTATGGTTTCCCCTTGTGAGCGAGACTCAAGGTAGTCTCCAGTCAGTCAGGCAATGCCACACTATCTATGGGGCTGAACCTCATGCACACAGATGTGGAAATGATGCCCCTTGCAGGGTTAGGTGATGGTACCATTCTGGGCATGTCATGAGCCTTTTGGACGTGCCAGAATCCTTCCTATTCACACATGGATCTAAGCTGAAAGAGGAGGGCTCCAGCTCAACAGCCCTGGTCTCCTTTGGCTGGCTGAGGAGACGGATATGGATTGAGGGATCTAGGACACCTTCAAAGTGCAGGCACTCCAGCAGCATCCCCAACCTTCTGACGATGTCCCAGGGACTCGGAACTAGCTGCTTTGCTACCACACTTGTACGCGTGTCCCTGCTAGGATCTAGTAATTTTTGTTTTCTGCCGCTTGCCAAAGTAGCCATTTCCTATTGAGAAATGTCAATACTGAAATTTAAATTTTAAAATCAAAAGAGTTCCAGTGTTTTCTATACCTGCTAGTGAGGGAAGAAACAATTCCTTCCTTGCTTAGCTGCAGTGCCTGAGAGCTACAGAAGTAAGCAATAATTTTTTTTTTTTTTTTTTTTTTTGGGCCAGAGTGCTTGCTCTGTCACCCAGGCTGGAGTGCAGTGCACGGTCTCAGTTCACTGCAATCTCTGCCTCCTGGGTTCAAGTGATTCTCCTGCCTCAGCCTCCCAAGAAGCTGGAATTACAGGCATGCACCACCATGCCTGACCAATTTTTGTAACTTTGTAGAGACAGGGTTTTGCCATGTTGGCCAGGCTGGTCTTGAACTCCTGACCTCAGGTGATCTGCCTGCCTCGGCCCAGTAAGCATCTTTTAATGGGATTTCTATCAGGTCAGAAAGTCTTGGACTGAGATCCAAAAGCCTGCCATGCAGGCTGTTCAGAGACCACCTCTACACTGTGCAGGCTTTTGACACTAAATGAAGTGCAAGTCTCAAGGCTTGCTCCATCTCCCAGCTTGGTGCTTACCTAGCACAAGAGGCACGTCCTGGAAGAGGAAGCGGAGCTCCCAGGAAGGGCATGGCTCACTCTGCCCTGTTTCCAATGCTGCGGCTAACCCTTCAGTGTCCATTCATCACTGCTCATGGACAGTTGCTCATGTGTGGCAGGGTTCCTACAAGAAGGTCACTTCCCAATTTTAAAAAGCTCTGGGGAGACTGGTAACCAGTTTTGCTTATACCTAATCTTCTGACATCTTTTTAGTTCTGAAGCTATGAAAAAAATGGACCAATGGCCCCAGATGCCTGTCAAATATGAATAGATTAATAAATACTTTAAATTTGTATTGTCAATACCCAAATATGCACTGAATTTTACTGGTCTGTTGTTGAGATATGAAAGTCCTTAGACTTCAAAATGATAATTAAATAACTTTTATAATAAAACGCATTAAAGAGTATCTAAAATCAAAATCAAAATGTGTTATTGGGCTGGGCGCGGTGGCTCATGCCTGTAATCCCAGCACTTTGGGAGGCCAAGGTGGGCAGATCGTGAGGTCGGGAGTTCAAGACCACCTTGGCCAATATGGTGAAACCCCATCTCTACTAAAAATACAAAAATTAACCAGGCATGGAGGTGCACGCCTGTAGTCCCAGCTACTCGGGAGGCTGAGCCAAGAGAATCATTTGAACCCAGGAGGCGGAGGTTGCAGTGAGCCAAGATTGTGCCACTGCACTCCAGCCTGGGCGACAGAGCAAGACTCCATCTCAAAAAAAAAAAAAAAGTGTTCTCAAAGTAACGAGTTTGGCTGGGAGCAACGGCTCATGCCTGTAATCCCAGCACTTTGGGAAGCCGAGGGGGGCGGATCACAAGGTCAGGAGATCGAGACCTTCTTGGCTAACATGGTGAAACTCCATCTCTACTAAAAATACAAAAAAATTAGCCGGGCGTGATGGCGGGCGCCTGTAGTCCCAGCTACTGGGTTGAGGCAGGAGAATGGTGCGAACCCGGGAGGTGGAGCTTGCAGTAAGCTGAGATCACGCCATTGCACTCCAGCTTGGGCGACAGAGTGAGACTCTGTCTCAAAAAAATAAATAAAAAAATAAAGTAATGAGTTTACCAAGTAATTTAAAAACAGCCAAACTGAGGGTGGATAATATGATGTGGCTTTCGAAAATTCCAGGCCTTATAACTGTTTCTTTGCAGCAAGAACAGGGAATCACTAAGGATTGAATTCAATCAATTGGAAGACATATTAACCTCAAGAGACTACTATATGTTAACCTAAGCCAAGAGACTACTATATGTTAACCTAAGTATGTGGAGTCCTCTTCTCCACATACACTCAGATGCCTCCAGCCTCCTCCAAACCTACATGAGATTGTTATCCAGGAGAAAAGACTTCTGATTTTAATGTTTCCAAGTAACTTCTTTTAAGAAGGTTTGGTGAAGTAAGTCAGGTATGATACTGCAGATAGTTTTTTCCCATTAGAGCCTTTTTAGTAAACTCAGAATTTCCCAAATATATTTGTTTAATGCATCGACCTGGACCTATTGTTCAGGGACTGCTACCCTGCTGTGGTGTTGTGGTTGCTATACGGCTGTATTGTAAAGTCCAATAATCTACTCATGGGGGACTCTCCAGGCTCCTTCCAACTCCCAGCACATGACATACAAAGAGGGAGTTACTCAGGCAAGCTGGAATGACAGCTGTTTGCTCAGTCACACACCTAGTACATGAAAGGTGGATGTGAACGAGCGTTTCTTCACACCTTCCCCGGGCCAGGCACTGGGATAGGGTTTCCTTCTCACAGATGGAGTGAAGAGAAATTCACAGAGACGCTGCCCTTTACCCACTTGCATCACTCAGGCAACCCACAGCACACTCAGACCTGAAGCCAGGACCAACATCTGCAGGGTGTGTGCTCCTTCGCCCAGGCCACCCCAGACCTGAGTCGGGACTGCAGTCCTCACCTGTGTGACTCCAAAGAGGATGGAGACACTGAGTCCACACCTCAGGGCACTGACTTTTGCTCTACTATGCAGGTCCCATGTGAACCTGGGCAGGCCACATAATCTACTGACACCTCCATCAACACGACTGTAAGGCAGAGACTGGTGCCTGCAGCCGGGGTGCTTAGGACGATGACATGGGCCAGCACACCTAAACCAAGAACCACGCCAGCATAAATGGTAGCATCTCTCATCCGTGTTACCAGCACATGGTGGGAATCACATGCACGGCGTCACACAGCCATGTCCCTTGTCCTTTACCTCTCTGGTCTTCACTTTTAGAGGCAAGTCCCTCTAAGGAGCCAGCAGCCCCCAGATGGCAAAACACCCCAACGTGCCAATGTGGGAGGCCCTGGCACCACACGGATGCCACACTTTCTGGCCCAAGGTTATCCTTTGGGTCCTGGTCCTTGCATGGCACTGCCAGGGCTCCCAGAACACAGCTCTGTCTCTCCACCTTCTGTAGCCTCCCAGTGCCCGCAGGCACAGCCGCTACAGCCTGGCCGTCCTCTCCTGGCGTGCACCTCTGTGCAGGAGCTTCCAGACCACATGATCTCACCCACACAGTCCCCTACCTGAGACAACCCTGCTCCGTCCCAATGCCCCTCTCTGCCTGCTGAGTGTTTCCCTGGCCGACCTGACCACCTCCAGCTCTCTGGTCCCCTCAGCCTTCATGCTTTCCCAACAGAAAGAACACTGTATAGTAACCTGGTCCCAACATGCAACTTGCCCCATTACATCGATGCAGCTTGAAGATAGTGCTGCTGTAACCCAGGCAGATGTCACTGCCTGTCCACCACTCTCAGCCCTGGTTCCTCCCAGGCCTCAAGGCTGCACAGAAAGGCACTGTGCTGGTTTCCAAACCACCAGCCTCACGGGAAAAGGACATGTGCAGTCCTGGCCTCCCTGCAGTTAGCATGACCCCGGCCTGGTTTTGGGGCATCCCCAGAGGCCCCCGCACCGGGTCCCATGGCTTTGGGTCCCACCACAGCTCTCAGTCCCCTCACCCCTGGGCCTGTTCCCCCAAGCCCCTCCCATCACTGAGCTGCTCTCCACAGTAGAACCCCTTGTGGACCCCAGGCCTCTGCCCAGCCACTGCCTTCCATAACCAGTCTCCCCACACCACCACGGCCAACTCTGACAGGTGTATTTGTAATCAGAACATTTTATACCACGACTGCTTAATCAATTCCTTGTGCCAAAGCTGTCTGAGGGCTCAGTAGTCTTCTTCATCCCCAACCTTCAGCCCCACTGAAGTACCTGGCATTCTTCCACAAAGCCCTGACCTATACCGCAGGGACAGAAGTAAGTATGCTTTCTTTGTAAATCCACCAACATTCACGAAGGAAGAATGGTTTCACTGTTAAGCCCATTCTGCAATGGAGGCATGACCGGCCCTTTCCAGCAGAGAGCATGCTGTCCCTGCCCCTGCACTGACGTTAACAGCAAGTCTTCTGCCTGGTTCTTCCCATCCTCCAAATCTCCTACCAAGGGACCACACCAGCATGACAGCATTTGGATCCTAGGCCAAAATTCACAAGAGTTGAAACTGCAAGGGAAATGTCCCTCCCTTGTGGATTTCGCCAAAAGCTAACCTACTAGGCTGATTTCTCATCACACATTAGCCTCCCGTGGAGCACCTCCCGTGGAGCACCTCCCATGGAGACCCAGCTCACCTTGCCGCCCGGTGGCCCTGCTGGGGCCCTCTCCTGTGTCAGGCAGCCTGCTGCTTGCCCGGAGCCCACCTCCCACGCTGTCTGGAGACACAGAGCCATTGGCCTGGCTACCGAGGGCGTTCATGTGGGTAGGGATGGGCTCGAAGGTGGGATCCAGCTCCAGGATCAGCCTGTTGAGCTGCTCGATGGACTGGTCGATGTCCAGGGTGGGCGAGCCTGGGGAGGGGCCTGTGCTCAGCTCTGGGCCGGCTCCATTCACAACCTGGTCTCCTGGAAACCTGGGTTTGAACGCTTTGCTGGGAGAGGGCTGCTGTGTGTCAGGGGGATGTGGCCCACTGCCTACACCCCTCTGGACAGCCACCCTACTGCTGGTCCCTCGGGTGGGGGTGAGTGGCACTCTGGGCTGGGCCTGGACGAGGCCAGGATTGTCTGCAGGGCAGCGGCTCACCAGCCGGGCCTCCCCATCTGGGGCGAAGCTATACTGGTGAGCTACAACCATCTGCTGCTGGCGCACCCAGGTCTGTGTGGAGTAGCTGCTCTGCCCATAGGCCTGCATCTGGGCGGACACTGAGGGCTTTCTCAGCAGGGGCTGGGGCTGCTTGGGCTCTCGACTCCCAAAAGTCCGCTCCCGCTCATAGGGGCCGTCCATGCCAAGGCCCAGGTCCGGAACGAGGGTGCCCTGCGGATCTTCACCAACGTTGCTGCCAAAACCGTCAGATAGGAGTGAGTTCTGGCTGCTCTTGTGGCAGGTGAAGGGACCCAGGTGGGCCGACTGAGGCCCTTCCGAGGAGGACAGGGTCCCAAGGCTGTCCACACTGTGCAGGTCGTGGTGGGGCATCTCGTCATCCAGAATGTCTGTCTCCCGATCCTTCAGAGCAGCGTCTCCATTCACGTGAACCTGGGCTGGCACCACGTGGCGGGTCCCACTGTACTTGCTTCGAGCATCAGTCATTTCCTTGAGGGAGCTTCCAGGATCTTCCAGGCCAAAGCCACTGAGCAGCTGGTCCAACTCTGCCTTCTCCTGGGCACTCAGGCCCCTCCTGGTTCCTGGGGCCAGGCGCTCTTCCGTCTTATCCGTCCTGGCAGAGGCTGTAGAGTGGCCGGAGTCACTGCTGACAGACAAGGTGTGGTCACTGTGGTCTGGGCTGTTGGTGGCCGGGATTGCCTGGGGGCCACCTGGGATGCCAGGATCCGAGGAGCTTTTCTTCCTCACCTTCGCGTAAAGGCTGCCATCGACAGGGCCCTGCGTGTGTAGCACTGCGGGGGAGAAAACCGGAGAGAGGCTTTCAGTCAGGGATGAAAGTGAGCCTCACACCCTCTGAATGGGCGTGTGCATCTGTCTAAACAAATAAATGGATTCAAAATATGACTTACAATAAACAAGGACAAAGATTCCTCTAACATCACAAAGTTCTATATATACTCTGGAGGATGCCAATGAAAAGGCATTCAAATAAACATCTTCAGGTGCTAGAATCACTTCTACCTTTCCATGCAAAACAAATTGTCATTTTGAACTCTGGGATTCTTCACCTTTTGAATCATCTTGCCTTTAGGGCTCATGGTTAATTTCATCATGATTGTGAACATTGAGCTCGGCTTGGATCATAAATCCCCAAGAATGGACTGTTCATCTTAGACAAGAAGAGCTTCCGTTCATAGACCTGTCTAACATTTGTTGAGCATCAGCTAGGTGCTGGGTAGCAAACTCCTACTAAATTGAATGTCTTGGTGAAACCCGTCTCTATTAAAAATACAAAAATTAGCTGGGCGTGGTGGCGCATGCCTGTAGTCCCAGCTACTCGGGAGGCTGAGTCAGGAGAATCACTTGAACCTGGGAGGCAGAGGTTGCAGTGAGCCGAGATCATGCCACTGCACTCACTCCAGCCTGGGCAAGAGAGCAAGACTCCGTCTCAAAAAAAAAAGAAAAGAAAAAAACTGAATGTCTGCTCAAATGTCAATACGAAATTCAATGAAAAGAGAAAGTGCAGGAATTGATTTGGGTCTTCCTGTTTGGCACAGCAACTTTGGGCCACGTAGGTGCCGGGTGAATGTCTCAGGATCACAGACACTTGAGGCTGACCTGCATGCGCTGATTTCCATACATGGAATGTCAGGAAAATGAAACTTTGAACTAAAGTGTGGGCAGGAAGGGCTGAAGCATCAGCTGCTATTATTAATCACGGCCATGGCTCTGGCATTCGGGGACTCCCAAGCCTCAATCTGCTGACTGGCCAATTGCCGCGACCACACATAGCAGGTCCTTACCAAGAGCCTCCTAAAATAAGCGGGAGTTTGTAGTCAGCACATGCCTCACCCCATGGGCCTCCCGCACTTTCTTCTACTTCCTCGACTGTGAAATTGCAAGCATTCCACAGCCAGGGAGCTGCTGGTGGTGGGAAGCCCACGCTGCGTGGGCACCTGGAATTTGAGAGACGTGAGCCACTACCTAACAGCAGTCACTGAGCCTGGCCCAGGAGCCCTCTGGAGGGACCTGCCCTGAGCATGTGCCTCACAGCCCCGGGCTCCAGGTTGATGCACCACCATGGTCAGCAGCTGCTGGCCTTTTTGAAAACACTGGGACAACGTGTTGGGACAGAGTCCCAAGGGGTCCTGGGGTGTGGTGCTGAAAACGCGCCCACGCCAGGCTTTCTTCTTGTTTCAACAGTGCCCAAGGGAAAGCACGCAGAGAAGTGGGGAGTGGGGAGAGTGGACACAGGGGTATGGGCCCGTCTGCAGTGGCCCTGACTCCCATCCTAAAGTCAAGCCTAGGGGAGGAAGGGTCTGGGAGTAGAAATGCTACATAAAATGCTGAAAATAAACCAAGGCTTCAAGGCAGGGAAAGTGATGACAGAACATATGCCATGGGATTAATTCAAGGTAACAGTCTCAGTGACAGCTACTGTTTTCTGAGTACCTTTTATTGACAGGGCAGGAGCATCGTGCATTTTCTCTAATTCTCACAGTATGACCTATGTTGTTATTCCTTGTTTATCTATAAGGAACTGAGGATCAAAGAGAATAAATAACTTGCCCAAGGTCAGGCAGCTGCTAGGAGGTGGAGGTGGGCCTAGAACCCAGGTGCACTGGCCCTGAAACCTGTGTGCTCCTGCTGGCCCACTGCCCACCTGCCCAGAGAGCACCAGGAGGGCACACACCTGGAGGCTCTGTCAGTGGCCCTGCCCACAAAGAGGTGGCATTGAACTCACATTGCTCTGACCAGGGATCAGTGAGTGACCAGGCTTCAGACTAGGCAGAGACTAAAAAACCTATTTCGCCCAGCTCTGTGCAAATTAAACAAAGGGAAAGACTGGAAAGACTGGACTAAACTATAAGGCATGTGCAAATATCACCTCTACAATTTCAAAAATGGAAAATGCAATGCATTTGTTAATGCCATCACTAGGTGACTGTGAAGTAGAGTGGTCCCTTGAAGAAGCTCTGGCATCAGATGGACACTGGTTCAAATCCCAGCTCCATCCTGAGTCCACCCTTAGGGTTCTACCAACTGGTGCATTCACCTTGACCTTCAGCTTCCCCGCTATAAAATGAGGGTGTGGGTAGATGGTTCTATGTAAAGGTTGACCTGAGAATTAAATGGCATAGCACACGGGTGAGTGTCTTTATAGGCCCTGAGTAAACATCAATTTAATTTGGTTTCTGTTTAGATTTCCTGTTACCAGGAAAATTTAACAAATGAAAGAACCTGGTAAATCCTTCCTGCTGTTTTCAGCGTGTGAGAAGGAGGTGCTGATAAACGGCTTCTGCTCCGTGAGAATGACAGAAACTACTCCTCCTCCCCACGATGGAAGGTGTTGTATGGCCATCAGCCCAGTCCCTCCCACGCCTGGCGGGCAGCCAGGACACACACTGCAGGGCCACTCAGCCCAGAGCATGAGCCTACCCATTACGGTCACAGATTTCACGCTGCTAAGTCTATATGACTTCCCACACTCTTCTCCCTAAATCTGAGTTAAAATAAATTGGCACAATGACTTAAAAAAAAGCCCAATAATGAGTTGTAAAACAATTCTTCTAATCTAAATTAAAATGCTGTCAAAAAGTGCTTATTAATCAGTCTGAGGTGGAATCCTTCAGCTAGCTCCCTGCCCCGTATGCTAAGAACAGTACCTGATTAGAAGGCCCTGTACCAAATGGTAAGGCACAGGATAGTCCCTCTCCTGGGGGGAGGGTATGAATAATCCTATTTTATTAGTAGTAGAAATCTTAAAATAATAATAGATGCATTAAAAACAACAACTTTTCCATTACCATTGACTAAACACTCCATCTACGTCAGGCCCATTCTGAGCACTCAGAGCAGGGTCTCATCGAATCCTGACAGCCCAGGTGGCGTTCAACCACCTTCCTATTAATACATGAAAGTACAGCCATGGGACAGAGAGAGTCCAATCCAACTGTGTCCAGTGCCAAAGACCAGGCTGGACTCTTGCTAAACTTCCTGCTACATACATAGGTAGTTTTCTACATCAGAAAATGCCCAATAAATGTTAAACGTACAGGAAAAGAATATGAAACATATCAAGTGAATTCCAAGATAGGACTGGTCAAGCTTCTGAATCACTCTGTAGGAGCACAGATCTTCCTAAAGGTGCAGAGCTCTGGGTAGGCCATCCCAGGAGCTCCACAGACAACCCCCTGCACCTACACCTCCGTGGTCTTCAGTGGGGGCAGGAGAGTCAGCCTCAGGGGGAGGGAAGGAGAAGGGGCCTCTGGAACACACCGTTCCTATCCTGTTTTCTCATAAAGGGCTATCATTTTGCAAAAGGAAGAGCTTGAACTTCAGTCGGACAAAGGAGACGGCCGTTTCCCTTTATCTTTGAAGATGGGATCCCCATTCCACCATTTACTCTGTGTGTGTTCCTGGTCATGACATTCAGGCTGTTCAGTTTCCTGGTTTTACGTTTACAAAATGGAATGCTTCCTATCTTTCAAGGGAATGAAAGATACAAAGATGCCATCCATTTTTCTCTTAAAGTTATGAGAACTAGAGAATATGGACATAAAGTACCCAGCTCATAGGCTCCAAGTAAGAGTACTCATAATTACTATTAAAGGCTCTTCCCATAGTGGACAGGGCCTTGCATCCGCTCCCTGGGCTCATCTCTTTACCGCCTGCCCTGTTCCTAGCAGTCCACTGCAGGCATGCACCTGCCCTGTGGCCTTGGCTTTTGTCTTTCTCTGCATCTCAGCTCCCTCACCTCCTCAACAGGTGCTGCCCTACCACCCTTTCCTCACTGAGTTTTTGTCCACAGCACATACTTGCATTCAGAAGAACTGCACCTTTACCCACTGGAACTCAGGCTCACTGAGGGCAGGGAGTTTGCTTTATTTTGCTCTCCCTTGCATTTCTAGCATTAGTGAACAGCCTCTGACACCCGGTGAATATTGAGTGACAGGCTAAAAGTTTGAGCTTTTTCACACATGACAAAATGTGGGGAGCTATTTTGGAAAGCTCAGCTGCCTTAGCAGGCAAAACAAGCAAACGAAGAACAATCACCAACCAAAACCAAACACACACACAGCCCACAAGGATCTGAAGGTAGAAGAGCCGTGCAGCGCTTGGCCACCTGCAACCCAGGTGTCCCCACTCTCTGGGCCTCTTCCCAGGCAGCACAGCCAGGTCCAGCCATCCGTGAGAGGCGGGAGCAGGGCAGCCATCACTACTGACCTGGCTGGTCTCCAACTGATAATGAACACAACTGGAAAAATAACTGAAGTCACCCAATCTAAGGGTTCTAAATTCCAAAGAAAACAAAAGTCATGACCTAAAGGTTAGCCCATTTGCCCATGAAGCAGGAAGCATGGGCCAGAGATCCAGGGAACATTTGAACATTATCTGGCCACAGTGTGCTTGGAACCAGGGGCACAAAGATTAATGAGACAGAGCCCTGGCAAACAGCAGCTGCAAGCAAATGGCACCATGCTATCTGCCATTTCCAGTCTCCTTTATCCTCCTGCCACCTGTGAGGCTGGCGTTTCGTTGCTCAAACCCACACAGCTCCAAGTGGCAGGGCTGGGTAAATATCTGTCTTCTGACCTCTGTATCGTCTATCTTCTCACCTATGAAACTGCTACCTCTACACTGGGCACATAGGAAAGAGCCTCATCTAAACACTTTCTGCCATTGCTATGCTTTCTAAGACTCAATGCAAAAGCTGCAGGATAAGAGCAATAAAAAGAGAATCATGACTAGAAAAGACACCTAACAGAGGTGTGGAAGCAGGGTCACTGCATGGCTGACTGCCAGTCTCGCCAATGAGAAACCAAACAGGAGCCCGCACCCTGCTGTTTGCAGCCCCCAAAGGCGCTGATCCATCATTAAAGAATACCCTCCTTAACTGATGAGAGAATGCTACTGATAATATGGTTCTGGTTTGGAAAAGTGATGTAGAAAGACCACAGAAATGACATAGCCAACTAAACTCCCATTTGTGGTTCCTGGACATGGGTTGTGGGTGGGGTTCCTGGTGCCCTGATGAGCTCCTAGGAGCAGGCAGGGTGAGGAGCCCCCACCAGATGAGGGAGGCTGCAGGGCTTTAAGTCTCCACTCTGTCTCTGGCACCTGATGTGCTATTAGGGCTGACACTGCTGTGAGGAGGTGGTGGGGTAAGGACAGAGTTCTAAAAGGTGGGGTCCTGCCACTCGTCTGCTCCTTCCATCTTTTTATATCATTAAATAACATATTTTAACATTTTGCTTCCATCTCAAAGGGAGCATGGGGAAGTCTGAATCAACCCTCATTCTGCAAATTCAGAACCTAATCTTAGAGTGGGAGGAAGTAACTTGCAGGGATGCCATAGCTCTTCAGCTGCGGATGCAGGAGGAGAACCTTTCCACATCTCAGTCCAGGGTAAATCATCCCATTCGGTGTCCCCTTTCCCTTGCGTTGCCACCAGACCCAGCCAACGAGCATCAAGGACCTCCCCTCCCAAGGGAGGCTGTCCACTGTCTGGCAACGATTTCCTGGTGGCCAGATCTTAGTTAAAAATCCAACAAACATAAATACAGCCCTGAATGACTTTCACTGCATGACATACCAGTGAGGTTTATCGCCTGGAAAAGGACCAGAAGGAAGAAAATACAGAGCATACATTCTTGTCTCCTTGGAGGACTTGCAGCAACAGACTTCCTCACCCACCTTCCCTGCAGGGGATCCTTCTCTTTCCAACCCAACCCTGCTACTGAAACGTGGCTTTCCCACAAGGAGGTAAGAGGGTTAAGAGGCACTCAGAAAGTATTTCAAAAGTCACCCAAAAAATGGAGAAGACCAAAAAAATATATGAAAACATCCCTTCCATCCCGGTTGAAAACAGATTAGGCAATGCCCAACTGTGCTCCCCGGCATGCTAACAATCAGATAGCCAAAGGGACAGCTGATCTCACACTTCAGCACCCTCCATCATCAATCACTCAGCAACCAAAAATATTCATCACTGATGTGTAATCCACTGAACTGTCCACTGGCCCTGCTTCCAACAGAAGTTGGTTTGAAGCAAAGGAAGGACAAATCTGATAGATTTATGAAGCGACGTGGAACCTTTCCTTTTTCTAGGTATTGATGCTAAGAATCTCATGTTCTATTTTTGTGACAGGTGTGCTTAAAAAGTAACTTTTTCATTTCAAAAGAACTAACAGTATCCTCCCTGCAATTTTTTAGTTTCAAAGGAGAAACTAGAAAATTCTTCTCCATGAAAGTTGGTTAGAATTGACTAAGCACTTGCTATGATTGCTAGTCATAAACGGGGACTTAAAAGCAATACTCAGCCCAGTCCTGATGATGTGCTGGAGAATGGACAAGCCCCCTTGGGGAACAGAGAGAGAAACAAGAGATGGAAAGGGTGGTGGGCACATTTCACGGCATCCGAATAGACAGATCAACAGAGGCAAGGGAAAGACGGAGCAGTGTGTGAGAAGAAAGGCATCCACTGATGCTGAAGCAGCCACCCTCAGGTGAGCCAGGTGAGGCTGCAGGAATTGGCATCTTCATCACCTGACAAACAGAGAGAATTCTGGAAACACCCCTCTCTTACAACTCAGCTGACCTCCTAAAGACAAGGCCACCGTGCAAGCTCCTCCCATGCGCCCAGCACACTGTTAGGCCCCAGGGATCCTACTCAATTCCCAAAGCAATCCTGTGAAGCAGGAAACGGGAAGTCCATTTTACAGATGAGAAATCAGAGGCTGAGAGAGCCTGCACTAACATTAACGATTTTTTTTACAAGCCTACTGAATAGAATATCTGAAATTTAAACCAACCTCCCTCCACTCCAAAAAAAGATAAAATTCTAATCCTAGTCAATCACTTTTTATATTTCACAGATCAACTATCTAGATCAAGACACACACACACACACACACACACACACAAACTCATATACACCTCACTCACTCTTCAGAGACTATTAAGTGCTTTGTGCTTTCCTCCCTAACTCCTAAAATTATTCATTATCAGGAACAGACCCTTGTGGTGTCACAGCCGCTGCAGTGATGGTCACAGTTTTTGTTCCGTTTCTTAAAGCTAGTGCATTTCTATCCTCACAGTTAGTGGATCGGGTGCTGTTCCTAGCATGGAGTCTTCAGTTCTCCCACACACCCATGGTACCAGCAGCCCCATCGGGGTCAGGAGCCATGGATATGCCAGAGGTCCTGCCTGTGCCTGGACCACCACAGGGAACAGGTAGCTTCTCCAGACACAGCCAGGAACCATCCTGTCCCTAGGTCACCCTCAAATGACTCACTTGGGGCCGTCCAGCTGAATCAATTCACCATATCCAAACAGTCCCAATAAGTGGAGGCTTATTGGAATGATGTCTGCAGCTGCAAGTGCCCATGGTGGGCTCTGACAACCACAGCCCAGGGAAAATGCTGAAGACAGAGAGGCTTCGGTTTCAAAAACGAGTGCTCATCTGCAGGCAGTCTCCTGGAGGGGTCTCAAGGACTATGCCGAGTGAACACTGCCAGACTCAAAGGGCTCGACTGTACGACTCCACATAGGTGACATTCTGGGGTGGAGACACTGTGTCTGGACACAAATGGGTGTGGTCGGGGCCAGGAGAAGAGTGGGGCTGCAAAGGGTGTGAGGGATGGTTTGGGCAATAGAAATATTTGCGTCTTGATAGTGGTGGGAGTGTCATGGCATAATGTTTGTCAAACTCAGACTACTATATACTAAACAGAGCAAATTTTACTGCATGTAAATTGCATCTCAGTTAAAACAACCGTTGTGAGATCAAGACAAAAATGAGACTCACAGCAGACTAGACCCCAACCTGAGGTGGCTCCTCTTGATCTCCTCCCTTCCTTCCCTCTTCCTCTTTTTCCCCCTCCTCCCTTTCCTCCTCCTTCTCCTCCTCCCTTTCCTCTTCTTCTCCCTCCTCCCCTCCCTCCTTCTCCTTCTCCCCCATGCCCTCCTCCCCCTCTTCAAAGGCCTTCCCTCCTCTTCCTAAATTCCATGAGACAATGGAAACCCTCTCTCCTTGGGATAACGATCATAGTCCCTTTGCGCCTCATTGTCACATAAAGCGTCTTTTGACATTTCCATTGGAGTGATTCATGTGCACACCTTCCCTCCCCTTCTAGAGGTTCTGGCATAATCCAGGCTTGAGTCCTGGCTTGATCATAGCTGTGTGACTTCAGATGAATCACTCCGCCTTTCTGTGCCTCACTGTCCTTGTCTGCAGAGAAGCAACCTGGAGAAGGGGGTGTTTGCTGATATCAGCTCCCAGGACCACTGGGATTCAACACAAAAGGCATGGCACACAGCAGGCATTGGGCAAACCCTCCTTTCTGTGCTTTCCCCCTCTCTGGTCAAGTGAAGAATTCCCAGAACTCACAAGTGATTCATGTGTGGACCCTCTGGGTGCAGAGCTGAGGGACAGAGGAGTGCTCCATGAACATCTAATCAGTGAGTACACAGAACGCAGGTCCACTGACCTCCCGTCTCGAGAATTACACTGAGGAACTGTTCTCTAATATAAAGCTATGGTGAAAGATGGGTTTAAAAAAACGTATTCAGAAGTTCCCTAAGTCATTTTTTGATATGACTGAAATTGTCCCAGGCACCAACTTTGCTAACCATCCACCCAGTGCGACTTTATGGCCAAGCTGCCCAGCTCAGGATCTTACCAGCTGTAAAACAGTTTTCCCATCCCATACTTTGTTTGTTTCCTCGGTGACTGACAGCAATGATGGCAAAAGCAGCAGTAATAAGCTAACTGGGCAACCACTGTCTTCCAAGCACTTCGTACCTATTGTCTCATTAGGCTCAAACCAAACCCAGAAGGGGTATGGATTCTCCTCTGCTTAACCCACAAGGTTAGGGGGATTGCAAGGGACCGAAGCATGTCCAAGTTTCATGGGGGGAGGGCTAAGGGTTTTCTGGCAGATTGTGTCATGCACACCCAGGGTTCCCATCACTGCATCACATGACCTCCCCTCAGCAGTGAGAGAACATTTCTCCTGGATTTGCTAGGTCAACTGACACATGAGCCATGGCACCGGCGCTGGACTTGTGAGTTTTCCAGCAGACCATTCAGTTGATGGGTCTGGTGCTGCACAATGTGGAACAGCCAGTGGGGGTTTCAGTGCTGGTGAGGACAGGTGCTAAGGGACTGCCTGGATTTCAGGCTCCGGCGCATGGAAGAGTCCATCACCAAGCCAGGAGGGCTGAAAACTAGGCTGTGGCCCAGAGCACAAGGCAGGGTTGAATGGGGTTAACAATGAAGCAAGGGGCATTCTCACATTTGCGAGGAGGGGAGGTACGGGTAGCCCGGGCAGTGTCCCAAGGGTACCTGATCCCTGGAGGCCTGGTAGGGGCTGCAGACACCGAAAGACCTTCCCAGTCAGGAAGCGATATCTGAGCCAAGAGGTTCCTTCTCAAGGGGCGTTGTATTATCTTACCCATAGCATATGCAAAAATCACTCTCGTTTTTTCCATGTGGACATTTATAATTAGAGCATGTATAACCTCTCACTCAAACAAGGTCTGCTTTAATTTTATTACAATAGAATTCTGACTCTTTGCTAATTAATGATTTTTGGAGTTTTTATTAAATCATTTTCTATTCCACAGAAAATTCAAGAGCTAAGAAATGAGGACTACACTTGGGTCTTTGAGAACACTGCTTTTAATCTACTAAATCAGATACTCTATGATTTTGATATATTTCAAGACGCGATGAAATGTGCCCTTTTCCTCTTTTTTTATTTTTGTTTTTACAAAAAATAAAAGACGGTAATAAACTCTACTCTGTAGGGACAACTCTTTCTCTCCTTAGGCAGAATAACTCCATTCTAAGGCATTGCTCCCTTGGTGCATCAGTCTCACCTTGAGAGTTAACTCCTTCCCAAGCCCCCAAACCCAAATCACCCTCTGAGCTGCCAGGAGGGGAGGTGCCCAGCAGGAAAGAGGCTGCAGCGGCAGCACCAGGACACCTTGCTGAGACTGCCGGAGGGCGCTGGAAAATCCCTCCCTCTGAAGTAAAGCTGAGCTGCTTGCTCACGCTTTCTAAAAATGAGGCAGACTGTAAATTCTTAGAGAAATATAGAGCAGAAAAAAAATTAACAAAAGCAAGAACCAGAGCAGAACCTTCCACACAGAAACGCCTGCCCAGCCACACACTGCCTCTCTGGGAAGGGAAGGCATCCCACTGCAGAGCAGGAGCGACTCAGGAGCTGGGCCAGATTCCAAGCGCTCCCGCGGTCTCCTGGGTGAGGCTCTGGAATGTGGCGATAAAGGAGCACTGTGCTCCGAGTGGGGCTGTGGCAGGCGTGTCACAGACGCCGCCAAGGTGCCCCCACAGCCGTACTGACAGCAGGGCAGGCCAGGGCGGCTCCCCGGGCAGACCTCTCACACCAGCACGCCGGTGCAGGCTCAGCATTCAGCAGGCGCCTATCTCAGGCCTCTGACTGGGCAGCTCAGTTCCCTTTTGGGCACTCCTAACTGAAAACACAGGGGCCCAAGCCCAGAGGAAAAGAGGAGGTCCTGTTGGCCTTATCTGAGGCCACCCACGCCGGCTGGCCACAGAGGCGGCCAGAGAGCTTGCAAACAGCATGTCAGACCATCACTGACTCTTCCCCAAAAAGAAGTCAGTAAGTTAAGACTCCTCCAGCTTGCAAACCAATAAAGGCATTCCTGGACAAGTCCTGAGCGACATTCCTTCTTGCCCGGTTAAAGCATCCGTTCTGCTGATTATTCCACTCCATAACGCCCTCTCCTCCTGGCTAGTACCAGCTCTTTTCCTCTGGAAGTCTTGGCAAGTTGGTAAATCTCAGCAGGCACACAGCTCAGTTTCAGGTCTTTGTAGCATTACAGAAGCCACACACATGCACACACACACTCACCACACAGGCACAGACACACATACACATATGCACGCGCGCGCACACACACACACACACAAATGCTCTCTGCTTACCTTCCTTCAAAACAGCCCAGCGGCTCTCTCAGTCTGCACCTCTGAGCCCAGTTTTCCTTGACACAGGCTTTCACAGCAGGACAGTGGCATGCCAGAGGAGGGCGGGGGCGTGCCACCTCCCTCCCAGGCACCTGGCCTCCCACTAGTGTAGAAGGTAAAAGATCTCCTTGGCTATGTAGGGACTTTGATTCCGCCAAAAAGGCCAGGGCAATGTAAATAAGAGGGTGGGGTTTGGTGCACTCAGGTTGAGTGAAATTTGAACTCCAGAGGCTGAAAGGTGGAGAAAGAAGCTCCTCCTGGGAGTCCCTCACCAGGTTTCTGCCTTCACTCCTGAGTGTTCTGAACTGACGTCCAGGAGCCAGCACCAACCCATGCAGCTTACAAAGCACAGTTTCAGCCTCCTTTTGCTTTCTTCAAAGTAACCAGGCGGAAAATCTTTGCCACACATGCTCCATCTCCTGGGAGCTGTCTCTCTGTCTTTTGTGCGGGATGTGGCTAAGAGTACAGCGTGAATGTTCACTGCACACAGCATATTTTGTGTGGTTAGCCCAGACCTCCACGTTCTGTGTTCAGTGTAGCAGATCCTTTTCATCTCAGCCTCATTACATTCAACGTAGGTGGGCTTCAGACAGTGGCTTACTCTTTGCTTTGGCTCAACATGGGCCACAATACCAACCACACACTTTTACTCTTTAAATGAACAGAATATGACACAGCAAACAAGCAAAAGCCCGTTCTGATGCCTTCAGGTTCCCACAGCACAATGGAAACCCTTTTAAAAATCACCAATCAGCCATCCAGGGGAGACAGGACATACCTGGGCTATAAGTGCACGCAGAGGGTAACAAATCTTTTAAATCACCCGAGATGGCCACATTGGCATATGTCGCTTACAGGAGGTTAAGGTAAAACTCAGCGCACCCTTGGGAGAAACAATCTCTTTTATGATGAGACATAATGCACTTATTGTGCAAAAAGTTCTATCAAATTTGGTATTCTTTAAAGGGTATTGGCTAACCCACCTTCCTATCAAGAGAACCGAAATTATTGTTACCATTCTGCAAATGATGTGATCACTGCAATAAAGGCAGTGACTAATTTATCACAAAATACTTTGCTTTAAAGAATACACATCAAACGAAAAGAGATTAGAAGTAGTGAATACAACGCAATGAATGTCCGAGTCTCTCCTGAGCACCGGGGTCTTTCCAAACTGTAGCTAACTGTATGTCTAGATATGGCTAGGGGGTCCCAGCCTCCTACAGGATACAAATCTTAAAATCAGACCACTGCATCACAAAACTGTGCAAGAAAAGCAACGGCCAAGGTACCTTTATCCATTTCTAATGGAAAGAGGCAGCAGGATTAGTTGTATGTTCAAAAGGAGTGTTTCCTTTCATGTTGTTCTGGGTTGGGCTTGATTTGGGTGGGGTTGGGGTTTTTGTTGTTTTGTTTTTCGGTGGCTGAGGGCAAATTTTCTTCATGTGGATGACAGCTTTGTAAACGGGCTGCCATAAGCCTTTGTGAATATATGGCAACAGGCACCCACTGGTCTTCAGATCTTGTTTACGTAGCTGGCAGCCACTGAGCAGGCAGGCTCAGAACGCTCTCATTTTCTACAGGTTCCCTGCTAATGGGTCTTGATTATATGGAGCCTGTGCAGGCTGTTAGTATTAACCTTTCTTGAAACAACGTGGTCTTTTGAAGCTTTGCTGATGTTTGGCCAGAAGGCAGTTCTGTGGCTCAGAGTGTTTTGAAAGCCCCCAAGCCTTTTCACCCTGAAGGGTTGTAATTCTGTGCAGGAGGCTGGCCAGTCCACCCTTAGTATGTGCGGGGGATTGGTTCCAAGACACCAGCACCCCCCAGTCCCCCACCACCCCCTGTGAGTATACTAAATCTGTACATACTCAAATCCTGCAGTCGACCTCGAGGAACCTGAGTATAGGAAAAGTGGACTCTCCATATACACAGATTTCTCATCCTAAATACACCGTATTTTCAATCTGTGTGTTGGCTGAAAAAAATCTGCATATAAGTGGACTCACACAGTTCAATTATCGTTCAAGGGACCACTGTGCAGCTAATGAAGAAAAGACTTGTTGAGTTTCCCGAATATCTCTGAAAATAGCAAGCGGGACAGGAGGTTGGCAGTATGTTTAGTGCCACTCCTATTTGGGACTCCCTAAAGGCAGAAGAAAATTCCAGAATGGGAAACCAATTAGAAGGATGAGAAAAGATGTGGAAATTTCAAAAAGTAGTGGGAAAGATTAGAGGTATAAGAATATCCTAGGGCCAAAACACAGACAAGAATGTTCACAGGCAACGTTATTCATACTAGACAAAAAGTGTTACGAGCCCAAATGCACACCAGCTAACAAATGAATAGGCAGAGTGTGGTGTGTCCACACAGTGGCACACCACAGCCATGAAAGGATGGAGCGTAACAGGAATGCAGCTGGAACACAGGCTGAGTGAAAGAAGCGAATCACAGAAGGCCACTCATTGCACGACTCCAGTGAGTGAGATGTCCGGAATGGGAAACAGAGAGAAGGAAAGTAGCTTCGTGGTTGCCAGGGGCTGAGGAAAGGAGGAACTGGGAGTGACCACTAATGAGTACAGGGCTTCTTTTGGGGTGATGAAGATGTTCTGGAATTAGATAATGGCGACAGTTCCACAACCTTGTGAACGTACTAAAAATCAATGCATCGTATACTTTAAAATGATTAGAATGGTAAATTTATGTGCTATGAATCTGATCTCAACAAATAAAAAGTAAGAACATTCTCAGGCTAGAAACCACATGGTAACAAGGGCATATTTAGAAAGCAACGGCAACCAGCCCGAGGCTCGCACATGCACTCAGGTTTTATACAAAGCGTCTGGGGACAGAGGCAGGCTCTGACCCCAGGTAGACAGGGGATTTCTGCAAGGGAGCCTGGGGCACACAACATTCAAGGAGAGAGAAGACACTCTCTTCTGTGCACTGGTCACCGGAATGAAACCGACACTGTGATCACATGCTGCACCCTCTAGTGCAGGGTTCCAGGCCAAAAGAAAGCTGTCCACCTAGACAGATCAGGGTGTGGCTTCTGAGGAGGCCATTACCTGGACTGCAGGTCAGAAAGTGACACGCAGGGCCTCCTGTGAAGTTCCTCCTCATAAGGAGAGACACATGAAAGTGACATCTAAATTCAGATAGCTTCTGGTAGAAAGTTCTGATTTGAAAACATGACACCACCAACTTTCAACAAATGCAGGTCCCTCCAGCCCGTGACCACCCATTCTCCCCCCACTGTCTCCACCGTTTGCTCCTCTCCCAACTTTCTTTCCAAGGACTCATCCTCCTGAGCTGACATCCCTACCTGTCCACCACACTGAGCCTGTGTGATCCCTGCTCCAATGTCAGGCCCCTCCCCACCCACATGGGCAGACAGGCCCGTCCCAGGGGGTCTCTGGAGGGGCAGCTGTGTGCCTAGAGGCCGGGAAGGGGCAGCCTGTGCCTCCTGCACTCCACTTCAGAACACTTTCACCCAAAACTCATTTCTCTCTGGAAACTGGTACCCCTGGCTACAGCGTTCTCCAGCCCTGCGGGCTGCCATTGCCCCTCACTTCCCAGCCCATCCCCCAAACGTCCATGCCTCCCTTGGTCCAGGTTCAAACACTCTCATCACCGGCATTTCTGTGGCTTCTCCTGGGAAACCATCAACATTTTATTGAGGCCCTGGCCTTGACTCTTTGGACTTTAGATAACTTTCTTTGGTTTGACTTTAGAATTTCTCATGACATACCCTCAACTTCCACCAAACTTTGAAAGCCTTGAGCTCTTCAGGAGTGGTGGCCAGGACTCTCCTTTCTCTAGCAGCCGCTACAGCTCCCTGGCTCCTGCTCTTCTCTGCATGTATCCAGCCCTTCCCTCAGCACAGTGGAGTCACAGCCAATGTATGTTTAACTCCAGCACCAAATTTAAGACATCGAGGGCAACACAGATCCATGGTGCTTCCTCTCCTAGCCCATCTAGACCCACAAGGCCTGCTGTCTCCCTCGCCTGTGGCCCACGTCCATGCCCCTGCTGATGTGCATGCCTCTGAAATCACAGAGGCCGTAACAGTGTGGCGTCCACACATCACTGGGCACACCACACTGCTCACCCAACAACCACCTGTTGCCAGGGGAAGCTCCTCCAAGCTGTCCCAGCTCTCAACACCTCCACTCCCCAGACTGTTGTCCACTCCCAACAGACAACCTCGCCTGCCTTGTACAGGTCAAGTGACGCCACAGCCAGTGAACTCACTCCCAGTCTGCTCTCTACCCTTCTCTGCATCCTGGCTCCTGCACCAGGCACCCTGCTTTGGACACACTCATGGTGCTCTCAGTCTCCTGCCTCTGTCAATCCAGTCCCTGCCTGAACTGAGCTCAGCACATCAGCAGAAGGAGATTCACAGCCGGCGACCAAGCCCCCACTCTTGGCTTCACCAACTAGCCCTCTGACCCCTCAGTGTGGTAAAGATTAGATATGTTAATGCAAGCTGCATGCTCGGAAGGTTGTGCAGCTCGTGAGCAGCACTCAGCAAGGGTGAGCTCTGACAACAACAACCATTAGCCATTCCAGCCCTGTCCTGGCCTCTGCACGGAGCTGTGCCATCCAATTCAGCTCTGTATCTGCAGCATCCAGCACTGCCGATGCTCAGAGAGGCAGGGAGGAGATGGAGACTGCATCCTGGATCCTACAGAGCCTGCCTGACAAGCACACGTGGCCTCTGGTTTTCTTTCATGAGCTTCCCAGAAGGTGACACTCTGCCTTCACTCCCCAGGTGACCTATTGGAATCCTCCGATTTATGATTAACAAGAGAGCAATATATTACATGTACAGGAATAAAGAATGAACTCCCAATACTACGAGAAAGATGGTTTCCTCGCAGCCTCTTCCCACCCTCAGGAAAGCACCCATAGTGCCCATCACTCGGTGGCTCCCCCGCCGCTTTTCCTTCTGCCTCATCCTAGTCAGGGGCCCAGCAGCATCCCAGACTCACTGCTACGAGTTCAGGGGCAATGTATGGCTACTGCTGCCACCAAAGGACGGCTGTTGAGATCTTGGCAGAATTCCCACAATCAATCAACACCAAATCTTGCTATTGCTCTAACCGTTTGGCCTAATTTCAGTGAGAATATATCCCAGGTCATAAATTAGCTCACATTCACACTGACAAAAATAAATACTATTGAATTTTCATAGTATAATTTCCCATAGACTGTCAACACCATGAATCCTAAATTAATTCAACTTTCCATAGTGAAGTCTGAAAGACTACTATGTCAAAGGGTGTATTTTCCTTGTTAAGAAATCATCACTATGCACTTATAAAGAAACACTAAACACATCTCTGGCTCTTGCTATGTGGAAGAAAACTTCCTGGGAGCAGTTGTACCCTCCACCTAGGCCCTATCAACTGGAGGGGGTCCCCCCACATCCACAACAGGCAGGTGCAGGCGGAGCGCACACAGGACATTTGCTGGGGACGCCCTCCTCCTGTCCACAGAAACCTGTTTTCCCAGCTCCTGGGGTCAATGGCTTTCCCTGCACTTCGCATCAGTCTCTCGGGCCCTAGGGATTTAAATCTGGGCTCCCAGCTCCAGAGCAACTGTCACTGGGTGTCCACCCTCGACAGGCCTTGACCTTGGCTCCCTCTCTGTGACATGCTCTAATAACACTCCTGGCTCACATAGCAAAGTGGTCACCCTGTCTCTTACCCCGATCCATGGACCTCCATGCCAGGTCTCCCCGACAGACAGCCAGGCAGGCTCTAGGTATATGGCTGTGCTGAGGCAACGAGCCGAGGCGGTCTCAGCTTTGCTCAGCCTGGCATGCGTCCCCATCCAGCACAGTGTCCACAGGGGGAAAGGAGTGCTGTGAAAACCAGCTTTCATCCCCAAAGTAGGTCAGAATTGCTCCTATCGGCAAGATAAACTGAGCAAGTCTGAAGATCCATTAAAGCTCGCTTTTCTTACATAACAGCACAAGCTGCCATTATATCAACCCTGTTTTTCAAGAAATAGCTGGATGTTTTACATAAAATATCCCTGCAATCTGTGCTATGTTAAAAAATTTAAGTAAGGAACACACCCACTAGTCTCTGACACCTATGCCTTCTACCTCACATGCCCTGCCCTCCATGGCATCTTAGATAACAGTAACAGAATACAACAACTGCATCCCCTCTGTCCTTGGACTTACAGAGAGAGTAAGTGACAATTTATATGCAACTGAATGCATGTTTAACATCAAGTAGCTTGCTTGTCAACATTTAAACACAACTTTAACTATCTAAAGTCCCAGAATCAACTGTACAGGGCCAGAGTGCCCAACTTTCAATAGCAGAACTTGATCTTCAAACAAATCTTTATGCAGAAACCCAATATAAAAACAGAAAAAGATCAAGGTGGGGCTGGGGCTGTGGAGGGTTCTTACAGGAGTGGATGGAGAGAGACTGGGGCTGCTCCTTAAGAACCAACTTGGAATCCTGGAGCCACAGGCATAGAGTTTGAAAGCTGTTGACCCCAAGAGTGTTGTTACTCCTAAGGTCAACGCCAGCACCAAGAACGTCACTCTAAAAGGCAGAAGAATCATTTGCTTAAAGGGAGCGTGCATGTGGATGGTGGTCTCCTAGCCCAGATGGCCGAATGGGGCCAGAGATGCAGGCCATGAGGGTGCACCTCCATGTAAGGGTCCCTGTCCCCATAAGGACAAAGGACCCAAGTCAAAGAGATTGTCCCAGCTGCACCTTTTGTATGAACACCTCCCTTTTCCACTAAGTCATCCGCAACCTTTCCCTCCCCTAGGAGGCCCTGGCAGCTCCATCTTGTAGCACTTTCCAAAGAAAGAAGTAGATGAGACAGTCTTGCATGCATAATCTAAAACGCCTCCCCAGACATTCCTTCAAGGCTGAAAGAGAAGAGCCAGAGCACGCACAAGTTCTACTCTTCCAGCCAAGGGCTGAGGAAGATGGTGAGGATGACCCTGTGGGCCGGGCACACAGAAGCATGTTCATGTGAGGAAGAGACTCTGCTTTTCTTCAGTCCCAGCCTCGTTCTCTCTCACATTTTGGTTCTGTATATCAAATACTTAAAGTCAGCAGGTGCTCTCTTTCCCCGACTTGGCACAAGTGCAATTGCAGGCTCTTATAGACAGGCACAATGAAGTTGCAGCCCTGCCTCTTCCAGGCAATGGAGAGAAAGGTTCTACGCACGGAAGACACAGATGGAAACTCAGCAGGTTTGATCGCCTGCCATTCAGGCCCCCTACTCCTACCAGGAGATGGACATAAGAGCACATCTGGGAATAGGGGCTTGACTGAGATGTGACTTAGAAAGGGGTGGCAGCAAGGGCCTTGTAAGAAGAATAAGGACCAAACCCTCATTACACCAGGGTCTACACACACACATACACACACACACACTGCTGCTCACGCTAGGTGTGAGAAGCTTCGTGGCTCAGGGTCCCAGGGAGACTGTGGGGATGGAGCCCTCTTCCAGGTTCATGTCTCAGGGAATCCACCAACAGAAGAACAGTCAAGGTTGTAGTCCCCATAGGTGGGAATTAGAGTCCAAAGATCTGCAGCTTTGGGGAAGGAATGTAGGGCAGGGGCATGAATCATTGCATGCATGTTGGTTAAGTGGGCAGGGTCACCAAAGAGCAATGGAGATACTGATCACAAACAGCAGAGGAAAGTGAAAAGAGATTAAGAAGCACAGCTCCTCTGGACTCTAAGAAGACATAGTAGGCCAGGCGTGGTGGCTCACACCTGTAATCCCAGCACTTTGGGAGGCCCAGGTGGGCAGATCTCCTGAGTTGAAGAGATCGAGACTAGCCTGGCCAACATAGTGAAAACCCCATCTCTACTAAAAATACAAAAATTAGCTGGGCATGGTGGCAGGCACCTGTAGTCCCAGCTACTCGGGAGGCTGAGGCAGGGACAACTGCTTGAACCCGGGAGGTGGAGGTTGCAGTGAGCCAAGATTGGGCAGCTGCACTCCAGCCTGGGTCTCAGAGCGAGATTTCCTCTCAAAGAAAGAAAAAAAAGAAAAAGAAGAAGAAAGAAGAAGAAGGGGAGAGGGAGAGGGAGGAGAAGAGAAGAAGAAGGAGAAGCAGAAACAGAAGAAGCAGAAGCAGAAGAAGCAGCAGAGGAAGAAGAAGAAGAAGGAAGAAGAAGAAGAAGAAGAAGAAGA
The DNA here is from genome assembly GCF_000001405.40 of Homo sapiens. Classification (NCBI taxonomy): domain Eukaryota; kingdom Metazoa; phylum Chordata; class Mammalia; order Primates; family Hominidae; genus Homo; species Homo sapiens. The sequence continues at coordinate 47,389,029 of NC_000007.14, forward strand.
AGAAGAAGAAGAAGAAGAAGAAGAAGAAGAAGAAGAAGAAGAAGAAGAAGAAGAAGAGGAAGAGGAAGAGGAAGCGGAAGCAGAAGAAGAAGAAGAAGAAGAAGAAGAAGAAGAAGAAGAAGAAGAAGCAGAAGAAGCAGCAGAAGCAGAAGAAGCAGAAGAAGAAGAAGAAGAAGAAGAGGGAGAAGACACAGTAACTACAGAAATACAAACAAGCCATCCACCTTGTAGACCCGTCTGCATGCACAGGACACCCCGTCCAGTGGGATATCGGGGGTACCCTTCCTCCCAGGAAGCAGAGGAGGCCCAAGGTTTGTGTGCCGACTGGGGGTTGGGAGGACCCTGAGGACCCAGGACAAATCCAGCCAACTCTCAGCACCTCTTTCTCTGTCCCAGGGGGTGATGCTACTTAACTATTAAGGCCACTCTTGTGGGCTGATTTCTGCAAACTTGTACAGGACAACATACAACTTGAGCCAATTCCTCTGATTCCTGTCGGATTCGAAAAGTAACGAACACTTAATGAGATGGCGGCTCAGGGACTGGAACAACTCTTTTGACTGCCCCCAATGCCACCCTCCTCTTCTGATGGAGTGTATCAATTTTTTGAAAGTAACACCCACATGACTTGATCCTGGTTTTAACAGAGGGTACGCCTCTCGCACTTGAGACAGGAGGAAGCCGGCGCCCCCAGGCCACTCTCTCAGGTGACATTGAGGAAGATTTGCTGTTTGGTCTGCGATCACGCCTGCAAGGGGGTCCTTTGGTGTTTGTGGGTTGAAGGCTTGCTGCCTCAATTCACAATCAAGAGATGCAGAGGGAGGAAATCTCAGGCTCAGAACAGGACTACCCGCCCATCTGGCCCGTTTCTGTCTCATACAACTTCAGTTGCCTGATGACAGCTGCTTTTCACTGGAGCTATCTAAGCAAGCAATGCTTAGAAAAGCCTGGTTTGGGGACAAGACCTAAAGAAATATTCTTCTGCCTGGTGCAGAGTCAAATGTCATAGGGTGGCTGAATACCATGCAAAGAGCCCTGGAGCAGCTCTCAATGCTGGGGGACAGCACTCCACGTTGCCAACAAGGACCGAGGCTGCAGACACAAGGCACTGTGTATACCCAAGCACTCAGCAAAAAGCAGAGCCAAGACTGAAGGATCTGTCAGGTGCCATCGGCCCCCTCCTCCACTAAAGTTGTCAAAGTTTACTTCAATTTCCAAATCTTAAAACCCAACAATGTCTGGGGAGGAAAGTTTTCAAATCCATTTTCAAAGTGGCAATACTTGAATGGTCTCAGCTTGATCTGGCACTTCCGGGCCAGCTCTGCACACTGCAGCCAGCACTTCCTGACCCAACATGTCCTCGTGGTAGCCCATTCCTGGAGCTCGGAACAGTACTCTGAGAACGCGGTATGGCCACTTCAGGACTGTGTCTTATTGCGAAGGCTGCAGACAAATGTGAATCTCCTCTGTCTGCCTGCTCTAGCAGCCCCATGGGAGCCCCAAAGCGTGGATTCTGGGAATGTTCATCAAGGTATCCACTTAAAGTGGCAGAGCCCAGGCCTGGCAATGCCACGGCCCTCGTCCTGCACACTCTTGGATTGGTAAGTTTGAGCTGCACTCAAAAAGTCCTAGGTCAAGGCAAGAAACCAAGGACAAGAGTGACAGAGCAGGCCTTCATCTCCAACCCTCAGACATTCTTGAAGCTTCCCTGCTGCTCAACCCTTCCTCTAAATCTGTCATAGAGTCTCACTCATCTACCTCCTAAATATCTAAAGGCCCCTACTCTCCATCGCCAGAGCCACATCCAAGTCCAGGCCTCCGTCAGTTCTTAGCTGGGGAGTCCAGAAGCCCATTCTCTACTCTCCTTCCTCTCCAGACTCTGCCTCCCAGAGGGCGTCCTCCAGCCTCTTTGTTATCTTTCTGTATCCTCCAGTCATGTGGCACCTGGGATCCTCACTGTCACCCAGCAAAGAAGCCAGGCTCAGGAAAGGAAGCTGACATTCCCCCGATCTCACGATCCACCACACACAGCACCTCTTACTTCCTCCTGCACACACCAGCCAGGCGGAACACACTTCCACCCCGTGAATATGTGCTGCTCGCCTATGCCCCATGCCCAGGGCTAGGCATACCCTGTCTGCCTTCCCTACCTGCAAGGGCTGTCCTCTTCGTGAATCTCCTTGGATTGTACAGGCAAAGTGGTTGTTTCTCTTCAATTCTTTCCTAATTCCTGGTACCCAATTATGGTACACGGTGCACCCTGTGGCAACAACTGATGTATATCTGTGTCTTCCCAATTAGAGGGTCTGCTGTGTTTCTTCCTGCGCCCACCCCAGCATCAGAGCCATGGCAATTCCCAAGAAAATATGAGATGCGTGAATATGACAAATGGTGTGTATGATAACAAAAATCTCAGAGTTGGAGGGAGGTATCTTTAGAGTCATCCAATTACAACAGGCCACTTTACAGACTGGGAAAGTGAAAGGGAATGAGGCTTATGAGAGCAAGTAGAAAGCACCCCAATGGGGAGTGTGGCCACTGACACCGACGCTCCAGAGATGTCCAGCGAGGAAAATGAGATGTTCTCCATAGGGCTCAGCAACATGGGGGTCCAGAGCTTTGCAGAGCCTCCCTGAAGAGTACTGTGGGGACAATCCTGGTGGTGACAATACAAATCCAGGGACACATATGCTGCTGTGGGCATTCCCTTAGACCATCACAGCAAGTCTGATCCTGAAAGAGCAGGTACATCCTGCTAGGGTAAGAAATCCCCCCACCCACAGCCCTCTTGTGTGACGAGGAGGTGGGGCACCCAGTGAGACTCAGCCCAGTCTCACTGAGTCTCAAAGTCTCAAAGAGGAAAGTCAAGGGTATGAGCCCTGTCCCGCACGGTCTCGAGCACAAGACACACTCTGAGCCACAGCTGCCATCGCCGACAGTGTACGCCAGAAGGCTACCAGGGTCCCTGGCCAGTTACTAGCTTTTGATTTCTCTTTGGATCTGCTCTCTTTATCTCTAAAATGGGCTCACAGGCTCTCTCGAGGATTAAAACACCATAGTGAGGCTTCCGGCAGGCAGCCACACTGTGTGCCGCGAGATATTCTTCCCTCTCCTCAGGGACAGCAACTACCCCAGGGAACACTGACACGACTGCCGTCCCCCGCAGCCACCACCTGCCAGGACCACAGACCCACGGGGAGACCAGGACCATGTGCTCCTCTCTGTGCTGAAGACAGGGCGTTTGTAATCACTTGCCCACATTGGAACGGATTCAAGGCCGGCTCCTTTCTGAGTATAGAAGCAGAATGTTGCGCTCACACATCAAAGCCAGCGCTCCCCTAACAGGCCCAGATTGAAGGCAGCTGCAGAGGGCTCCATTCCAGGACGGCAACCACTGCTAGAGATAAATGCGGCTTAAGTCAACATTTTTGGGGTTTTTTAACCAGGCGGCGGGGGGATAGAAAAGGCAGGGGCAGGGGTGGAAAAGAGAGTGCCGCAATACATCATTTTCCCAGCTAAAAGAGAATGTTTCAGAGGCTGCCAAACCTTCCTTAACTCCTCAAAGCACTGGACAGCTCTGAAGACTAAAGCCCTGGTGGGAATGCGGCTGGGACTCAGCCTTTCACCCGCCAGGCGGCGTCCAGTCCAGGGACCTGAGCCAGGCACTGCTGACCGCAGGCAAGAGCGAAGACTGCCTGGAGTAATAGCTCACCAATGCAGCACACCGGCCTCCATGCCAAAGAGGGGCTGAGGAGGGCTGCAGAGTGGAAGAGAGGAGGGAAATTCAACAAGGATGAGTTTTCTATCCAAAGGTGACTACTCTTTCTGGGGAACACCTTCTCAAAAGGACCCAAGCCTGGGGATTCTGCAGAACTTTGATGGCAGAGGTGGTGATGGCAGCCTCGTGTCTCACAGGGAGAACTTGGAAACCCTGCAGGAGTGCAGCAATAAGATCAAACGCACTTTGGAAGCCCCTCTAAGGGAATCCAGTGTGCTCAGTGAGAAGGACATGGGAAGAAAGTTTAAAGATGTGCACAGATGCTAAAGGAGGTGGGTTAAGTGAAAAACTCAGGCTATAAAACAATGCACAGGCTGATCCTACTATGAGAAATTACATGATATTTAGAAATCATGCCAAAAATACACCAATGACGAGTGCTTCATCTCTAGACAGTAAGATGGCGGTAATTATTCCTTCTTTTTGATAATTTACATCTTCAAAAAATATTGATACAAGCTTAAATGTATGTAAAAGAAAGAAAGAAAAGCATAAAACTCATTCCATTGAATCAGGTACCCCAGACACGCCAGACAGCACGTGGGGATGGAGGGTCAGGAGGAGGGGATGCAGATTTGAGGAAAGGCTCCGTGCTTGTCTGTAACTCAGGAGCTGGAATTCTCAAGAATACTCAGGCAGTGGTTCAAGGGAAGGTTGCTGAGATCCAGTTTTGGGAGAGGACTCAGATTCCGTGTGGCGGGTTCTGGGCTAAGCATCCGGATACCAGTCCTGAGCTCGCTCTGAGTCCTCCCCTGTCACTCCACCTCCCTGGGGGTGCTCATGGGCTTCAGATATCATCGAGGCTGCAAGGGATGAACCAGGCACTGGGAGGAGGCTGCACTCTCACCCACTATATCCCTGAGGAGTCTGGGCATGACTCTGCCCATAAAGGGGGTCTCTGCTGCTTTATGAAGCCTGGAAGCAGTAATGACAAAGCTGTGAATCTGGCTGCAAAGTGTACCTGGCTGCCTTGGCGCCCTATCCGACTCCTCACCCTCCTGTCTGGGAACCACTCTTTCCCGGGTGTCCTTCCCACTCTGCCCTGTCCTTCTCAGTTTCTTTCCAGAACTCCTATGCACCCACTCCCAACTGGCTCCATCTTTTGCATGGCAATGCCAGACCTTCTCTACTCGCCCCTAGACCCAACTCTCGGTGACACAGAGTCCCGAGTGCATGCCCAGACCATCACCTGCATGGCTCCACCACCTCCAACCACACAATCCATAGCAGTCTCCCACCTGCTCACACCACTGGCTCAGAAGATGCTGCATGAAAAATACACCAATGGGAATTGTGATTTGTAATGTCAGGGCCTTAGATATTTAAAGTTCAAATTGCTTCTCTAATCATTCATTCAAGAAACACGCATTGAGTATCTGCTATGGACTGAATATTTGTGTCCCCTAAGATTCATATGTCAAAACCTAATCCCCAGAGTGATGGTATTAGGAGGCAGGACCTTTGGCGGTGCTCAGAGCATAAGGGTGGAACCCCTATAAGTGGGATTGATGCCCTCAGAAAGGAGGCTCCAAGGAGCTCCCTCTCCTCACCACCACGTGGAGACACAAGAAGGCAGGAGTTGGCAACCAGATGACAGCCCTCACCAGAATCCGCCAGGCTGGCTGCCTGATCTTGGACTTCCCAGCCTCTCAAAGTAGGAGAAATACACGCTTGTTGTTTAAGACACCCAGGTTATGGTCATCTGTCAAGGCAGCGTGAATGGGCTGAGAGGGCCTCAAAGTAAAGAAGTATCTCCCTCTGCATCTTCAGGAGACACTGCGGTGGCTGAGAGTCTTTAAGACTGAATTCTGTCTATTTCACCCAGTGATAACGGCAAGTCCTCCACATGTATGGATCTATACACACACGCTCACACACATAATTCCACAGATTCTCCGTAAAGTTTCATGTAACCCCTAAAGGATGGTGAACACTCAACTGATTTTCTGTCTATATGTTTTCTACATAAAATCAACGTAGGTCCTTCACCACCTGTGAGTGACATGCTGCAGGCGCCCAGCTTTCAGTTCCCTGGTTGTGACATGGGAAGGATAAAGCCTGCCCCGCAGGCAGGTCACAGGCTTAGCTGGGAGCCAGCTTGGGGACAAGAGCGGGGCACCCAATGAGGGACTGAGCACAGAGCTGCCCTCCAGAGCATGCTCCTCACAGGAGCTGGGGCTCCTCCACACTGTCCACCGGACTTCACTGCTCCCCTCTTACGGCATTGGCACAGAGAACACCCACCTGTGTTTTAGAACCCCTGCCTCCCTCATGGTCAATAACCCTCCAGGCTCGCCCCTCCCTTGGCAAGCAAGGAACCTCCCAGCATCACGAGAATGACCTTTCCACAACTCGCCTCCCTGTTCTCCATGAGACTCGGCACAGCCACTGATTCATCACCTCAGGACAGAGCGCTGCTCACTGGCTCCCATGCAGCAAGGGACCTCTCTGGTAAAATCCACTCGCCTCAGCCTGGAATTTAGGATGCTAAGTCAGCTGTCCTCAGAGTCCCCATCCAGCTCTCCAAATTAGCCCCTTTCCCCATCTTGCCTTGCGATGATTATTTACACACTTCACCAGCCACCGCTTCACCCTTCTCTCCTCCAGTGGAAAACATCACCATGTGATGGACAGAATATAGCTATGCAGATGCAAACAGACGTTACTGGAAAAAGAGCTCTGTGATCAAAAAGTTTGATAACTGTTGTTTGATAAATCTTATGAAATTATTCTCACAGCTTTAAGATTCCAGTGTGCACTGTGATCTTTTGAAAGACAATGTATCATTTTGCAAGAGTTTTCAGCTACATTTCTTTTAACGTGCTGGTTATCTGGAAGGACTGGTGTGCTGAATAATTCACACCAGCAAAGAACACTCTGTTTACTTTACAGGCCAGAGCAAAGCTCTCCCCGTCCACAACTTGCCCACTAGCCCCAGATATCATCTGTGTTTTAATGTCCTTACCATCAACATTCCATCTGTGGGTCTCCACCTCTGGTCTAGGTGTATTTGGGTTGCAACAATTCCTTGAGTTGAAATTCCATCCCACAAGGCCTATGAAGGAGCAAGCTTTTCCCCAGGACAACAGAGAGGAGCCATGTGCTGCCCTGGGACACACAATTGGTGTCCTTTCTCACTAACCACAGACACCCCCTTCCTGGAGTCATGGGAAGCTCAGCGATCCACAAAGATGAGGCGCTACTGCAGTTCTTTCCACAACACTTGCTTTTAGCTATTTTACATCTGGATGTAACTAATCTGACAAAAAGTGTTTTAATTTCTTTCCCAAAGCAAGTCTGATTCTCAATCGGTGGTTGAAAAAGACAAGGGATCAGCATGACATGCTAGGAAAAGCCTCAATTCCCCTCCTTTGAAATCAGCCTCCAGTTGTGTCTTGTGGAGATTCCAGCACACAGCTGCCCCTTCCTTCCTTTCCTCCTTCACGCTCCTAGCTATGACCCAATGTGCATATTACACAGGTGAACAGAGGACATGTTTGGGTGAGACGGTTTCACGAAAACAGAGATTTAAATGATACAGCCATAAATCAGGAACACTAGACTAACAAGCAAACAGAAATTAAAACAAGATGTCTGTTGCATGTGGGGCCGTACAACAGTAGCTAGTTTGGCTGTGGCCAGCGCTTGGCATCCCCATATGCAAAACGGAAGGGACGGAAGAAGGGGGAACGGTCCCTGGCATTATACATACACACAAGTTCAGGCCAAGGAGCTCCTGGATATAACTTCACTGACAGCTCATCCACCCGTTACAGCTTCACAAAAAGCCCTGACCCAAACTCACCATGCCTTATTCTCACGAAGACCCTCAAAACTCACAACTGTGTCACACGAAGGTGTGATTCTGGACCTCTGAGAAAACAGGGGAAATTTTTTCTTCTTAGCAGACTGCAAAATACTTCAGATATTTGAGTGGGCTGTCTTCCCTGTGCCCTTTGCCTCCATAACTGCACACAAGATGAACACACGCACCTTCTCCATCTGCACTGAGGTTCTCGTACGAGTCCCAGCGTATCAGTGGGTCTGTTGTGTTGTAGTCCACAATCACACCGTGGTCGTTGTACAAGTGTTCGGACCCTGCACAGAGCACAGGCAGCAACATTAGTCCCAGTGAAACCCATCACCTCCATCCAACCGACTCCACCATAAGGACAGGTGAGCAGCCTGACTTGAGCAGGAGAGAGAAGCCTCTCCATCCTCCACCCTCCTGCCAGGAGCCACAACACTAATCAGAGACTGTGGAGGATTTTCCACAACTAGAACCATAGTTAAAGCCACGAGGGGGAAGGGATAAGTAAGCACTGATCTTTCGTCCACTGTGAACCAGGCTTGGACACTTCTGCAAAACGAGTCTTCAGACCACCTCACTGATGAGGACACAGAGGCCCGGTAAGCTGTCTCTGAGCCTCAGAGTCCACAGATTTGAATCCAGGCTCCAGGCTCTCAGATCCACACTCCTCCCTTCAAGTCTTTTTAGGAATACCAAGGGGATTTTTAACACACAAGCCATGTATTTAAAGGTTTTTGCCTAAATCTATGACAATGAACATAGAAAAAGCATGATTATTTCCACAGCTATTAAAAAGGGAAACAAAACTCCCATGCATGTGGATCTTGGTGATGGATCTGGACAATTCACCTTGATGATAAAGGGACTGGTTTCTTTTGAAATATATTTTTTAGGGAAAAAAATTGTTTCGCACATAATACTTGCAGCCTACTATACTTCTAATTCTCTTTTTAAAATGCTGGTTACTTTGGGGTTAATGATGAAATCATGATGGAAATTTAAAAATTCCTTGAAATGAATGATAATAGTGACACAAGTTATCAAAACCTCTGGGATACAGCAAAGCAAGTGTTAAGAGGAAAGTTTATAGCACTAAATGCCTACATCAAAAAGTCTGAAAGATCACATATTGACAACCTCATGTCACACCTCAAGGAACTAGAGAAGCAAGAATAAACTAAACACAAAGCTAGTAGAAGAAAATGAAAAACAAAAATCAGTGCAGAACTAAATGAAATTGAAACAAAATACAAAAGATCAATGAAACAAAAAGCTGGTATTTTGAAAAGATAAACAAAACTGATAGACCATTAGCTAGATTAACCAAGAAGAGAGAAGATTCAAATAAATTCAATTAGAAATGAAACGAAACATTACAACCAGCACGAAAGATCATTCAAGACTATTATGAACACCTTTATGTATATAAACTACAAAACTGAGAGGAAATTGGTCAATTCCTGGACACAGACAACCCTCCTCGATTAAATCAGGAAGAAATAGAAACCCTGAACAGACTAGTAAAAAGCAGTGAAAATGAATCAATAATTTTTTTAATGCCAATAAAAAAGAGCCCAGGGCCAGATGGATTCACAGCTGAATTCTACCATCCATTCAAAGAAGAACTGGTGCCAATCCTACTGAACAATTCCAAAAGACTGAGAAAGAGGAATTGTCCCTAACTAACTCATTCTATGAAGCCAGTATCACCCTGATACCAAAACTAGGAAAGAATATAACAAACAAACAAACAAAAAAGAAAATCACAGACAAATATCCCTGATGAACATAGATGCAAAAATCTTCAACAAAATACTAGCTAACTGAATCTAACAGCACATTAAACAGATAATACACCATGATCAAGTGGATTTCATCCCAGGAAGCAGGGGTGATTTAACATATAGAAGTCAATAAATGTGATACACCATACAAACAGAATTAAAAACAAAAACCATATGTCATTTCAGTAGATGTGAAAAAGGCATTCGATAAAATCTAGCATCCCTTTATGATAAAAACACTCAACAAACTAGGCATAGAAGGGACTTACCTCAAAATAATAAAAGCCATGTATGACAAACCCATAGCCAATGTCATACTGAATGGGGAAAGGTTGAAAGCATTCCCCCTGAGAAGTGTAACAAGACAAGGATGCCTACCTTCACCACTTCTATTCAACATAGTACTGGAATAGTACTGCCAGAGCAATCAGCTAAGAGAAAGAAATAAAGGGCACCTAAATCGGAAAAGAGGAATTAAAACTGTTGCTATTTGCCAATGATATGATCATATACCTAGAAAACAATAAAAACTCCTCCAAAAGACTTCTAGATTTGATAAACGAATTCAGTAAAGTATCAGGTTTCAAAATCAATGTACACATATCTGTAGCACTGCTGTACACCAACAATGACCAAACTGACAATCAAATTAAGAACTCAATTCTTTTTACGACAGCTGAAAAAAAAAAAAAAAAAAAACTAGAAATATACTTAATCAAAACGTGAAAGATCCATACGAGGAGAACTACAAAACACTGATGAAAGAAATCAGAAATGACACAAACAAGTGGAAACACATCCCATGCTCATGGATTGGAAGAATCAATATACTGAAAACAACCATACTGTCCAAAGCAATCTACAGATTCAATGCAATTCCTATCAAAATACTAATATCATTCTTCACGAAATTGGAAAAAAAAAATCCTAAAATTCATATGGAACCAAAAAGGGGCCCAAATGGCCAAAGCAATCCTAAAAACAAAACAAAACAAAAATCTGGAGGCATCGCACTATTGGACTTCAAACTATACTAAAAGGCTATAGTTACCAAAACATCATGGTATAAAAGTAGACACACAGATCAATGGAACAGAATAGAGAATCCAGAAATACAACTGACTACAACTGATTGATCTTCAACAAAGCATATAAAAACATAAACTGGGGAAAGAATACCCTATTTAACAAATGGTGCTGGGAAAACTGGCTAGCCACATGTAGAAGAATAAGACTGGATCCCCATTTCTCACCTTATATTATAAAAATCAACTCAAGATGGATCCAAGATTTAAATCTAAGACCTGAAACCATAAAAAGTCTAGAAGACAACCTAGGAAAAACTCTTCTGGACATTTGCCTAGGCAAATAATCCATGACTAAGACCCCAAAAGCAAATGCAACAGAACAAAAATAAGTAAATGGGACCGAATTAAACTAAAAATCTTCTGTACCACAAAAGAAATAATCATCAGAGTAAACAGAACCCACAGAGTGAGACAGAATATTTGCAAACTATGCATCTGACAAAGAGCTAATATCCAAAATCTTCAAGGAACTCGAACAAATCCTCAAAAAAAAAAAACAAATAATCCCATCAAAAAGTGGGCAAATGATATGAACAGACATTTTTCAAAAGATATACAAATGGCCAACAAACACATGAAAAAATGCTAAACATCACTAACCCCCAGAGAAATGCAAATTAAAACCACAATGCAATACCACCTTACTCCTACAAGAATGGCCAGTCATGCCCAAGGCTCTCCTGGCTGAGTGGTTGTGAGCAAGTCACGCCACTTCTGGGGCTTACTGACACAAGTGGGCCTTCTTGTTCCACTATCCAATATCCTACATTTAAATAAAATTAATCACAGAAATCTCCAAATATGCACAAAGGCAGGAGACTAGTACTACAGCCCCAGCGTAGCCATCATGCACCTTTCACCAGTGTCAGCAAGGACCACCCAGTATTCCACCAAGCTACCCACCTTGAATCTTCTCAGGCGTGGCAGAGAAGACTAATTCAACCTTCCCATAGTCAGGAAAACGGTCATCTGAAAAAAACAATGTATTTTAACACATTTGTGGAGACAATTAACCGGAAAAGTATGGACTGACTTTGTCCTTTATTCCAACCAGTACAGCACCACTCCCAAATCTGCAATAAAGACACCCCATGATACAGAAAGTATAGGCAGTTTCATTGGTTATCCATAATTTTTTTCCCCCAGGGATCAATGATCATTTTCTCCTACTTTGGGAACAATTTTGTCAGTAGGCTGAATTTTGGAAAGAGGGTAAAGGGGATAGTGAAAGAATCAACCAAGGAGGTTCAACCGCAGCTGCCCACAAGCACAGGGCCGCCAGCTCCGCGCCTCACCTTTGCTGGCATTGTCCAGATCCTCCTTCCCAAACACCAGCCCGTAGCCCTGCACAGCCCCAGTGTGAAACTGCAGGCGGAAAATGACGTCACGGGTGGCCGAGCGGTATTTCTTGTGGTAGCATTTCACCTGGGTTAGAGAGACAAAACAAAACAAAGTAGCTGCAGCGGGGGACACACGTTCCCGGCAAGGAACACACTCCGCGGAGGCCGGCACAGCAGGGCCTCCCCTCTGGACTCTGGCTGGGAGTTCACGCTTTGGAGTGGAACTTCAGCCCTGGGGCACAGGCGCCTGCAGACAGCTGGGGTGCAGGCAGAGGCACCACACTGCTGCTGCTGGGTGCGGGGCTCCACTGGAGGCTTCAATGTGTTCCCTGTGCTGCTCCTGTGGAACCGCAGCTCTGAACACCACTATCGCTAGTCCTCAGAGAGGCCACACCTAAACCCTTTCAGACCACGTGAATGTGCCCTGTTTTGGAACACATCCGAAAAATAGAATTCCATGGTCTCTTTTTTCTAGACTTTAACAACTGATTGTGATAGCTTTTCTTTGATCTCAATGCTCCATGTTGCAACTTAAAGCTTTTTGTTTTCCAAAAAGCAGCAGCCGGTCATTACTGTGTGTACTATCCTAAATGATTATGTGCATGCTGTAATTTAGAGACAGAGATACAAAGAAGGAGGAAGGGAGAGAGGGAGACAGAGAGGGTGTTGGCATTTAGACAAGTGTTCAGAATCACCCTGATGTGATCTGAACTCAAGCTGGGGTTCATGAGGTCCCCAGGGTGCAGCTCAAGCACCCTAAATGATTGTGCCAATGAGCCAAAGGGTAGAGCAAGCCCCTCCTTGCAGATGCTTGGCATGTGGGGAACGGTGGGCAGAGCAGGAGCCTGAGTGTCCTGACCTGCCTGTATAACTAGGTCCCCCCTGCTTCTTGTGACCGTGCGCAGCACTGGCATCATTGGAAGGGTTCTCAGGCCACAGCTGGGGGAGCTGCAGGGACAGGGATACCCCTCACTCAGAGATCAGGGGCAGGACCACCAGGTAGTGGCACTTTCCCAAATCCCCAGAAGGCCGAAGGCCCTGGACAGGCTGGATTCTGCTCTCAGACCAAATCGTGCACAGGCAGGTACCTCCCCAACCCCGAGGCTGTGGGGTAGTGACTACCAGAGACAGCCACGTTCCCATAAAAGAGACTTTTCTTGGAGAAAGATGGCTTTAAAATATCACATGCCTCACAACAGTAAATGAGAAGCCACCGCAGCAGGTATGATCCGGACCAGCATGCGGGAGAATTCTGCAGGGAGGGTCTTCCCTAACCAGATGAACATCCACCAGAGGAACAAAAAGCCCAGAAACCCAGCCCAGGAGGCAGGGAGCTGTGACTCCAGGCAGACCCAGAAGATGTTTACCTTTGTGCTATCTACAAGGAAAGGGACGGGTAAATAAACCAAAAAAATATAATTAAGACTGTGGAAGGATGTTCCCTGTTGACAAACATGACTGGGTCTCCCTTGTACGGCCTGGCGCTGGCCAGCGGTGCTGTAAACATGGGGCTCAGACTCAGGCCTGGCCTCCAGGGGCCCAGGAACCAGGGCGTTTGCAAGTAGAAAACTGGCATTGTGAAGAAATGTTGCCTCAATTTGCTTTCCAACAGCCAATGGCACGTTGGCCACAAATCTACCACCTCTGTCCGAGACTGACTTCTCAGCAAGACTCAATCAAAGGCTGCCCTTGCAGGGATCCTTCCAGGATGTTCTGAGAGTATCTGGGCCCCTCCTTTGAGCTCCCCATGCCCCACACTCACTACACTGACCACCCATCAAATGCTTCAACCTGGGGCATATTGTAGAGATCCCCAGAGGGAGGTCCTTCTGGCCAAGGGTAAATCCACACATGCACCCCCATTGATAGAGATGATAGCACCCACCTTTCCCTGTCTGCCTTCAAATGTGCCTGTCTGCCTCCACTAGTGCCTTGCAAATGGGGAGTGAAAAGTGGTTAGGGAAGGGAAAAGGAAAAGAGATGCCCCAATTCAAGCCAGTCTTGCTCTCAAATTTTATAAATATTTAAGGGAACCAGAGATTTAAAAAAATAAAAACAACAACACGATGTCAGCTGATAGCTCACGCAGCCTGTGCTGCCATGGGCGCCAACATTTGCCCACAGGAGTCAGGAAACTCCTCAGGAGGCAGCTGTGGGCTCAGTCCTGGCAGGCAGGGAGTGTCCTGGGTGAAAACAGAGGGAGCTGTGGGCTCCAGTACGGGCCACATAAGGGGCACAGTGGAATATCCCCAACCGCAGCTCACCGTGCCCCTCCCGTCAGTACCGCCCCGCCCAGCGCAGGGCCTCCTTCCAGGCCAGGTCCTGCCCTCCCTCTTCAGGAATCCAGGATGCTCCCCCAGGTCCCCCCACTGCTCCTCATAGCAGCTACACACAAACACACTGCTCCTCCCGCAGCAATCCCAGCTCCCTCCACATACCAGAAGGGAGGAGAAGGCAGGCCACGGTGCCCAGGAGGTACAGAGTGGCAGGAGATGGGAATCGGCCTGTCCCAAACAGGTTCCTCTCCAGGCCCCATATGATTCTCCTGTAAGATTCCTATTTTTCACAGCACAAGCTTTCAAATACTCCTAAGGCTCCACAGTGAAAGAAAGAGCGGTCTATCCCACTGGCAGAGAACAACTGCTGCCTGAAATCACGTGGCCCTCCCTTCAGGGGTTTCTCTGTGTATTTTAATGCTAACTTTGTTTGCTGGCTTGAGATCCTAACGGCCTCATCATACACAATCCCTGTTTCATATTAAACCTCTTTCCTCTTGATTAATGGAGGTAAACACCACCCTCCCCAGTCCTCCTGACCAAATCATGAACTGACTCCAGCTTCTTCTGAAAGACACGGAAAACCACAGGATTTTCCCTAACTCGGGGCTCCCAGCAACCACCATCAACACAGCAGGTCAGATCTTGAGACAAAATCCACTCACCAACCAGGAGCCCTCCATAGTGTGCAATAATTATGCATTATCTACATCAACAAATCTTTTTAGGAGCAATGGCAAGAGATCAGAATTATGCTTGTAATACTTAACAGAAAGAACAATCAACATGGTACTTGGTACGAGGGCCCCCAAATGCCTCCCTTTAAGATATAATAGTAATGCAAACATTTCGTAAAGATTAGACTGATTCAAGTCTATAATTTTCCCTTCATCCCTCCGGCTTTAACTTTATTTACCTGGGTCTCCCCAGAGTGTTTCTAGAATATGTTGATCCTTTGCCTTCAGATTTTAGAATATCTGCATTTAAAATAACAACTCAAAGATGTGCAGTCACAATTTTGTAGCATAGAAAAATGAAATAAGAAATAGCAAGCACCACAACAAAGGCTGCGCACAGCCTGTCACCATGCTATCATAGAGCCAACCACAAAAGTACGTGGGTGTGATGTTGACATCACAAATCGCTGGGAGCACTCAGATCTTGAGAAAGTTGCAGCCTCTTTAGACTTTAAATTCTCTGACTGCAAAATGAGTATTATGATATTGACCTGGCTATGTTGTTATAAAGATTAAATTAGCACTACATATTAATATAATTCATTATCCAATAATGATATGCTATATTTATATGAATATATTATTTAAAGGGCATAAGCTTCTAGAGAGAGGGCACTTGGTACTCAAAAACATATAGGGTGAATGATGATCTCAATGGGAAGGCCTGTAAGCACTCTTGCTTTCTTTTAGTCTGATGAGGCAATTCAGAAACCATCGCCAAAATTTATTTTCTAATAGTGG
This sequence comes from Homo sapiens, assembly GCF_000001405.40. NCBI lineage: Eukaryota > Metazoa > Chordata > Mammalia > Primates > Hominidae > Homo > Homo sapiens. The sequence continues at coordinate 47,404,584 of NC_000007.14, forward strand.
TATAAAAATATGCCTGTGCCCGGCCGGGCGCGGTGGCTCACGCCTGTAATCCCAGCACTTTGGGAGGCCGAGGCAGGCGGATCACAAGGTCAGGAGATCGACACCATCCTGGCTAACATGGTGAAACCCCGTCTTTACTAAAAAAATACAAAAAGCCGGTCATGGGGGCAGGCGCCTGTAGTCCCAGCTACTCGGGAGGCTGAGGCAGGAGAATGGCATGAACCCAGGAGGTGGAGCTTGCGGTGAGCCAAGATTGCACCACTGTACTCCAGCCTGGGTGACAGAGAGACACTCAGTCTCAAAAAATAAAAATAAAAATAAAAATAAAAATATGCCTGTGCCCTTGACTGGACTGGACAAGTTGCTGGTGACCAGGAACGGAGCCCTGCCTTGACCTCATTTGCTCCTGGAGTACACCAAGTCGAAGGCAGACACATGGAATTCTCAAAGAAGTTATCCCTCAATCCAGTGTTTAAAGACACTGATGACTTGCTTAACTTTAGGCCACATAAGTGTATTTTTATTTCAAACTCTCCATCAACAAGAGAAAAAGCACCATGTACCAAGAGAGTCAAGGCTTAAGGTATCAGCCCCAGGAATGCCAGTCCCCAATTCAGAAGTCAGCCCTCAGGTTCCTATCATCCCCCAATGCCAGCCGTTGCTGGGCAGCTCCTATTCAGCTCTGCTTCCCCTAAATTTACTAAGCAAAAGAGCAGAACCCTCAAAGCATCCCTAACAGAAAAGAGTAACATTCTCACTCAATGCTCCACTGGTGGCCCAGGCAACTGTCTACGCAGGCCTCAAGGAATCTGTGAACTCAGAGAATGAGTTACAACCGCATATTTGGAGGGTAAAAAGTTAGATAGCTAAGCCCCATAGGTCAAAGACTTAAGTCAGGCAGGGCCAACACTAACCATGATTTCTTCACTTGGAGCTGAAAATGACTTCAGATGTTCGCAATATTGTAATTCATGACCTAAAGCAATTGAAAGGTGGGTAAATATTGGCTGCAAACGAAAACACAACCAAGTCCACTATGCTGAGATGACAGCATGGATTAAGACCCAGCCCAGTCTAAAAGGGAGAGGAAAAGGCAATCACAAAATAATGCTGTGATGCGTCCAACAGAGATCTGTAGAAACCTCTCCTGGGGCAGAGTCTCAGGAGAACACTTTCATTTTCCCTGGCCTTATGTAAGTGCCCTCGGTAAGAAACAACCAGCAACAGCACTATTTGTTTGTGAAAACTTCTTGAGCAGGCAACACCTTTGTTTACAAGTCGGGTCACTGGAGCGAGGTTCTAGAGCCAGCAACCATGAACACAAAATTCAAGTGGCCGTGGATTTGTCCAAGCAGGGGCAGCAAGATGAAGCATGTGTTTACAAACTGTGGACCTGAGAGCCGAGACCAGGGAGGGAGCAAGCCGGATCAGGCCCCTGGAGCCCTGCCAGACTCCTGATGAGCCCGCTGCCCGCATGAATTCCTGAACAGGGTTACATAACGCCTCGGCTGCCCTCCCCATGGCACTGTCTGACAATGCCATATTTACTAAACCTCTTGAGGTTCTGCCCTTTTGAAAGGAGCAGACTTAAGAATCTGACCTTTTGGGAAAAGCACACTGCAAAGATGGGATGGGTCAGGTGTGCAGCTGGGAGGGGCCAAGCAGGGATGGGCTGGCTGTGTCGAGGCGAAGGCAGACGGTGGGTCAAGGTCAGCTTTGCTGTTGCCTGCAGCAGCTCCATCTGCTAGTAACTGAGTCCAGGGAGTGGCAAGTGGGGCTCTGTTTTCCCAAGTCACTTTCTGCAGTTAGACTTGACTCTGGCCCTTCCTTCTCTGTGAACTTGACCACTGTGATCTTTGCCAGTAAGTCCCAGTGCAGAGGCCCTCATGAGGAAAGCCAGGCAGATGTCCCTGCAGGCAAGGCAGACACCAGAACCACGGAGGGGAAAACTCAAAGAGGACAAGAGGCCTTTTGAAGGAGGAGGATTAAGGATGGCTACCCCGCCTGGGAAGCCACTTTCCGCCTTCAAAAGTACACAGACAGCCTCAGAAAACACCCAGACTGAGGGCACCAAGCCATCTGCAGTCTTCAGGGTGTAAATCTATGCACATGCTTTCTGCTCGTTAGGATCCTCTCCAAGCCATGACTGTTGCCAAAAGAAATAAAACCACCTGCATATCTGAACTTTACACAGAAAAGGCCCTGTAACTTCTTCCCCCACTACAGCCTTCTCAACTTAAGGATTGCTCAGTGAACCTGCAGCAGGGCACGTCACGCAGGCACAGGGAAAAACTGAAGGAAGGGCAAAGTGAAGGCGGCGTGGGCATCCTGTGCTGAGCATGGCAGAGTGGGTCACTGGAAGGTCGGAAGAGGCTGGAGAGGAGGAATCCGGTGCTGCTCCTGCCCTGCACACCCTCAGAACACCCAGAAGAAGCATGAACGGGAGGAGGGGATGGCTCCCGCTCCTCTCTAGGGATGCTTTGCCAATAATGAGAAACGTGCAACCGCATTTTTTTCTTCCTGTGTTGTTCCCTTAGGTCGTTTTCAGAGGGAGTCAACAGCACTGAGATTTCTGGGCTTTGGCAAAAGATGCACTCCCGACTCTGATGGGAGTGCTGGCAGTGACACCCTGGGTTTCTACTCTCCAGGTCGACCACAGATGTGAGCTCTGCTGTGAAGCCACTCCTTCTCTGACACGCTGGAAATCATCTCTCCCACCTAACCTTTAGCTCTTGCCGCCGCGCACCTTCTGCCATGCTCAGTTCCACCTGCCCTAGCTATCTGCATGCTCATCTCCCTGAAGGACCCAGACTCCCGGGAGCAGGAGCCCTGCACTGCCCACTCACGTGTCCACCGCATCTTCTCATGCAGGCCGCACGCTGAACGTGCTCAGGATAAAGGCTGGTGACAAACCACAGCCACAGGGACTGGGCCGTCAATGGCACCTGACTGCGCTAGTAATCTTACTAAACTTTCTAGGAGAGGTTTATTTAATAAACAGACTTGTTACAGGCTGAATGGTGTCCTTCCAAAATCCATAAGTTGAAGGTCTCAGCACTTCAGCATAGGGCTGTGTTTGGAGATGGGGTCTTCACAAAGGTAAATTAAAATGAGGTCATTAGGCTGGGCCCGAATGAATGATAACTGGTGTCCTTGTAAGAAGAGATGAGGACATAGACACACAGAGGGAAGCCCAGGTGAGGACACAGGGAGAAGACAGCCACCTCCAGGTCAAGGAGAGAGGCCTCAGGAGAAACCACCCTGCCCACACCTGGATCTCAGGCTCCCAGCCTCCAGGACTGTGGGAGAATCACCTCTGTTGTTTAAGCTGAGACCAAAGGGTGAAGCCTGAGTTGAGAGGTCAGGGCCAGGGTGGGTGGACAGTGCTAGATCAGCAGGGCTTGGGGACAGAATGGCGGGATCAGCTGGGGCAGCAAGAGGCGGCTGGCGGGTTCCAGTGGCCTGAGGGACACAGAGTCTGAATGCCAAGCAGGTTAGAGCCAGCAACAGGTAGAAGACCAGGAGGAGATGGCAGGCTGGAGAACGCCAGCCCAGGGTGGCCTGGAGGCCATTGGGAACACTCCCAAGGGCTGCAGGTGGGACACTGAGGAAAGGAGGCCACCGCCTCCTTCACCCACTCACGGCCCCTCTCTGCCCTGCCCCACCCTGTTCCTGGGCCTGCCTCATTTATCAAGTGCCAAACCCACACCTCCACCACACCCCTTCCAAGTCCCACCCACACCGCCCACTCAAAGCCTCATTCCAACTGCTACAACAGAGATGCATGTAATGTCTACTCAGACCACACGCTTGGGCTGCGGTGCCCACTACAGGGTGGGACAGGATAAGACGCAGCACCATGGGGAGAGGGCCTATGGGGTGGGTGGGGTGCTGGGGGCTCTTCCAGAGGGAAGAGGCAGTGGCTGCCCCAAAGACTAAGCCACAGTCTGGTCCGATAGAGGAAAGTGACCTGGTGATGCCGCAGGGTCACATCGATGCAGTTTCATCCTCTGCCAGGCGCTGTCCTGGGAGACTTATGTGACTGAGTACATTTAATCCTTACAAACCTGCACTAGGCAGAGGTCTAACACTTCCCAAAACAAAATATGCAAATATGTAAGCCCTACAAAATCTGGTTTCAACCTTCCAAGACAACGACTTTCCTTGCAAGACAGACATCCTTACAACAGCATCAGCCTTTGTGGGTGCCTCAAGCCTGGGATGCTTCATCTGTTTGTATAATAACACCCCTTCCAACCTGGAGCCAACTCACAGGACACGTCCATCTGAGTCCTCCTGTGACCTCTCCCACCCCGTCTCATCAAGGCCTCTGTAGGCTACACGGTATCAGTAGGTTCCCTCCTGCCAGAAAGCCCATGTCCCCAACGGGATCCTCTAGGGCAAAAACTTCACTCATGGGCCTAGAGCAAGCATAGCAACTCCAAAAGCACAAAACATTAAAAAAAAAGACTACTGGATGAATGACAGTAGGAAGAAGGGGCCACAGAAAATAATGAGGAGGAAGGAGGGAGGGAGCAGAGAGGAGGAAAAGGAAGAAGGGCAAGAGGAGGAGGGAGAAGTTTGTAAAGGCAGGGTGGGAGAGAAGAGAGGGGAGAAGAGAAGGAAGGAGGAGGAGGTAGCTGGGAAGAGAGGAGAGGAGCCAGGCACTTCCCAGGAGACTGCCCCCGCCCGCCTGGTCTCAGGAAGACCCTGCAGCTACCAGCCCATAAACAGCCCAGGGGAGAGGGCCCCGCCTGGTCTCAGGAAGACCCTGCAGCTACCAGCCCATAAACAGCCCAGGGGAGAGGGCCGTCCCATGCTCTTGGTGGGCGGTAGGGGGGAAGACACATCTTAGCCTGAGGGTCACCCTCTATGACTGAGTTGTTCAGCTGCCTCCCATGAGTCATCTTAAAGGGACGGAGCCGTGGGGCAATAACTACTCATCACTGAAGACCTGGTTCAGGGAGCACCCGCCCTTGAGATGCTGCCTCCCAGGGCAGGTAGAACACTACGCAAACAAGATGAGGGCGGGTGCAAATCCTACCAGCATCGCCCCCAGCCTCTCTTGGCCTATTCTTTTTTTTTTACCTCTGAGACGGAGTCTCGCTCTGTCGCCCAGGCTGGAGTGCAGTAGCGCAATTTTGGCTCACTGCAAGCTCCGCCTCCTGGGTTCATGCCATTCTCCTGCCTCAGCCTCCTGAGTAGGTGGGACTACAGGCACGCGCCACCTTGCCCAGCTTATTTTTTGTATTTTTAGTAGAGATGGGGTTTCACCGTGTCAGCCAGGATGGTCTCGATCTCCTGACCTCGTGATCCGCCCACCTCAGCCTCCCAAAGTGCTGGGATTACAGGCGTGAGCCACTGCGCCCAGCCCGGCCTCCTCTTTAAAGCTGGAACACTAGACCCAGTTCCAGAGTGGGTGGAGGAGTAAAGTGCTGAACATAGCCGGTGCTCAATACAGACTCAGGCCCTTCGTCCAACGATCCCAGGAAGTGTCCTGGGAGAAGGAGCCTCCAGGGTGAAGCCTCCTAGGAAACAAGCCCAGGGCTGCCTTCTGGACCACAGGATGTGAGGAACACCAGAGCGGATGTTTCTCTCCCCTCCTGGTCCTCCCTCTCACTTCCAGCCACAGGGATGCTGCACCATCGCTGCAGCACAGCACTGCTGAGGACAGACTTCCAGCCCAGGTCCTCCTCCTTAGGACAGTAGAACAGAGAGCTGAGGAAACGGGCCTATAAAAACGTATGACGCACCCCAAACCTCAGCTTTCTTGCCTATGAAACAGGAGGCAAGATGTTTATAAAGTGCTTACTCAATGCCTTGAAAAGGGCTGGGCCCAGCTGTTGTTCCAGACCTGCCTTCCAGGCCTGAAGAACCCCTCAATTAGGTGGTGAGCATGTGAAACAGGACAGACCTGGAGGCCCCAGAGGGACCCCGCAGGCGTGGATGGGTTTAGACTGTCTCCACCTTCAATCCTCTCCACCTTCGATCCTCGCTGATTTGATTTTTGTAAGAATTCAGGACCAGCAAGGTAGGGAGTTCACCATCCACTAAGCTAAGATTTCAAAATCTAGGGGTTACAGGGAAATTAATGAAAATCCTCAAAAACTTTGTATAGGGTATTTATAATACAATGAAAAGCTATTTCTCGAGTCACCCTACTGCCTTATAGAAGTGGGTCTTCCAAGGCCATGAAATCTTTACATTCTATGATTCTATGCATGCTGAAAGTCATACATATGCCTTAAAAGCTTACCTTATTTCAGATAAAAAATTTTCCTAAAATTATTTTAAATGTATGAATTGTTTGTATTCAAGAAAGATAAAAGGCAAAAATGTAATGGCTAATCTCCTCCAAGAACCAACACACATAAGAATCAAAATTATCTGGAGAAATCATTGTTTTGATCATTAATCAAGCTGTAATTGCACCAGCTGTATTTCACACTTTGGCTATTAATGATACATAAATATTCTATTTCTGCACCCACACTCTGGGAGGCCTGTGATCATGTGAAGAATGCAAATTATAGTCAGAACACAGGGGTTCTCAGAAGTGAGTGGCCGAGTTAGGACATTAATTTCCAGGTTGTATATCTCGAGGGGCTCTAGAATGAAAGAGAATCAAGAATGAAGATTTGTTCCGTCCCTTTAATTAAAATAGTTTTATTCAGAAAGTTAACTAAATGCCTTAAGGCAGTGGTCACCAATCTTTTTGGCACCAGGGACTGGTTTCACAGAAGATGATTTTTCCATGGACTGGTGGAGGATGGTTTCAGGATGAAACTGTTCCACCTCAGATCATCATTCTCCTAAGGAGTGTGCAACCTAGATCGCTCGCATACACAGTTCACAATAGGGTTCGCACTCTTATAAGAATCTCATGGCGCCGCTGATCTGACGGGAGGCTCAGGTGGTCATGCTCGCTCGCTGGCCCGGTTCCTAACAGGCCACAGACCGATAAGGTCCACGGCCCAGGCGTGGGGGACCCCAGTGTTAAGGTAAAAGCTACTTTTCCTTCTTCCTACAGGGTACTTTTTTTGGGGGTGAGGGTTACTGTTTTAACACAGAATCATGATTTCAAGTCATCACCACTGGGAGAGTGGGGACACCAACCCATCTGCGGCCACAGCGGGCACTCACCATGACATCTCCCTTCAGAAGCTGGGCCGGCTCGATGACGATGCAGATCCTGCTGGGGTTTTCTGGGCCAACGTTGCTTTGGGATGAAGAAGAAGGTAGATCATTATGCAACTTCATGATTTTGTGGGAAGAATACATGTAGAGAAAAGCAACCCTACAACCCAAAACTCAGAAATTACACAGAATGCCCAATCAGCCCAGAATCTAATTCCTGAGAATCTAAATGAATCTAAAAAGGTAAAGAAAGCTCCCAGGCCATGGAGGGTCCTCATAGCATCATCATGGTCAGTGACTGACTTGAAGTGACTAAGGTCCAACTCCAGAGGCCCGAGCTTGGAGACGACCATGCAGGCTTAGAGGAAGGGGCCCAGGGTGTGCACAGCCACAGTTTCAGTTACAAACTGAGGGTGCAATTCCAGAGTGACATCAGTGCACAGAGGGCCCAGAGCAAACCCAGAAATGTGACAACAGCTCTTTGTGAGTAATGAGAATATTTGTTTCCTTTACTGACTTTTCATAAAATGCCTGTCCACATACAAAAAGACAAAGAAAACTCAGGAATGTGTACAAATTTGGGGGATGTGTGGCTACGTATTGTTTAAAATGCAAAGGAGGCTAGACATGGCTCACGCCTGTAATCCCAGCACTTTGGGAAGCCAAGGCAGGCAGATCACTTGAGGTCAGGAGTTTGAGACCAGCCTGGCTAACATAGTGAAACCCCGTCTCTACAAAAATATGAAATTTAGCTGGGCATGATGGCAGGTGCCTGTAATCCCAGCTACTCGGGAGGCTGAAGCAGGAGAATCGCTTGAACCTAGGAAGTGGAGGTTGCAGTGAGTGGAGATCGTGCCAGAGCGAGATGCTCTCTCAAAAAAAATAAATAAATAAAAATGGAAAACAAAATGGAAAGGAGCGAGAAAGAAAAACCATAGTAGTGAGATCCTATCGTAGGACTCTCTCCAGTAGGCTCACAGTTAACCTTCCCTATTCTTGGGTTCCACATTCATGGACTCAACTGACTGGGGACAGAAAATATTGTGGGAAATAAATAAAAAACAAAAATGCAACCATAAAAAATAATAGAAGTTAAAAAACAATACATTGTAACAACTATTTTCACAGCCTTTACATTGAATTAGGTATTGTTATGTAATCTAGAGATGATTTAAAGTATACAGGAGAATGCTCATGGGTTATATGAAAATACAATGCCAGTTTTTTTGTTGTTGTTGTTTTCTTTTTTTTTCAGACCGAGTCTCGCTCTGTCGCCAGGCTGGAGTGCCATGGCACAATCTCGGCTCACTGCAACCTCTGCCTCTCAGGTTCAAGCAATTCTCCTGCCTCAGCCTCCCAAGCAGCTGGGACTACAGGCACACGCCACCATGCCCAGCTAATTTTTGTATTTTTAGTAGAGACGGGATTTCACCATATTGGCCAGGATGGTCTCAATCTCTTGACCTTGTGATCAGCCCACCTCCACCTCCCAAAGTGCTGGGATTACAGGTGTGAGCCACCAAGCCTGGCCTTTTTTTTTTTTTTTTTTTTTTTTGACTCTCGCTCTGTCACCTAGCCTGGAGTGCAGTGGTGTGATCTCGGCTCACTGCAACCTCCACCTCCCAGGTTCAAGTGAATTCTCCTGCCTCCACCTCGAGTGGCTGGGTTTACAGATGCACGACCCCAAGACTGGCTAATTTTTGTATTTTTAGTAGAGACGGGGTTTCACCATGATGGCCAGGGGCTCGGTGGCTCACATCTGTAATCCTGGCACTTTGGGAGGCCGAGACGGGTAGATCACTTGAGGTCAGGAGTTCAAGACAATGCCGTTTTATAAAACACACTTGAACATCCTCGGATTTGGTAATCAAAGGGGGTCCTGGAATCAATACCCCTTGAAAACCAAGGGGCCACCATACTCCAAAAAGCAAATGGCCCACTCTCCCCTCAAAATTCCAGCCCCCACGTCCTTTAATGGAGCCAACTAGTGTGACAGCCCAAAGACACTTGTGCAGGGCAGGAGGGAGGGCCAAGGCGTGATGCTGGAGCACGGGCCACGAGAGGATTTTCCCCACTGGACTCTTCTTTGGCTTCTTGGCATTCTCTGACCTGAACCCTCCCACACTCTTCCTGCGGGACAGGCAGCTGAGGGTCAGCTGCAGTTCCCTGAGCCGTCCAGGTCCCACAACAGCAGCAGCAGCAGCAGCAGCACTCACTAGATCCCGGAGGTGTACACAGGCTGCATGGCTTGGTAGAGCTTCAGAAAGGGCCGGCACACTGAAAGAAAGGCACAACTGTCTGTAGAGGCATGACCGGTACAGAACGAACAGGAATTTGGCAATCAGAAAGACAGAAAGCGACGAGGAGACCAGGAGACTGCACCTGCGGCCTTTGAGGTCTGGGAAAGCAGTGCATGGAGCCACAGGGTTGCTGCAGGAAAAGGCCGGACCCGGTCCTAGAAGCCTGCAGAGCAACACAGTTTGACCTTTATCCAAAGGGTGCCAAAGGCTCCTGAAGTGAAGCCAAGCTGCTTCAAAACCAACTAGCAGCTTGGCAAGGTCACTCTGGCCATAATGACCAGGGGGACCTGAAGGCACAGATGTACTTCAGAGACAATAGAAACCTCTGAGCAAGCACCTGCATGCGACTGGCGAGGAAGGGCAAGGGTCCTGAATCCCAGCCATGTGCTGTGTGTGCCTGCATAGGACTGGGAAGGAGAGGACAGGGCCCTGACCCTCAGCCATGTGCCATTTGCTCCTGCATGGGACAAGGGAGGAGGGATAGGGCCCTGCTGACCCTCGGCCATATACTCTGTGCACCTTTGGGGAACTGGGGATGTGGAGACAGGGCCGTGATCCCCAGTCGTGTGCTGTGCTCATCTAAGTGGGACAGGAAGGAGGGCTCAGGGCCCTCACCCTCAGCTACATGCTGTGTGCTTTCCTGTGGGGTCATTTTAAAGGAGGAGGAGGAGATGGGTTCATGAGATGCGTCAGGGGAGACTGGGTCACATTCATGCCTCTTACTGGGCTTCTTCCATGGCTTGTGACCTCAAGGCCAACTGCACAGCTGACCCACTAGGGCTGCAGCCCAGAACAATGCTTGTCTGCCCTAGTCACTGTGCATATACACAGGGGTATTTCTGATCCCCCTTGCTGGCCGCCAGTCCCTCCCCTGATTAAATAACTTGGCCCAACCACATAAACATGGGGCTCTGACCACTGAAGGGGGACCCAGTCAATCGCCAGGGAGGCAGAGGAGCAGATCCTGGGCCCTCTCGGAAGGAAAGCCGAGGCTTATCTAAATTGAGGGGCCCAGGACCAGCTCCAAGTCTGGGCCAGCCAATCGCAGGTGCCACGTCATAGGGGACACTCACCTCCACCTGTGTCGAAGTTGGGGGTGCCGTGGAGGATGACAAAATGCAGGAACAGGGGAGAGGCATTCATTTTCACCGATCCGGACAGGAGCCCACTGAGGAACTGAACATACCTGCAAAACGGACAGCTGGGTTACACTTCCCAGAAGTGTCTTCAGCCTCTGCTGAGAAGGGAACTCAAGGAGAAACACATCCTGGCTGAGTCTGGGGCTCTGGGAGAGAATCGGTCCACTGCTCACAGCCAGGGGTTCTCAGCATGGTGCTGCGCTTACAGGTCTGAGGGCTTCCCACCAGCGCACCAGGCACCAAGCACCAGACACCAAGGCACAACCGGCCTCTTGGCTTGAGCATCCCACACCTGAAAGGCCTCTGTGCCTGTCCACTGAACCTATCGCCAGGCAAAGCCAGGCCACAGGCCACAGGCCATCACAATCCCCACTGGTGAGCAGCAGGAAGCAGAGGCCTGGCACACCGGTGGGCGTGTGCTCTGTCACTAGCATTGCACCTATGGCAGGGTCACATGACCCAGGCCCAGAACCACTCACTGCACCTGCTGCTTTCTGCTCATACTCGAGAGCCCTAAGAAAAGGCTGGAGTCCATACTCCCCTCCTATCCCGCAGCCTTCCACGCCACATCTGATAAGAGGCTCTCCTTCCTGCTGTCCCCCTCTTCAAGGCCCAGCTCCAAAGGCGAAGGCCATGTGGGCCATCAGCCTTTCTGAGTTCTAGGAGTCGGCCTCATGCTTCCAACACTGACTGCACACAACTTCCATGAGCATTTGGTGGTCAAGAGGGAAGCTTCTACACTAGGAGCATCTGACTGCTGGGGTCCTCATGAGGCATGACGTGGCAGCAGTGACCACAGGATGAGCCGGAGGCTTACCAAGCTCTCTGACGCTTCCCTGGCCTGTCCTGCCTGTTGGTGCCCTGCCTGGCGTGGCCCCTGCCCTGAGGTCCCTCACCATGGCCACTTCACCCACATAACCTCCACTGTAGCCTCAACACCTTGCATGGAATCTGTGTTTCCATATCTGTCTCCACCAAAGTACTGTACTCTTTGCAAGAAAAACCCAAACAATCAAAAACTCCGCAATATTTAACAATCTGTGCATCTCTCTACTGCCATGGCAGACTGAGGCAGGAAGTGGCAGGTGACTGTGTTGCCAGCACCTACAACCATCCTACCCTAAGCCAGAAACGGCCATCATGGACCTTGTGTTAAGACAAAAGTCTCTCACTTACGCTGGCAATTCACACCCAGTCCCTTATTCAAGCAGTTAAATTTGTATACAAACAAACTAAACAAGAGAAGATTTCTGTTAAACATTAACAAAAAAGGAAAGCCCTACTTATAGTCCACCCACTAGGAAAATGTTAGAAAAGCGAGTTTGCTTCAGTTCAGTTACAATTCGTAGTGAGAAACAGGGCATGTCAGTATTTCCATCTTCCTGGCAGCAAACTTCTCTTCTGCTCTCTCAGAACAGGGCAAAACCTCACAAGAGTCGCAGAGGACAGATGCTCAGCCTGGAGACGTGGGGACCCTGTGAGGCTGATGACCAGACTTCAGTGGACCTCCAGGCAGCTCCCACACGCCTCTCCTGCAGGGTACTTTCTACCCTGGCAACAAGACTTCTCACCCTCAGTTGTACGTAGGCAGAGGAATGCATGAATTGTATATGTTTAATCATGCAAATTTTACGCATTGTGGATTTCATGGGTCCTTTGGCTCCCTGGTTTTGAGTAAAAGTGAGGAACCACAAATGCCCGGATTGAGAGGCCTGAGTCACCTCCTCTGGAGCAGTTCCGCCCTCCTTCCAGCACGGGGCAGCCCTGGTCACTGGGAAATCAGCTTCCTCAGCTCGTCCAGTTTGTCAGTGGCACCCTGAGTCCCACACTGCCTGGCCATGTGCTGCAGTGACCACGCGGCTAAGACGGACCTGTTCCCTGGGGGTGTTCTCAGTGCCCCATGTGCACCTGGACCAGGCATCTAGGTGAAGTCGATGTTTGTTTTATGACTTCCTGCAAACATGGAAGACTCTGGAGCGCTGGGCCTGAGGGGCTCCTGTTCATGGCAGCATAAGGGGTCCAAGTAGCTAAGCCCAGAGTTAGCGCCAAGGTCCTATGAGGGGCAAACAGCCATCCTCCGGGAAACCATGGCCTCTCCCTGACCCAGGTCTTGTACCATACTGTGGTCACACAGCTTCATTTCTGCTGATGTGGCCTGGCCGAAATTGTTGCCCCTGACACCAGACGAAGCACGAGAAGTATTTCCTTCAGATGAGGAGGGCCAAGCTGACAGCAGAAGAACTTTGTTTTGCCACGAGCTCCCAAAGAAGGCCAAAGTCCAGGGCCACAAGCCCAGTAGTGGTCAGAGGGGAAGGGAAGGAGGCTGTCACTGCCTGGGACCCAGGACTCCAGAGTCTTCTCCCCAAAACCAGTTCTCAACAGTCATCACCTCCCAGGTCAGTCTACAAAGGGCTGCTCAGGTGGTAGCTTAACCAATCAAAAAGTAACCTCTTGGAATATAATTCTCATCTGTCCTTTATAGAAAACAACTTTTTATGCATCATATTTTCAGGTAAATTAAAGACATAAAATGCTAAGGTAAATGTAATTTTTTTTCTTCCTTCACATGCTTTCTTAATAAGGTAAGATTAACAACAACAACAAAAAAAAACCAACATATTGTTCAAAATCCCAAATAAAAGCATGCCTTTAAAAAACATTTTTTAAAAAATAGCAATGCCTTATAAAAACAACAAAGTTCACTGCAACTATAAGCTGTAGTGAATGCTATGAGATTGCAGACAGATAGCCAACGTAGGTAATAGCACTGAGTTTGTGAGTGACTTCTTAGAGAACCACCATCAGTACCAAAGAACAGAACATTCAGGTATGGATGAAAATAAGGGAGGCCAGGCGCAGTGGCTCCCGCCTATAATCCCAGCACTCTGGGAGGCTGAGGTGGGAGGATCACCTGAGGTCAGGAGTTTGAGACCAGCCTAGCCAACATGCTGAAATCCTGTCTCTACAAAAAATTAATTAATTAATTTTAAAAATTAGCTGGGCATGGTGGCATGCGCCTGTAATCCCAGCTACACAGGAAGCTGAGGCATGAGAATTGCTTGAACCAGGAGGCAGAGGTTGCAGTGAGCCTAGACTGCACCACTGCACTCCAGCCTGAGTGACAGAGCAAGACCCTGTCTCAAAGTAAAAAAAGAAAAGAAGGGGAAATGAACATAATAGGACAGAATTGCACAATTAGTTCATCCAGCTGACTATGGAAAGGATCAACTTTAACTTCGTATACACAGTATTTATCTGTGGCATTAAAGGTAGATATAAATGAATCAATTGTAGGGTATCAGATGCCCTCTAAAGACCATCCCAACAGCCTTATCCAAAATAAAATGTTCCTACTTAGTCAACACAGTTTTCAGAGCTGGAAAGATTAGAAACCAGATACTTTATAAAAACAGCTCCATTATTTTCCCATTGCTATCTTTTCTTTCTTTTTAGGAAATAACTCCCTGGAGATGATGTTTTCCATGCTGCTTCTCAAACCAGTGAGTACATTTTAAAAACTAAAGGATTGTTTTTAAACTTGTAAGCAAACGAACATAAAAGCAGCTTGAAATTTTCAGTTGTCCCTTGCATTATTCACAGCCACTTCTAACAGCAAAAACTTCCATTTGGAATCTCCATAAATCTCCCTAAACATTTGAGTTGCACTAGACGTTAGCTTAAATCTGTCTGAAATGGTGGGTGCATAAAAATCAGCATTCAAATGTTACTTTTTCCAAGCAACAGGAACCATCGTCACAGGACATCTTTCCCAACAGCTTACTCATTCTACATTCCCAGCACTCACAGAGTCAGCCATGGCTGCAGGGGCAGCACCAACCGGCCAGGAAAGGTGAGCTGGGCCACCTGTTGGTGTCAGCCAAGCCTGGGCTGTTTCTTAACGTTCTGCTGAGCATTCCCTTCCCTCTCATGTAATGGGAAGAATAATGAGACCTACACATTGGAATTGCTGCAAAGATGAGTCAGTTGCATGGACATAAGGGTCAGAGTAGACCACAACACATCTGCCACAGCCTCTGCTCTCCTGAGGTATGCTGCCAGAGTGTAGGTGGCTTTGCCCACAGAGTTGGAGGCTCAGAGGGGATGTCCAGGCCCAGGCAAAGTGTGTGGCTCCCTGAGGAATGGTCACCCTTTTTCCGCAGGCTGTGGGCAGCAAGGAGGATGTGCAGGGAGGGGCCACAGGGGCATGAAGTAAAATAGCCTTTGCAAAAATTTTAACAGTGAGAGAAGTATGACAGTGAAAGAGATCTAATGTAACCAACCCCCATCTTGCCTTTAACCTCCTAGCTGCCCTTGGCTATTCCTGGGCTTGGACCAAACTAACTTTAGGAGAAAGTAAAGTTTATAGTTTAAATGATAATAGCCCAAAACTAAACCACTTTTGTAAAACTAATGCAAGACCACCACATTGGTAGGATGAAAGCGGCTTGAATTCTGCCAAGGTATAGACTTAAAAGATTACTCTGGGGATCACAAGATTTGCAACTTCCTCAATTACTGCTAGAGATAACATCACCATTGTAGAACCTAAGATTGGCCTTTTGAGATGTCTATTCAGGCTTTTGCATTTCTGACAACTGACAGCTCTACCTGACCTGCCAACTGTTCTCTGGCCCCACCCAGAAGTGGACTCAGAGGCAAAAGGGTCACTTTCCCCTATGATTGCACCCCCAACCACTCAGCAGCACCCCATTCCCTAGCCACCCCCTTCTCCCCAAAATATCTTTGAAAAACCCTAGCCTCCAAATTTTCCAGGGGGCTGATTTGGGTAGTAATAAAACTCTGGTCTCCTGTTCAGCCAGCTCTGCATGAATTAAACTCTTTCTCTACTGCAATTCCCCTGTCTTGGTAAATCGGCTATATCTGGGCATTGAATAATGAACCCATTTGTCGGTTACAGAGACTATCTGAGGAGCCTCATCCTTTAGAGAATGTGGAAAACTACTCTCCTTGTATCTTTAAAGTATTCTTTCAGGCACCTGAGGTACTGTGTCAAAAATGACAGAAATATGAAAAATCAAATAATGCCATTTTTACAGGCAGTTAGACAGGCATGAGCAGGGCAGCAGAGGGCTCTTTCCGCACGCACTAGGAGAATGTGGGGTAATGGTTCGGCAATTATCACATTGCCTCTCTGAAAGTGATACACTGGCAGCTGGTGCCAGGAGGAGGCCGTTTCCTGATGGTCCACGCCTATTGCACTGTTAATTGAATGCAGGCTCCAGGGAGACACAACTTCTTGGGCACGTGCATTAACAGAAAAAATGGCAGAGTATGACCTTCTCAGGGTACATCACCAGAAAAGGGAAGAAACCCTCAGATAGGCATGCGTACAACTTCCTAAACATACTGCATGTGCTCACTTCCCAAGCAAAAGGAGGGCACTATGCATTCGGGCAGCCCCCTCTGAGGGAAGAATCACGGGAAAGGGGCACAAGACATGGGAAGTGGGCCAGCCTATAAAGTCTAGGACCAAGGTTAAACACCACACTTGACCTTCATGTGCCCGCTTGGGTCTCTTCTAAGCGTACTTTCCTTTCTTTCTTGTTCTAAAGCCTTTTAAAATAAACTTCCACTCTGGCTCTGAAACTTGTCTCTGTCTCTTTTTCTGCCTTATATCCCTCAGTCAAATTCTTTCTTCTGAGCAGGCAAGAATTGAGGTTCCTGCAGACCCTTATGGATTCACTGCTGGTAACTCGGATACCTTCCACCAGTAACACTATATAGGATAATTTCTAGGACATCCTGATTTCTGTATGCCAAGACATTTGTTTGGTCTGTCTTCCCTTTACCTCAAAGGGACACCCAAATGTGCATAGACAACATGACTGATGGTCTTAGGTGACTCCCACATGGGGCCTCCCAGGGTCACCTTGGCAGGCAACACTCAGGAGAGATCAGCTCCCCAAAGAAACAACTGGCTACCTGTCACTTTCCCCATTAACTCCGTGATGGGGCCAAGAAACATGTGCTGCTGTCTCAACTATCTCAGAAAGAAAGGAAAGGCAGAAAAGAAAAGAGATGTCAGAAACGTTAATAATTTTAATATTATTTCCATGATGCTGATAATAAACCAAAACTATACCCGGATTTTTGGGGCGTTAGGAGGAGACAGGGTCTAGCTCTGTCATCCAGGCTGGCATGCAGTGGGGCAATTACAGCTCACTGTAACCTCCAACTCCTGGGCTCAAGGGATCCTCCCACCTCAGCTTCCAGAGTAGCTGGGACTACAGGTGTGTGCCATCACATCCAGCTAATTTTTTTTTTTTTTTTCTGATAGAGATGGGGTCTTCCTGTGTTGCTAAGGCAGGTCTCAAACTCCTGGACTCAAGGGATTGTCCGGCCTCAGCCTCCCAAAGAATCGGGATTACAGGTTAGAGTCACTGTGCCACACCCAGTATTTCTTTTTAACTACTTCTCAAAGAGGAAGGCTTCCAAGTTTAGGGAAGGAAGTTCAGGGGTGCCTCAATAACACAATGGTGGTCATGAGCACCAACAGGAGGCCACACTGGGGTGTCAACAAGCTGCTTCTCATGATTTGCTGAAGACAAGGAAGGTATAAAAACAGAAAACTTACATGGGCACATGTGAGTTTTACGGGTCAGCTCCATGGGCCAACTGCTCCATGGCGTTTCAGTGTAACAAAGATTGACCTCCCATCAGAGTTGCTGTTGAGACTTCTGAGCTTCCCAGTCACAAATTCCTTGCTAATTAATTATTCTCAAGAGTGATTATTACGAGTTTGACTTTAAAATGATTTCTTGAGCTCAGTCCTAAAGCAGCCTGCAGCGCACCCATCCCACTCCCCAGGCCATTCAGGACAACAGAGAAGCCTCCCATCACAGAGCCTATTCCCATACAAGCTGTCCTCACACGTTCTTCTGGTCTCAAACTTTCCTCCAGATTTATCTTATGCATTCATTCGTTTACATGCTCGATTACCATTTGGTGAGCATCTTTTCATGCAGGCTCTGGTCAAAATAAAAAGAAAAGAGCAAGGAGTAAGGGGCATTTCCCTAATCTCAGGAGCAGAGGGATTAACCTTGGAATGTAAAATTGAATCCAGCAAGCATTAAAAAATGCAAATGTTCTGGCTTCAAATGTGCAATGACGGGAAGGATGCATGAAAACCCTGGGCATGGGAATGTGAGAAGAGCAGGGCATGGTGGCTCACACGTGCAATCCCAGCATTTTGGGAAGCCACAGCAGAAGGATTATTCAAGCTCAGGGGTTCAAGACCAGCCTGGGCAACACAGTGAGACACTGTCTCCACAAAAATTTTAAAATTAGCTGAGCATGGTGATGTGCGCCTATAGTCTCAGCTACTCAAGAGGCTGAGGTGGAAGGATTGCTTGAGCCCAGGAGGTTGAGGCTGCTGTGAGCCAAGATTGCACCACTGCACTACAGCCTGGGTGACAGAGCAACACTCTGTTTCAAAAAAAGAAAAAAGAAAAGAAAAAAAAAATGAAGAGATATCTTCCCCCTTTTTCCATATTCTTTTAATGTTATAAACAAGCTGCTGGTGCCGTAAGAAATAAGAACAAAAAAAAGAAAAGACGACAGCTGGACTTCCTGTGTGCCAAGCATTCTGCATGGGTTACTCCCTATTTACACCTCATTTTCCATGCAGGAGGTCATATGAATGTCACGATTTTGGAAACTGTTCAACAAAGAAATAACATTTAATGGTTCCAAAAAAAAACAAAAAAAAAACCCAAGTGACTGTTTAACTAAAATATTTTAGAAAATGCTAGGTTTTCTGCACACAACTTGCATTGCATGTGGGCCCTGTTGCTGACCACAGTCCTACACCCTAGCCCATGTTCCTCCAACACACCCGGTTTCAAGAGAAACAGAGCCATGCCATTGGAAATAGCAAGACAAAAGGAAAAGGTGCCTCTGGTGATGCTTGAAATCCCTTTCTGCCCGTCTACCCCCATGTCTGCTGACATAGCCCTCAGTTGCACTGGAGAAAATAGATACAAGGCATCAAAACTTGCATACACAAGGTCGGGTGTGCAACTACCTGTCTCCAAAACGGAACACCATTTGGCAATCACCTTGGCAATTCTCCTACAAATTCCCTGCTGTGGGCTTTGAAATATGCCATGGAGCTACCTGGTTGGCTCTAAGTGTCACCATCTGTGGAGGAAGTAAGTGCACCTGGATGGGGAGCCAGCTGTGGGTCCTTCTCACTGCCTCTCAGCCAGCCCTGCTCAGGTTCTTGACCTCAGCCTGCTGGGGTGGGCAGCAAAAGGAGAAAGTTCTGCACCCCACCATGACTATTCCCCATCACTTACTGAGCTCATTCCAGGGGCCACGCCCAGGAGCAGAGAAGGGAGAGATGGGCAGCATGACAGAAAAATACTCCGTGGCCTCAGGGAACTGATGAGCTACAAGAATTGGCCAAGTGCAACTGCTAATGTGTTTGTGTAAGTAAAGTTTTATTGCAATACAGCCACATTCCCTGATTTCCATATTGCCCAGGGCTGCTTTCATGTTAGAACAGTTGCGATAAAGATCCTGTAGCCTGCAAAGCCTAAAATATCCACTCTCTAGTCCGTTGCAGAGATAGTTCACTGACCCCTGGTCTAGCCAATAGAACCAAGTTCCAACATAATAATGGAAATCAAAACTCACTCACTGCAAGAGAGGAAAATGCCAACTGGAGCAAGTCCTCCCTTTACCTGTCAGTGCAAGCCAGCAGCATAGGGGGCTGTCTCTCACCACAGACACACAGGATGGCTAAGTCCTTAACCTCTGGGAGGGACAAGTCTCCCCACCACCTTCACAGTCTTTGGCATGACCCAAGAATACTATTCATTTAGGTGTCGGGACAGAGGAGATGCCTCTTCTGTTTTCACATTTTTATATGTAAAATTTCATTCACCTCTTCACTCTGGCTTTGGGGATCTATACATACCGTTTTTGGGAAGGCTGCATTAAAGCTGAAACTTTGTCATCATAAAACTTCTTCATTGCAAACCTGTCAAGGGCCTGGTCGGCGCTGAAGGGGAGAGAGAGAGAAAGAGAGTTAACTCAGTGGAGCCCACACCACGTGGGTACTTGACGGGGGATGTGTCTCATGGCTGTTCAAAGCGACCAGCTCCCACAAGGGGCTTCACCCTTTGCTGCACCTGTGCACACCCAATCCACCTGTCCCTTGTTAGACTTCATTTCCCCCGCAGGAATATGCTGTGCTCAAAGTGGGAGCCATAGTGCAGGGTCAGAATTCTCATCTGAAATAACAGCTCCTTATCTAAAGATATTATTCTTAAGAGTGCTGAATACCCAGCTTGCAGAAGAACCAACTGAGGCTTCTCAGCAGGCAGGTGGTAG
Organism: Homo sapiens; assembly: GCF_000001405.40. Classification (NCBI taxonomy): domain Eukaryota; kingdom Metazoa; phylum Chordata; class Mammalia; order Primates; family Hominidae; genus Homo; species Homo sapiens. The sequence goes on from NC_000007.14 coordinate 47,424,517, forward strand.
GGCTGGTGTCCAAAACTGTCCCTTGGCCACCCTACGTCCTAAATAAAGAAGACCATTTTAAGTGGGCTCTGTGCAAGACAAGCAGGCAGACTCAAGTTTCAGGACCACATGGATGCAGGGAGCAACCCAGGGCAGGAGAGTCAACAGACACCCCCATGAAGTCCCAAGAGGCACCCTCGGGACACAAGTGGGCCAGCCTGTGCCCCGCCAGTATGTCACTCCCAGGACTGGGCTTGAGAAGGCTGTAGGGCACTGGGGTTGGAAAGGTGTCTCAGGCCTCGGGGCTGCAGCATTGTTTTTGAAGTGACTGAAAGTAACCCTGCTTTCCAACAATATATTTGACCTTCAATGCCAGGTCCACAGTGCCCACAGGAAGTGTCTGACAGAAACTTCCAGAAATCTCACAGCAGGGCATTCATGGGATTTCTTGATATGACTTCAGCACAAATCCTGGAATATGAGTGCAGTGTCTTAACAATTCCAACTCATTTGGGCCAAATGCTTCCTTAAAACCCTGATAGGCTGGGTGCGGTGGCTCACGCCTGTACTCCCAGCACTTTGGGAGGCCAAGGCGGGCGGATCACCTGAGGTCAGGAGTTCAAGACCAGCCTGGTCAACAGGGTGAAATCCCAGCTCTACTGAAAATAAAAATTACCGCGGCATGATGGTGGGTGCCTATAATCCCAGCTACTTGGGAGGCTGAGGTGGGAGAATCACTTGAACCCGGGAGGCAGAGGTTGTAGTGAGCAGAGATCGCACCATTGCACTCCAGCCTGGGTGACAGAGTGAGACTCCATCTCAAAACAACAACAACAACAACAACAACACCTGATAAAGTGGGCCCGTTACTTAGAAAAATGTGTCTGTGCCCCTCCAGAAAAATGATGTACATAAGCACTGCGGACTTCATAAAAATCCTGGTAGAGAGACAGGCAGGAGGAAAAAGAAACATACTCAAAAGTAAGTTGAGTGTGATTTGACTTTCACAGAATACTATAAAATGGACAACTTGCTACGTGCATTTGCTAGGCAAGGGGCTGTGCTGGTGGGGCAGTCACACACAGAAGGGCCCACTTTAGCACCGAGTCCATCACATACTGAGCAGCAGAGTGCAGCTCCATAGCCTCCCAGTGACTTTTAAGCATTCCTTTTTCTGAAATTTACTTGTTTTATTAAATGCTGAGAATACATTTTGACCAATGTTTATTTTCTATAGTGATATGAGTAGTAGTAATAATATTAGTACTGGTTTTGTCTTTATAACTCTTATTTCTATGGTGTTGATACAAGAATGTTCTTCTCTGGTGACTTGAAGTTTCTTTTTTCTTCTGTTTGCAGTTTGTGATAAAGATCTCAAATGTGTGCTTGTGCTATCTGGGATTACTCTACTTCTGGAATATAATCTAAGAGGGAACATTGTAGAAATGATCAAAAATATATGTATAAGAATGTGTTCATCATGGCAAGCTTTGCAGTAGAAAACAACTGGAAGCAACCTAAATTACAAAAAAAAAACACACACTTAGGAGGCTGAGGTGGGCAAATCACGAGGTCAGGAGTTCAAGACCAGCCTGTCCAACATGGTGAAACCACGTCTCTACTAAAAATACAAAAAATTAGCTGGGCATAGTGGCGGGCACCAGTAATCCCAGCTACTTGAGAGGCTGAGGCAGGAGAATCACTTGAACCTGGGAGGTGGAGGTTACAGCGAACCAAGATCACGCCACTGCACTCCAGCCCCGGCAACAGAGTGAGACTCTGTCTTAAACACACACGTACACAAAACTGGAAGCAACTTGGATAGGCAAAATCAACAAATGCTTAAATACATAACATATCCATTGAATAAAGTGCTATGCTGCCACTGAAATGATGTCGGGAAATGATGCATATAAAATGATATTAATGTAGAAAATCAAGTCACAAAAAGCATGTGGTATCAGCCCATTTAATTGAAAGGCACTTAATACTATTACTCCTAATAATCACAGCAGCGTTAATGATAGCCAATACCTGAGTACCGATGCTGTTCTAAGTGCTTTTTGTGTAACATATGTTGAACTGTCACAACATTCTGGGAAGTAGAGCTACCATCATTTTCCAGGTAAGGATGCTGAGGCTTAGAGAGATTCAGGTAAATTGCCTGACACATGCAGCTGAAATACATATTGACTATTGAGAGAAAACAGAGTTTGTACCAAGAGCGTCAAAGGTGTGTTTTTAGCCCTAAGACATCTACCCTTCCCAAAAAATCCGGGACTATCCACAGTGCATGGAACTTCGGTTCAGGCAGTACTACTTTGCTGGGGATAGAAATGCTCAGGTGTGGCTGGGCGTGGTGGCTCACACCTGTAATCCCAGCACTTTGGCAGGCCGAGGTGAGTGATCACCTGAGGTCGGGAGTTCAAGACCAGCCTGGCCAACATGGTGAAACCCTGTCCCTACTAAAAATACAAAAAATTAGCTGGGCATCTTGGCACACACCTATAATCCCAGCTACTCAGGAGGCTGAGGCAGGAGAATCGCTTGAACCCGGGAAGCAGAGGTGGCAGTAAGCCAAGATTGCACCACTGCACTCCAACCTGGGCAACGAAGCAAGACTCTGTCAAAAAAAAAAAAAAAAAAAAAACAGAAGTGCTCAGGTGGTCTCTGTCCAGAACCAGCCAGGCTATGTTTAGTCACCAACCAAATGTCTTTGGCATCATTGAGGGATGGATGTGCCCAGGAATCTCGATTTTCCTGGCACACACACACACCGATGATTATTCTCACCAAGAGGGTATCTGATTTTCACTTGGGGGTTGGTTTCCTCCCTGGCAGGCACCAACTCCTCAGTTGGTTTCCAGAGAAAACATTCAGAAAGTCAAATTTCACTCCTTGGTGCTAGAAAGGAAAAGGTTTATCGGCTGATATGAATAGGCTTCTATTTCCTCAGAATGGAAAGTTCAGGCTTTACAAAGAGGCCATTGAGAAGACAGGGCAGATGCAAATGTAGACCCCATAAATAATATTTTCTGCACTGCATTTCAGCGAGAGTGAAGATCTGCACTCTGGGAAGGGTCCGGGTGTACACCACAGCTGCCCAGGGCCAGAAGGATGGGCATAGGGCTGAGGTCCTTGTGGCCCTGCTGTGTTTGTGTCATGTCTGGCTTAGGGGACCCGAGTGGCACCTCCAAAGTCTCCACGATTACAGTTCCATCTCATGGAAACCAGCCCAGACCTGGCTCTCCACTCCTAGGCTGTGAGATCATGAGCAAGCTGCCTGGCTCCTCTGAGCCTCACCTCCCTCATCCATGCAATGGGAATGATAGTAACTGCCTCGTGGATTAGTTAGGAGAATTCAGGGAGAAAAGGAAAATAATCAGTATACTTCCCAGAGGCCCAGTGCCTGCAAAAGAGGTGGCTGTCATCATCATTATATACAAGGTATGAGCTGATTTAGTGAGACCACTCTGTTCTTTTCATAATGGTGACTTTTATCTCTGTTATTTTTTGTTAGAGAATTCTCTATTAAAGAACAAGGGACAGTGGGGTCACTTATTTTTTTAATGCCTCCATGGAAGTACTTAGAATCAATCACACAGTCACCCAACCTGGAAAATGCCACTTTCACAAGTGTAAACGCTTAACTGGAAACTGGGTTTCTAGGCACTGACCAACCCAGCACTGGGGAATGGGAAACACAGGTCAGCCGAGCCCTTGGTATCCAGAACAGCTCCCGCGCAGACAGCCTTCAGCCCCATGCAGGCCCAGCTTTTAGCACCTCAAGACAGCGAGCTGACATCTTCATCCTACCTGGCTGAGACGTTGGTGAAATGCATGTAGGATGATATGACCACTCCTATGCGTCCTTTCCCGCCCTGCAGGAGACAAAAGATCAGCTGATTTTCTCTGAAATCCCACAGCAGAGATGTAATTAGAACAGGAAAAGACTCACTAGTGGACAAAACAATAGAGAGCCTGCTTTGGTGGTAAGGCCAGCATTACCCACAGCCTTCCTGTCTGGGAAAGTCAGTACCCAGTGCAACTGGAGTCTCTGCAACAGGGAACCCGCACGCTGGGTGCAAACAGTAAGAGTGGGTGCTAACTGGAGCAGCTGTAGAAGCCCAGGAGGGCTGACCAACACAGCAGCTGCCTGTCATTTTACCCAATTAGGCTGGAAAAAACTGTGCCAGGAGCTGCAGCAATTAGCATGACTTAATTATCCAGGTCAGACAGAAGTGAACGCCTGCCTGCTCACGGGCTGACAATGATCAGGGCTGCAAACACAGCTCAGCATGATGGGACATAGATTCCAGCTTACTGGCAGCACTGCCGGCACCTGAGCTCCACATACACCGCCGCAGCCCACCCTCATTACACATAAAGGAACCACTGTCCCAGGCAGAAGTTCTGGAAAAGGACTCACTCAAACCATAACCACAGACACCAACAGCCCAGCCCACAGACCAGCAACACCAGCAGGAGAAGCAGAAACTATTGGACAGGCCACCTTCACCCAGGGCCACAGAGTGCCACCTTCTAGAACATACTCTTACAACCTACAACAGCAGATTGCAAACCACAGCCCAGGAGCTACTTCTGCCCATTACCTACTTTCCCACAACTTGTGAGCTAAGAGTTAGTTTTACATTTTCTAACTATTAAGAAAAAATTTTGAAAAGATAAGATTCCATGCCATGTGAAAATGTGTTGAAGTTCAGATTTCAGTGTCCAAACACAAAGTTTGACTAGAACATGGCCACTCCCATCTGTTTACCTACATCCAGGGCTGCTTTCACTCTCACTGCAGGGGTAGGTTTGAGTATTTGCAGCAAGACCACGGGGACTGAAAAGTGTAAAATACAATCTGGCTCTTTTTTTTTTGGAGACGGAGTCTCACGCTCTGTCCCCCAGGCTGGAGTGCAGTGGCACAATCTCGGCTCACTGTAAGCTCCGCCTCCCGGGTTCACGCCATTCTCCTGCCTCAGCCTCCCAAGTAGCTGGGACTACAGGCGCCCGCCACCATACCCAGCTAATTTTTTGTATTTTTAGTAGAGATGGGGTTTCACCATGTTAGCCAGGATGGTCTCGATCTCCTGACCTTGTGATCCACCAGCCTCGGCCTCCCAAAGTGCTGGGACTATGGGACTACAGGCGTGAGCCACCGCACCCGGCCTAATCTGGCTGTTTTTAAAAATATTTGCCAACCCCTGATCTGGAATCATATAAAGCCAAAAAGGCAGGGCCTCTAATATGTAGCTCCCTAACTTCTTGAGAAGAAACTACTGATCAAATTCAAGTCACAATTCTGATAAGCCCAGTCATACATGAAAGTCACCCAGGAGCATCCTTCTCTCTGTCAGTGAAAGTCAAGAGCATGCCTTATAGATACTCAATGCGGGCACTTGATACACTCTTTGCAGCTGAATCCTGGCACGTGCAATTATTAATGGTATGGCTACTAGTATACCTCTTGCATAAAACTATATTTGACAGCAATTCACCTACAAAGAAACAACACCTCAGCCAAAACAGGCACACATGGTGGTGACATTCACCCCATTATCAATCACTTTTGTGGCACTATTTATGGATGTATAAAGCAAGTATTTCTTTTCTTTTCTTTTCTTTTCTTTTTTTTTTTTTTGAGACAGAGTTTCGCTCTTGTTGCCCAGGCTGGAGTGCAATGGAACGATCTTGGCTCACGGCAACCTCCACCTCCCGAGTTCAAGCGATTATCCTGCCTCAGCCTCCCAAGTAGCTGGAATTACAGGCATGCATCACCATGCCCGGCTAATTTTTTGTATTTTTAATAGAGACGGGCTTGCTCCATGTTAGTCAGGCTGATCTCGAACTCCCGATGTCAGGTGATCCCCCCGCCTCGGCCTCCCAAAGTGCTGGGATTACAGGCATGAGCCACTGCACCCGGCCTATAAAGCAAATATTAAAAGATCTGAAGGGACAGATAGAAATACCACAACCGTACGGGACTTCAGTACCCCATTTTCAACAATGGACAGATCACCTAGACAGAAAACCAGTAAGAAAACAGGGTACTCAACCTGCACTTTAGACCAAATAGACCTTACAGACATATACAGAACATTGCATCAGAATACGCATTCTTCTGAAGTGCACACAGAAAGTTCTCCAGCATAGATGGCATGTTAGGCCACAAAACAAACCTTAACGAATTTAAGGAGACTGAAATCATATTCAGTATTTTTTCTTTTTTTTTTTTTAATGGAGTCTCCCTCTGTCATCCAGGTTAGAGTGCAGTGGCATGATCTCAGCTCACTACAACCTCCACCGCCTGGGTTCAAGCGATTCTCGTGCCTCAGCCTCCCGAGTAGCTGGGAATACAGGTGCATGCCACCACACCCAGCTAATTTTTTTGTATTTTTAGTAGAGACGGAGTTTTGCCATGTTGGCCAGGCTGGTCTCGAACTCCTGACCTCAGGTGATCTGCCCGCCTTGGCCTCCCAAAGTGCTGGGATCACAGGCATGAGCCACCGCGCCTGGCCTCAAGTATCATTTCTGACCATAGTGGTATGAAACTAGAAATCAATAACAGGAAGAATCTTGGAAAATTCACAAGTTTATGGAAATAAAACAACATACTCCTAAATAACTACTGGGTCAAAGAAAAAAAGTCAGAAGAGAGATTTAGAAATATCTTGGGAGAAACAAAAATTGAAACACAACACACCAAAACTTATGGGATGCAGCAAAAGCAGTTGTAAGAGGAAGGTTTATGGCAATAAATGCCTATGTTAAAAGACAAAAAACTCTCAAATAAAAAAACCTAATGTCAGGCAGGGCGCGGTGGCTCATGCCTGTAATCCCAGCGCTTTGGGAGGCCGAGGTGGGTGGATCACGAGGTCAGGAGATCAAGACCTTCCTGGCCAACATGGTGAAACCCCATCTCTATTAAAAATACAAAAATTAGCTGGGTGTGGTGGCACGTGCCTGTAATCCCAGCTACTAGGGAGGCTGAGGCAGGAGAATCACTTGAACCTGGGAGTTGGAGGTTGCAGTGAGCCGAGATCACGCCACTGCACTCCAGCCTGGTGACAGAGTGAGACTCCGTCTCAAAAAACAAAACAAAACACAAAACCTAATGTTGTACCTGAAGGAACAAAGAACAAACTAAACCCCAAATTAGCAAAGGAAGGAAAAAACAAAGGTCAGAGCAGAAACAAATAAAGGAGAGACTAGAAAAACAATAGAAAAGATCAACAAAACTAAGGGTTGGGTTTTCTGAAGACTAACAAAATTGACAAATCTTTACCTAGATAAGATAAAAAGAGAAAACTCAAAATCAGAAATGAAAGAGCAGTCATCATAACTGATGCCATTTAAGACACAAAGAAACATAAAAAACTATGAACAAGTACATAGCAATAAATTGGATAACCTGGAACAAACTCATAAATTCCTGGACACATACAACCTACTAAGACTGAATCATGAAGAAACAGAAAATCCGAACAAAACAATAACAAGTAAGGAGATTGAATCAGTAATATAAACTCTCCCACAAAGAAAAGCCCAGGACCTGATCACTTAACTGATGAATTCCATCACCGAAAAAAAGAGAAAACTTCGCTATGGTTTAAATATTAGCCCCCTCCAAAACTCATGTTGAAATTTAATCTCCAATGTGGCAGTATTGAGTGGTGAGGCCTATAAAAGATGATTGGGTCATGAGGAACCTTGCCTTCATGAATGGGTTAATACATCTGTGGATTAATTAACTAATGGATTAACCAGTTATCACAGGAGTAGAACTGGTGGCTTTCTAAGAAGAGGAAGAGAGACCTGAGCTAGCACCCTCAGCCCCCTCGCCATGTGATGCCCCATGCAGCCCCAGGACCTCTGCAGAATCCCCAACAGCAAGAAGGCTCTCACCAGACGCAGCCCCTTGAGCTTGGACATCTCAGCCCCTATAAATATTAATATAAGAAATAAATTCCTTTTCTTTACAAATTACCCAGTTTCACATATTCTGTTATAAGTAACAGAAAACAGACTAATGCAAACTCTGCCAGAAAGCTGAAGAAATGCAAACACTTTCAAACTCATTTTACAAGGCCAGCAGTACCCTGATATGAGGTCTTTCTTAATGAAATAGTAAGTATTTAAGGTTTTGCAGGCTGCAAGGTCTTGTTTCAACCATCCAAACCTACCCCTGCATTGTGGGTGGAAGCAGCCATGGATGTACGTGAACAGATGGAGGTGGCCATGTTCCACTCAAACTACGTATGGAACTGAAGTAGGACATCTTCATATAATGTTCATGTAAATACAGCTCTTAGCTCACAGGATGTAGAAAACACAAGAGGGCACGATAGGCTCATGGACTGTTACGTTTTAGTGCAAGCTGCATTCTTTTGGACTTGGAATTGTTAACAAAAATCACAGAATCACTAACTGCACAATTTTCCATGGGTATTCTTCACCATGGACTCAGAAACAAAAGGTATGGTGTGGATGAAATCTCCCAAAAGAACTGCAGGCCATTTCTGGTCAGTCAATAACCAGGGTGTGGAGGGGTGAGGAGGAGACTGCACACACCCACACAAACACAAGCCTCTGCATCACACGGCAGAACGGGAAGCATAGGAGGACCGACCCTCACTCTGTTCCTGCCCAGGCTGAGACAGGCCCAGCTACGCTAGAAATTCCTGGCATGTGTGGAAGGAAACGCGCATTCTGCAAAGCAGGCGGATTTCGCCAAATGTCAGCGATTTCACCCCCGCAGTGATGATGATGAACTTCTGTTAACATCGACATCAGCAATTTCAAATTAAAAGAGGGCTTATCTCTCAGGGCACAATTTCTAAGCGTTTCAAAAATGGTTTACATGGCACCAGAAGAGGGCAAGCCATTAGCAAATCACTTCTGAGAAGTTTCAACATGTTCCCATGAATTCCACTAACAAGAGCTGTCCAGAAAGCCGAAAGTTGCTTAGCAAAAGGATGCATTTTAGAAAGCTCTAGGTGGTCCCCACTAGGACCCATATGTTTTAAATAATCTCATCATTTCTTTCAATTTCATTTAAAAAATTGAAGTGAACAACAACTAAAATGGAATAAATGGCCAAGGATGGCACTTTTCAAGTCCAGCAACTCCAAGAGACTTCTGACAATGCAGCAGGCAGCAGGTCTGGGTGTGCCCTAGAACCTGCACTTTCCACAGGTGCTGCTGCTGGGCCCAGGCTCACAGCTCAGGAATGCTGCTTAGAACAGCTTGCTACGTGATCCTGGGCAATGATGATCCATCAATATCAGGCTCACTGTGTCAAAATCACCACACCAAGCCTGAAAAGCATAGGTTGTTTTAATTAACAAGAATTATATTTATTTAAAAGTCCGTCTGTCTATCTCTCTCTCTCTCTCTCTCTCTCTCTCTCTCTCTCTCTTAGTTTGCACCAAAACACAATTTGGGTGAAGGATCCATAATCTAAAATAATACTTGAAAAGATCAGGTCATCACGGACGATTTGGTGGTCCTAATGGGTGTACCTGTCCATTTGGGGGGAAAATATGATCAAGTTAGATGTGAGGAAAGAGACAACACTAGAGAGAAGCAAATAACATCTGTGTGCCCCGATGGAAGTTTTCTGCACATCAAGTGGTCATCATATGCCTTACAGCTGTAAACACCATCCACAAGCCAGCCTACCTAGTGCCTTTGCAGGAAAGATATACTGAGAGTCTAATATAACTCAAAGGGAAGCTTCTTTCAAACTAAATTCCATAATACAATGGATTTCTGTGCAGTTTTTTAGTGTAAAAGAGTCCGGAAGAAAAAAAAAAAAAAAACTTCTATCTTGAACCGTCAACACTTCCTAGATACTTTGATGGTCCTAAGAATGCTTTGTCAAACACACAAAATAGGGAGCTGCCCATTAATGAACAGTGACCCCAGCCCACTGGCTACATCCTTTCCCAAAGGATTCCTCCCTGACTCAAGGTGTGACTGGAATAAGAGCTTTTCTCTAATAGTAAGTTTCTGGCAGGAGGGTTAAGCTTCACACACTTACCCCTCAGTGAGTTTGCTTTCAGTCCAACCCCTTTCAACAACAATCACATTTGAGGAGCAGTACAAAGCAGTTGAGAAAACTGGGAATTAAGAGGAAAGATCCCAGGAGGTGGGAGGAGGAAGCATGGAAGGAGCCCGATGCAGCCAGGAGGAGGAGTGCCCACCAGCTATGCACCTGGGCTGCTGGCATCCACCAACCCTGCTGGGGCTGACAGACAGACAGTCCCGGCCACTCTGTGAAGATGTACAGGCCATGTCTGCACTGCAATGGCTCCACGTGGAAAGGACAACACGTTTACTGCAATGGCATCATGCCATCATCTAGTCCATCAACTGATTACCATAACTCAAGATGGCATGGAAAGTCTGACACAGTCCATCTGAAAAGGGCATACATAGCTCTTTTGAAAAGGAGGGCTTTCCATGAAAAATAAAATTTAATAAAAATGAAACGATTTGCTCTCATAATCGTGGTCAATTTGGGGTCAACAGTTTCAAATGTCCAGCTACACATTCAGGGACCACAATCCTATAAATTCTAAAGCCAAACTTGGGGAGGTGTGATAACTCTGTTTCCTTCTTTAAGAGCAAGTAGGAAAACCTAAAGACAAACCCATAAGGAGCACATCGCACCAGCTCAAAGCGGAAATGTGCTCAGATGCAGCATTGGTCTCCATCTCAACTCCAAAGGCTGAAGCCCAGCCAGACCCCCAAATGTGAGAGGGGGCGCACTCACCCTGCAGTGAATGACGACCACATGCTGGAGGTTGCTGTTCAGCCAGGACTCCTGCGCCTTGCATATGGTACACATCTTATCCAGGGGCGGTGCGTGGAGCTCTGGCCAGCCCACATCCATGATCTGCAACAAGAAAGGGGAGCTTCCTCGGTTTCCATTTCCTAAAACCTTCTGAGGCCATCTCACAATGACTTCTTTCATCATCAGTACATTTCATTTGGGAGTAAAGAACATGCTGGGTGACCCTTTCCTAAAACTCAGTGAGCATGAGGATCAACTTCCTTCACTGGGAAGAAAAAATAAAGCATTATACTGCCCATGTGATGCCTCTTCTTCCAGGGGCTCATCTGCTCTTCTGCAGCTGGGGTGACAATTCTAGAAAGGTCTTTGAGTTGCTGATGGTGCAGGTTGTGTGGACGGGGCTGCAGTCCAGTGAGATCACAAACAGGAGTCCTAGGCCCAAGCTGCTGCCAAAATCTCCCCACTCGGGTTAAAATCCCAGTTTGGAGAGTGCAGCCAGCCATCTCCCACACCGTGCGGACAACACCTCAGAGACAATCTCCTGGAAAGGCAGCACTTAAGGAGGAAGCACCTTCAAAACTCTAATTAAGTTTGGTGCTTGGACAAAGAAAATCACCACCATGTGCTAAAGACACAGTGACTCGGTGCAGAACTGCAGCTCTGAGCGTCCTGAGGCACACACAAGTCCACAGTGGCCCACAGTGGCCACACGGGGGTGTTGCTTTTCCTTTGATTTCCTTTTGTCAGTAGGACGAGGACAAGGAGCTCTATCTTATGATGAAAGTCGTAGAAATAGTGTAAGACTGTTGGAAATTTCAGAAAGTTGCCAGGAAGTAGGAAAAGTCACTACCCCTGCCACCACTCAAAGATAACCACTGCAATGTTTTCATGAATCCCTTAGTCTCTTTTCTGTATACATTTAGCATAATTGAGATACTATTATACATAAATTCTATACTCTACTATTGTTAACTAGTATTAAAATAGGCAACTTATCATGTTTCTGCTTTGTTACTCTAATGGCTGCAAAATATTTCAACATATAGAATATACATACATATATGTACCACAACTTATGTTGACTCAGTCTTAAAATTATCCCAAACTTTGCTGTTGAAAATGATCATGAAGGGTGAGGGGCAAGGGGAATGAGAGCATTAGGACAAATACTTAATGCATGAGGGGCCTAAAACCTAGATGACAGGTTGATAGGTGCAGCAAATCACCATGGCATATGTGTATCTATGTAACAAACCTGCACGTTCTGCACCTGTATCCCAGAACTTAAAGTAAAATTTGAAAAAATTTTAAAAATTTTTTAAAAAATGAAAATTATCATGAAAGGAGTGGATTAGTATGACCATAAAGAGATACTAGCAGAAGAGAGCCCCATGCTGATGGAAATGTTTTGTCTCTTGTTTGTGGTGGCTTAACAAATCTATACACATGATGCAGTTTAGATTTATTCTATACATATATTTGTTATAGATTTGTTCCATGCATATATATATGCAGTATATATGAAAGATCCCAGGAGGCGGGAGGAGGAAGCATCATGTGTATAGATTTGTTCTATACATATATATTAGTATTTATCATCTATACACACGATGCCGAGAAACACACATGTACGCAAAACCAGGGAAATGTGAGTGAGGTCCGTGGACTATACCAATGCCAACTTCCTGACCTAGATATTTCACTATTAGTGTTGTAAGATTCTCCCACTGGAAAGACTGGGTGAGAAGTACAGGAGATCTCTGTATTATTTTCACAACTTCCTACGAATCTCTAACTATTTCAAACTGAAAAAAAAGTAATTAAAATAATTGATATGAACAATTCCTAATACTCCTTATCAAGTCACATTCCACAAAGACTAGTAGCAAATTATTTTTGCACAAAATAAGCATTGTTTACATTTTACAAAATGCAGAATATAAAGGGATGAACTCTGTACCTTTGGGTTAAGCTTCGTAAGGTCATATCTCTTTTCTGAAAGGTTTAATACCTATAAAAGAGAGGAAAAATTGCCTTGCATAAAATAGATTTTAATATTTTAAAAATTAATACTTTAATTTTTATTTAATTTTAATTAATACTAATTTTTTAAAAAAATATCTAAAATCTTCACACTCACAAATCAGGGGGAAAAAAAGCTTTTAGACAAATCCTTGACATCAGAGATGAAAGCAGAAAACACATTGCATTTTTACATGATGTTTCCCTTCCAGGTACCGAGGATCAGAAAAGATTGAAAAATACAGACTTGTGTGGTCACAGAATAAAAAACAAATAAAATAAATAAGATAAGGATGGCATACAGAACCCTTACACATAAAGTCTATATTCTACTTCTTCAACTAGTATTAAACCAGGCGATTTACTGTGTTACTATTTTTTTTTAATTCTCATGGCTACAAAATATCCCAACATATAGGATACACACACACACACACACACACACACACACACACACACACGTATAAAATATATAATATAAAATATATATACACATATATATAAAATAAATATCACGGTCTTGCTCCTGACAACACAAACTGACCCGATAGAGAGGTGGTACATGGTGGGGAAGGCTGTCCCTCCTCTATGGCCTGGTGGCCCCAGGCCTGGAAAGGGCTGAGTTCATGCCCGGCCAAAAGCCATGGCCTAAGTTCACTGAAAAATCACAGCCATTTGTGGAACCTTGCTAAATACTCAAGTAGTTCAAAATGAAAATAATAATAATAATAATAATAATAATAATAATGTTCCAGCAGCAAGGAGCCTTAAAAATTAACTAAACGTCCCTCTCACTTCAGAGTCAGAGATGTGAGGAAAGTGGAGGGTGGGGGCTTGTCCTGGTCACCCAGCAAGCCCTGTTTATGACAAGGGGGGGCGCTGCTTTGTGACCCACAGTTCATTTCTAACCCTGCACAAGAAAAAGATCCCTGCCATAGCCATTTTGCAGGGAGAGCTCTGGCCCTGACAAGGCCCCACAGACAGGTGCTGGCCAGGGCTCCAGGCCCTCTGCATGGTCTCTTTGGGGAAGGGGGACTGGGGAAGAGGGGAAGGATGGCCAGAGAGGAGACTCAGGATGCGCTGACCAGCCTGGGAGTGGCTTCCAAAGGAAGGAGCCATGGTCCTGCAGAGCACACCGCCTCAGTGATGAAGGAGGAAGCCCTGAGGAGGAGAGGGCCCCTGGTGAGAGGCACCACCATCAAATGGGGCTTGGCCACCACTTCCTGTCCACTGCCAGGTCACAGACAAGACGGGCTTCAAGACCAGAAAGAGGCAGGAGCCTGAGTGAATCAAGGATCGGGGAGGGGTCAGGACCCAGGTAGCACCTGGGCCAGGGCTGCTCTGGCATCAGACGGAGGCCACATCCTACTCTGCCACTTGGGTCCACCTCTCCCAGCCACTGGTGCCCCAGTCATTGGAGCAGACCAGCAAGGAAGACAATGAACACCTTGTAGGTTTGCAGGGCAGATTAGCTTTACCACAGATAAGGAGGCCTCCTTACTAGAGATAACAAGGCAGGTAGAGAGAGGGTGCCAGGGAGCTGTCATTCAATCCCATTAGTGACTGTTGACAGCAGAAGGAAGTCAGCCTCCACCTGGGCTACCAACCATGGGAACAGAAAACAAGGGGCCAATCAGAGGGTGAGAGATGGTGAGAGGCTGTTCTGTATTATTCCTCAGATGTGGCTCCACCATCAACTCGACAAGTGTGTTTTGAAAATCAAGCTGTCTCCTTGTCTCCAGGGCAGCCCCTGGTTTCTTGGGTGCCCACCTAATTTGTCTTCCTAATTTCTGGCTCAGGAGGAGAGTCACAAGTTTGTCTCTTGATACGAGGGATGCAGCATGGGAGCGCAAGGGTGGCTGGCTGGGGACATGTCCCAAGGCACTGGGGAGCCAGCCTCACTGATGAGTGCAGGACAAGGCAACAGCCATCCCTGCGGTCAGCAGTCGTGTGTCCCTGAAAGCTACCTACAGAGACACATAAGTCTCCTCCCCAGGCGTGGCAGCAGAGAGACAGAGGACGAAGGCGCCACGGACAGCTGTGTGAGCCCAGGCCCTTGAGCTTCTCCCTCATGTGTAAACCAGTGTTCTGTGAGTGCCCATCCCTACACAGTGCCTGCTGCAGAGCCTGCCCAAAGGCTCCCAGAGCCGCCCACCGCTCACCAGGTAGTTGTCCCCGTGCTTGGACTTGAGCATGCGCGTGACCTCCTGTAGGTTGTGCAGGTAGGACTCCTCAGAGCAGCCGGCAGGGAAGGACACAGCGATGATGCGCTCCGTGATGTAAGTGAGGTCCAGCCCATGGCCCTCCTCCATGGTGGGACTCAGGATGACGGGCCTGCGAGAGAGCAGTGGGCAGATCAGAAACAGGGTAAGGAGGCAGCAGACATTCATCCTCTAGGAAAAAGGTGAAGACGACGGACACTCATCCCCTGGGTGTTCACATCAGCACCTGGGCGGCCAGCTACGGGAATTTACAGTGTGTGCAGCCTCTGTGCTGTGTTCCCATAACAGCGGGCAGTGTGGGGAGGGGCACAAGATTGAATTTTCCTAGCAGGGCATGACGGGGTACCGCAAGCTGCGGTCAGGGAACGCACAGAGAGAAAGCAACTCAGAGCAGTGACGCATGGGCTCAAATGCAAAAGCACGAAGGCGGGAAGGACTCTTTGTGGTTACACTGGGAGCAGGAACAGGGTTCCAGGCGGGACTCCTGGAGTGGGAGCCTCAACCCTGCTCTGAGGTGTCAAGGTCGGCACGAGGGGGCACCGGGAGGGGGCCAGGAGGAAGCGGAGATGGTGTGAGCAGAAGCCAAACATCAGCAAGCAGCTCCTCGTGTCCGTATGCGGCATCCTGGGGGAGGTGCGGCCAAGGATGAGGCTGGTGAGGTGGCCAGCTATGGTCGTGGAGGACCCTGCAGGCCCAAGAAGGAGGCAGGACCTCACGTGGAGAGGGGACCAGCTGGGGCATAATCAAAGCGGCCTTTCATCTACTGAGTAGCAACTCAGCAGACTCCTATCAGAAGGCTAAGAGCTCCATGGGGCCCCGCTGGGACCCCACCCAGCTAGCCACAGGCCAGGTGGATGCAGGGTAGAATGTGGGGCTGGCCACCCAACCAGGTGCCCAGGTGGCCAGGGCAGGCCCCCAAGTGTGAGATGAAGACTGTGGAGGAGGGAAGAGGGAAGAGGGCAGAAATGGTCATGTCATGGCCAGCAGGCTGAGGACTTGGGCAGGACTGGCAGTGTGGAGTCAGGCACCCAATGTGACTGGAGACAAGGGCCTCCCACAGACCACAGATTCTCCACCAGCCCTGTGGGCCCCAGGGAGGCCTGAGCCCCTCCCAGGAGTGCTCCTAACATTATGGCTGAGGGTGGTATCCAGGAGGAGGTGGAAAAGGTTCCAGGGAGAGGGGATGGGGTTGAACCCAATCGGTGCCCCCATGAGGTAAAGCCAGAGGCATGGGTGCACGGGACGTGTCCTTAAGTCCCTCCAAAGTGCTGCCACCAGCTTTGGGGTTTTCATTTTTACTACTCCTATGTGTTTCTCTCTTTCTTTTAATTTTGGAAAAATTCAAAACCATATAAAATGGTTTTGCAAACCTCCATGTACCCACATCACCTAACTTCAAAATTACCAACACACAGCTAACCTCTGTCCATCAATATCTCCAGCAATCTCCTCCACCACTTTGATTGCTTTAAAGCAATCCCAGATACTATGTAATTTCATTTATAAATCTTGCAGAATTTATTTCTAAAAGATAAGGGCACTTTTTGATTAAAATGTCTACAATGCCATTATCACACCTCAAAAAGAAATAATAACATCAAACATCCAATACCATACATTTATTTTTATTTTTATTTATTTTTATTTTTTCGAGACAGAGTCTCGCTCTGTCGCCAGGCTGGAATGCAGTGGCGCAATCTCGGCTTACTGCAGTCTCTGCCTCCTGGGTTAAAGGGATTCTCCTGCCTCAGCCTCCCGAATAGCTGGGATTACAGGCATGCGCTATCACACCCAGCTAATTTTGTATTTTTAGTAGAGATGGGGTTTCACTGTGTTGGCCAGGATGGTCTCGATTTCCTGACCTTGTGGTCTCCCCACCTCAGCCTCCCAAAGTGCTGGGATTACAAGTGTGAGCCACTGTGCCCGGCCCATACATTTATTTTTTAAGGTTGATTTGTTCAAATCAGCATCCAAACAATTCCCAAGGATTTTGTTTTCTCTACCTTATTTATCAGACATGGATTTCATTCCAATTCAAATGTATTGAACACTGTTAGAACAGAAATAAAGCGCTTCCTACGGTCATGAGGATCCACAGTGAGTGCCTCTCCAGAAGATGCTGGCTCAGGGCCCCCCTCATCTGCTCTAAAGGGGCTCTTGCCAGCACACCCTGGAGTCTCCCCCAAAAGTGACACTTGCACAATCAGGCCTCAGCAGTGCAATTATTTATTCAAAGACAATCACAGGTGTTTCTACCACCTGGGCTTCTGACCCTGACACAGCATTTAGAAACGGACAGAAAACCTGGCCTGTATCACCTTTGATTGGCAATGTTTACAACCAAAGCAGAAATTATGATTTCTACAGAAGAAAATGATGCCATGCCCAAGTTTCCTCTGTAGAGAGCTGACCTACAGCCAGAGACACAGGAATGCATGACCCACACAGACACTCACCGCAGAGGTTTATCACGGCAGAGAGAACTGGACAGCGTGGAACTCCCTGGAGCCTGCAAATAACAAAACAAGGGTCATTTTGAAGTTTCCTTTCCTGCCAGTCTACATGACACAGACACCACTGAGAGGGAACAATGACAGCCGTTCCACAGTTTAATCATAAACAGCAAGTCAATCGTAACTACAAGCCCACCTTATCACCTCAGAAGGGTCTACACCATGTTGTGTGATTCAGCTCACCAGAGGACGCAGTGCCACTAACCAGCATCAGGACGGGCTTTCACAGGAGCCAGTGAGGCCACCCTCCAGTCAGGGCAAGGTAGGCATCGCTTGGCCTGCAAACAGTGCCCTGCCCTCCAACACAGGAGGTGCCAGATGACACCAGCGCTATGACTATCATGGCTGCTATTATTTACTTGAAAGAACCAATTAATGAGTGACTTTCAGGAATTCTCAGTCATACCTACTCTTTTTTAAAGAGCCTATTCAACAGGGAGAAAAGACTCGGGTTATAATTACTTTATAGTTATATAACTCTTCCTTGTGTGTAAGGGTTGTTATATACTATGGTGACAGAGATCTACTATTTCAGGAAAAATGCCCAGCAACTGTGTGAGTAAGAAGGCTCTTCAATATTTCAGAAGTGAGGAAATTGGGACTCAAAGAGGGAAGCGATCTTGTCAGATGGCAGAGGTGAATGGGGAAACCCAGACACCCACTACAGGGCTCCCTCAAAGTCTCTTTCTGCCCCAAGCCAGGTAATGCTGCACACAGGAGCCCAGAGACCCCCGAGTTGGGGGGACACAGAGCCTCCGGCACTCCTCCTGCTCCCCGATCAAAGCAGGCCCACAGACACCACCATCAGAGGCATCAACACCCCCGATCACACCTGGGATCCCACTCAGGCAGGTGCAGCTCACCTGGACTCCTTAGGCAAGAAATGAACAGAAAACAAATTCTATGTATATTTCGGAGACCAACAATACAGATGTTTTCCTGAAATCATACCAATGCAAAGCCTAGCGCCAATTCCAAAACCACAGAGATCATCGTCTCAGCCTCCCAAGACAGGGGCAGGATCTAGGGGCGTGCTCTTCAGTTCTACACCAAGGTGCCGGTGAGCTCAGCCCTGGGTCCACCTCCTCATTGTTTTTCCCGGGAAAGCCCCTTGGCCACTCCACTTCTTTGTCTCCTGCCTTTTGAAGTGAGAATAGTAACAGACAGGGCCAGTCTCATGGAGCTGTCCAGGGATTCACTGAGGTAATTCTGTCAATGGCTTGGAATCCAGCCTGGCACCGCATGGCCACTGCCCGTGCTGGGCAGACCTGGTCAAGTGAAGTCCCGTGGTCTCCAGACCCCGCCCACCCCTGACATCTGAGCTGCACCCCCTGCTCATCCCCTATGCCCACAAAGCTGCAGGAGGCTCCAAACATGTTCCTCTGATCTTCTCAAAGCCCTAACCCAAAGCCTTTCACAGCTCAGACTAGACAGCTACAAAACAGAAGACTACTCTTTTGCCTAGTAGAGCAGCAAAAATAAAAATCTTGAAAACATTTTTTAAAGTTTTGATGAAATATAAACAGATGCAAGATTTCAGAGGACAACTTGTCAGTGTGTATAAAAAGTATTTAGAATACGGCCGGGCACAGTGGCTCACACCTGTAATCCCAGCACTTTGAGAGGCCGAGGCGGGCAGATCACTTGAAGCCAGGAGTTCAAGACCACCCTGGCCAACATGGTGAAACCACGTCTCTACTAAAAATACAAAAATTAGCCTGCGTGGTGGCGCACACCTGTAATCCTAGCTACTCGGGAGGCTGAGGCACAAGAATCACTTGAACCTGGGAGGAGGAGGTTGCAGTGAGCCAAGATCGTGCCACTGCACTCCAGCCTGGGCAACAGAGCAAGACTCTGTCCCAAACAAATAAACAACAAAAAAAAAGTATTTAGAATACAATCCCAGAGTAAACTGAATGCACTAAAATGAAGTCTCCGAAAAGGTAAGGAAATGATACATCAAAAACCCGTTTAGGTTAATTCATACAATCTGTACATGTAACACTCAAATTCAAGCAGCTCAGATGCAATCCTAATAGAGCCAATCTCATTATGGGGAAACTCAGCTTAACCAGGGTCCCATTTAATTCAAAAAAGTATTCAATAAGCCAACATCTCAGGGGAGAACAGCAAGGAGTTTGATCGACCATGGTCCTGGGTCTTACATGAACCCACCAGGATCTGACTATATGTGTCCCACATCTTCACCAGACCACGCATCCAAAATACAGTGACTCCCATTGCAATGCCATGCTGGAGTACACTGGCCCAGTTCCTACAAGTGGGCTGTCGCTTCAGACCCTATGTCACGCTTATCATTTGACCGTGAAAGACTGGCACGCAACTTAACATATAAACAGCATTATATAACTCATGGGGCAAAACTATTTAACTCTCACATGACACATCATTCCAAGATGACAACCACACAAATACGTGACTGCTCACTGCCGGCACCAACGTGATGGGGTAGGAGTGTCACCGTCCCTCAGGCGGGGCCCTGACGGCAGGAGGGAAGGAGGGAAGGGTCCCAGAAGGCATGAGGACTCTGCTGTCCCTGACGGAACCCAGGGCCCATTTCCTCAGCTGCAGAGTGAGAAGGGCAGGTCAGACAGACCCACGGGATCTTCTCAATCCAATAGTCTCTGAATCCAATTCAGCATTATAGGCCTCGATACAGTAACTCCAATGTTCAAACCCCGAAACCATACAAATTGCAACCACTGCCAAAAAAACAAACAAAAAAAACCTTTTAAACCAATAGTTATATAATTTCTAAGGTCAAGGCCAATGGAGGAAACTGTAATCTGTGCTATCACCACAGGGAGGCCCCAGCACCTGAGCTGGTGAAAAGTCAGAAAGTGTTGAATTGCACAAAGTTGCTTACATGAAGTGTTCGGAAATGCAGGGTTCCTGTAAAGTGTCCCAGCATTGCCCAGAGACACCCCTTCCTTAACCTCTGTATTGGGAAGAGGGGCAGGAAGGAGGAATTCAGCCCGTCCCCCAACATACCCAATTTTCTATGTAAGTCTACATCCACTTAAAATCGAGGCGAGAAACCCAGCACAGCTCAGGGCCACCCTCCAAAAACACAGACAGCTTGACACCCACTCAAATCCCCAGCCCCAGACCCGCATCTGTCCACCTCATGCCTCCAGATGTGCAAACACAGGTCTGGCCACCTCCAAGGCATGTGGTGCTCAGCAGCTTCCATAGCACAACCCTGAAGAGCATTGCACGGAGCCCAGCAGAAACCCCAGTAAGCAGACATCACCACCCCTATGTTACATGTTACAGGTTGGTAACATAGGGATGGTGATGAGGAAATGAGGATTTGGTGGGCGGACGTGTTGGAATCCCACAGTTAAGCTGCAGTAGCACCTTCTGACACCAAAACTCTGTTCTCCTTCCATCTCCTGGCTTTCAGGTGGTCCACACCCTCTCCTGCACAGGCTGCCCCTGAATCACATGAACATCAGTGAGGATAAAAGACTCTTGCTTGGGGGAGCTGTTCTAGCCCCGTGCCAAAAAGGGCAGAGAAACTATGGCCCTTCCATCACTTCCAAGTCAGCGTCTGAGATCTCATGTGACTAAAATCCCCCTGAATCATTCAGGGGTTAAATCTGGAACCAAGTAGAGGACATGCCTATGACAGGTCCCCCTGACACACTGGGGTAGAACCCCCTCAGCTGCTTTGACTTGGACTAAAATGAGAACCAGGCCCCATACTGAACTGGAACTGCCGCCAAGAGTTTCTGAAATACTGTGCTTGTCAAGAGGAGACTCAGGGATACAATGTCACTGTAAGTCTTTATTTGAAAGTAAACAATACACCTACACTTGGGTTGCACAAATCTAAACCCTGTGTGTGCACCATAATGCATTTCATGACTGAAGGATGACTGAGAAACTAACTTGCTATAGGTTATATTAAACCTGGCTCCTGAGAAACCCGAAATCCTAACCTCATATAAGGTTTAAAAAACTCTCTCTACTTGTAGGCACCAGTCCTGCAAATCTGTGTTGCAAACTCACTCTCTAGGTGTTTTTTTCTTTTGTTTTGTTTTGTTTTGAGATAGAGTCTTGCTGTTGCACAGGCTGGAGTGCAGTGGCACGATCTCAGCTCACTGCAAGCTCCACCTCCCAGGTTCATGCCATTCTCCTGCCTCAGCCTCCCAAGTAGCTGGGACTACAGGTGCCTGCTACCATGCCCAGCTAATTTTTTTGTATTTTTAATAGAGGCAAGGTTCCACTCTCTAGGTGTTTTGAAAAGAGAGCTGCCTGCTCACGTCCTCAGAAGCCTTCCCAAGCTGTGGTTTCCTTGTGGACCCTATCGCCAATGTCAATCAAATCCAAGCCCTTAGTGATTAGAGTTTCCATGAGATAGAAACACAAGTTGCTTCTTTTGTTCTCTTGTTTTCCAGGGTGAAAAAACCCAGACAGCAAAGCCTCCCACCCAGCCTCTGCCCAGCCCATGCCTCCCTCACCTGTGTCCCTGTTGGCATGCTCTTATCACAGCCTTCAACACCCAAATAAGAGAAAGAGAAAAGGGAGGCCCAGGTAGAATCTGTGGTTAAGGTTAAACCTGCAAAAGGTAAGCCTGCAAAGACCGCCCTGTTCCAGGCTGCCTTTTTTTTTTTTTTTTTTTTTTTTTGAGTCTCACTGTCGCCCAGGCTGGAGTGCAGTGGCATGATCACGGCTGACTGCAGCCTCTCAGTGACTTCTCGGGCTCAGATCATCCTCCCACCTCATCCTCTCAAGTAGCTGGGACTACATGCATGTACCACCAAATACGGCTAATTTTTGTTTTTTTTTTGTAGAGATGGGGGTCTCGCCATGTTGTCCAGGCTGCTCTGACGCTCAAGCAATCCACTGGCCTCGGTCTCCCAGAGTGCTGGGATCACAGGCATGAGCTTCCGTGCCCGGCCAGACTGCTCTTTAGAAGCATTTTCCTTCTACAGGTCCTGGAGCTCATCCTGGCCACGTGACAAACTGGCCCCATGGGCTCAATGAGGTCAATGAGGTCACTAAACTCCCTTTCTCTTCCGGTAAAATGACAGCTGTGGATCAAACACTTGGAGGTCATCCCAGTCCTGGACTCCCTGAGTCAGTGAGTGAAAAGTGAGGAGAGGCATTCCTCAGATAAAAAATTAGATGCACTGCCTGGAGGGTCATTCTGGTTCCACATATGTTTGTTTGTTTGTTTGTTTGTTTGTTTGTTTGTTTGTTTTTGAGATGGAGTCTTGCTCTGTTGCCCAGGACAGAGCACTTCCTAGTGTGTCACAGCAGTGGGCGAGAGCAGACTAAGCGGCAGGAAGGCAAAAACACCTCTTTTGGGAGAAAGTAGCCTAGCCTTATGGCAAAGCACACAGGCTCCACATCAGGCAGTCTGGGTCCAAGTTAAGGGTCCACCGCTTGGCACCTGCAGCCTCAGGAAAGGTCCTCCACTCGCCTAGGCCTCATCTCCCTCCTCTTTCCAGGACTGTGCGCTCATGTCCCGACCTCACCTTGGAGTTAGCAATCCACGCATGGCACACTAGGGCAAACCTGCTTTTCACAGTGGCCCTATGGCACATGGTCCTGCAGTGACCCTACAGTTCTCAGTCCCGCTGTGCCCTCCTGCAGGGCGCCATCCTGCAGTGCGCTATCCTAGCACACCCTAGGCTTCACCCTAAAGACCCTACCCTAAAGCCTCATCCCATCCCACAGCGCCCCACCCCACCACGCGCCATTTGCCAAGACCAGCGGACAACTCTAGAACATGTGATGATGCTCGCTCTAGTATCTCTATGAGAACCATGCTTTCCACTGTGAACTGCGGCTTCTTGCTCAGGAGGACAGCCCTGATCAGAAGGAAGACCTGAGCTTCAAAGAGTCTTTCTGCACATCTGGGAGCAGAACAAGGGAAGAGCCAAGCACATCCACCTAAAGAAGGCAGAGAAGACAGCAGGAGGCTGGGGGCCCTGGCAGAAGGAGGGGAGGCTGTGGACTGCTGGGACTGAAAGGGCCACTGGAGATTCCCCAAGGCCACTGCCAAAGCACATTTCCAGAGCAGCCATCCCTGGAGCTGCTCCCTTGGCTGTCACATCAACACCATGGCCACCACCCGGGCAGGAGTAAGCACACTCACCAGAAAGCCAGCAGCCTCCTCTGCACTCACCCATGTGGGGCATGCAGAGGGGGAGCACAGGGAGGAGGGAAGAGTGAAAGACACAGGCCCCATTCCCTCTGCAACAAAACTTCCTTGAAGTCCACGACGTCCCAGGGAGACATGGGATCCTCCCCAGGTGGGGTGGGATCCCAGCTGGTTTGATGTTCCTCTCCACAGCTGAGGATCTGGGAGCCCCCACCTGACAGGAAGGTTAATTTCGAGACAAGCTTGTAATCAATGAGAGCCCAACTCTGGTGGGAATTCGATTTTTTTTTTTTTTTTTTTTTGAGACAGAGTCTCACTCTGCCACCCAGGCTGGAATGGAGTGGCACGATCTCGGCTCACTGCAACCTCTGCCTCCTGGGTTCAAGCGATTGTCCTGCTTCAGCCTCCCGAGTAGCTAGGATTATAAGCACCCACCAACACACCTGGCTAATTTTTGTATTTTTAGTAGAGACAGGGCTTCACCATGTTGGCCAGGCTGCTCTCGAACTCCTGACCTCAGGCAATCCACCCACCTCGGCTTCCAATGCTGGGATTGCAGGCGTAAGCCACCGCTCCCAGCCAGAATTTGGTTCTTTTTTAACCTATGTCCTTCGACTGCTTGTTTGAACAAATCAACAGTTTCCAAAACCTCACAGTATAGTAATGAAATCTGAAATCAGACAGACCTGGGTGTGAGTCCCACACCACCTGCCAGCTGCAGAATCTTGGGCCAGGGCACTCATGAGCCTCAGTGACCCCATCTGTGGAGCGGGACAATGATGTCTCCCTTGTGAGACTGTTCACAGAATAAAGACAAAAATGTCCAATGCCTGCCTGAGACTAACAAGCCAGCCTTGCTCACTGCAGATTGTCCCTGAGCCTTGCACTGTATGTTGCCGATACATCCAGTTAAACTGTACAGAATCTCTACTGCCCAGGGAAGTCACTGCTCGACGTTCAGCACTGTGCGCCTGGCACGGGTGCGTATCCTGCAGGTGGAAGGCAGTGTGAAGAGTAGAGTCAGCTGCAGCAAACCAAGCCTATGTCGTGCAATTAATGCTAGTGCGGCATTTCAAATGGAGCATCCTTCACTGACGTCCCATTGCCATGGGGTGAAAGGCAGGTGCTCAGCCTGGTCCTCAGAGCCCTGGGTGAGCCAGCCCCTGCCTCCTCATGTGCCTCCCTCACTCCCTGTCCCTACCTTACCTGCTGTGCTTCCTCCTGCCCCAGGTTCTTTGCACATACCACACAGTTTAGAATGCTCCTCATTCATGTATCCCAGCTTTACCTGGTTAACTCCTGTGATTTCTCAAGCACTTGGCTCAGATGGCAACTTCCAGCAAAGCATAATCTGATCTCCCTACCCGACCTGAGTCATATGTTCCTTTCTACTTTGGTCTCCTTTTTGTTTTGTTTTTGTTTGTTTGTTTGAGACAGGGTCTCACTCTGTTGCCCAGGCTGGAGTGCAGTGGGGTGATCTTGGCTCACTGCAACCTCCATCTGCCGGGTTCAAGTGATTCTCCTGCCTCAGCCTCCAGTAGTTGGGATTACAGGCGCCCGCCACCACACCCGGCTAATTTTTGTATTTTTAGTAGAGATGGGGTTTCACCATGTTGGCCAGGCTGGTCTTGAACTCCTGACCTCAGGTGATATGCCCGCCTCGGCCTCCCAAAGTGTTAGGATTACAGGCGTGAGCCACCACGCCCAGCCCTGGTCTACTTTACTGTGCCGACCACAACTGCAAGAAAACAACTAACTGTGAATTCTCGTCTGAGCTCTACAGCCCCCTCCCATGCGGATCCAGCAGAGGCACTGGCAGTCTAGCTCCCAGAGGTATCTCTAGCCTCTGGGGCCGCACTCTGCACACAATAGCCACCCAGCACAGCAGTCTGTAGAATGAAGAAAGGAAGAAACGAACCACTAATCCCAAAGTGGCTGTGGAGTCATCTGGCCATCTGAAGAGGCATGAGGATGCTGTTATTAGATTTCAATAACAGACAGCTAGTTAGCTTTAGTTTTGGGTTAACAAAAATAAATGTACCCATTGACTTTAACAGGCTTATCTAAAAGAAGAATAGGATGAAAAGCAGTGACATCTGCTCCTTCCCAAGGTCATAACATGGAATAACTGGGGCCTATTTAGGAAGACAGTGCCCACAGAATAGCAATGTGGTTAAGCATCAGCTTGACAGCTCGGTAAAAGCTAACAGTGTGACTTGGATACACATGACTATAAACTGTGGATTTTTCTCACCCACTGAGCTGACCTCAGTACCCTGTGCCTACTCAAGTACTGAAAACGGTAATACACATTTTTTAAGTGTTTTCTCACATAATTCCCCAAGACTACCCTTTAAGAAGCAGTCCCCTTAGCATCTCTGCCTCCCTAAGACCCAAGACCCTGGAGCAGAGGTGACCATCCCTCTTCCCAGGGGGGCTCTGACCACTGGCAGAAAGCAGGTCTCCACTATCTGCCAGGCCTCTAGCTACAGCCCAGGCTGGCCAAAGAAGCAGTAACTAGCACTGGCCCTCACTCCTGCTTACCCAGGGGCCAATATGGGTGCAGGGCAGTGCCAGGATAGGTTAAACATGGCACCCCGTTCCCTGCCTCTCCTTGTCCTCACTGGCTTTTGGTGAAGAGGAAAGAAAAGAAGCCCTTGGCAGGGCATGGTGGCTCACACCTGTAATCCCAGCACTTTGGGAGGCCAAGGCAGGGGATCACAAGGTCAGGAGTTCAAGACCAGCCTGGCCAACGTGATGAAACCCCGTCTCTACTAAAAATACAAAAATTAGCCAGGTGTGGTGGCAGGTGCCTGTAAACCCAGCTACTTGGGTGACTGAGGCAGGAGGATTGTTTGAACCCAGGAGGTGGAGGTTGCAGTGAGCCAAGATCATGTCATTGCACTCCAGCCTGAGACGCTGTCTAAAAAATAAGAAAAAGCAGCCCTTTTATGGACGTCATGTTAGGAATCCCAGCAAGGCCTAAGCCTGCAAAGAGAATATCAGCTCCCCTGGGTGTCCCCAGGGCCTGTGCGCTGCTCCTAGCAGCCTGACCAGCCCTGAAAACTAGCAGTGTAAACAGCTCTGTAAAAAGAAACAAAAGGCCAGGCACAGTGGCTCACGTCTGTAATCCCAGCATTTTGGGAGGTGGAGGCAAATGGATCACTTGAGGCCAGGAGTTCGAGACCAACCTGGCCAACATGGCGAAATCCTGTCTCTACTAAAAATACAAAAAATTAGCCGGGCGTGGTGGTATGTGGCTGTAGTCCCAGGTACTCCAGAGGCTAAGGCAGGAAAATCGCTCAAACCCAGGAGGTGGAGATTGCAGTGAGCCGAGATGGTGCCACTGCACTCCAGCCTGGGCAACAGAGCGAGACTCCATCTCCAATAAATAAATAAATCAAAAGAAACAAAAGCCACGGATAAATCCACAAGGAAGCAGGACTATGAACAGCCCGGTGACGAGAGACACAGATCACAGCTGCCGGGCCATGTGTGAGGTGAGGACAATTAAACAGGTTGGGCTGAGACACCTCTGCACATTCTGTTTTTGTTTCACCAAGCAAATGGAGAAGAAATAAATGTAAAATCTTTTTCAAAGGCAACAACCTGAACAACATTCAGCTGGCAAATTTCAAGGCATTTATTTGTTCATCCTTCATTGATTCCTCCACCACCCAGCACATACGACTTGGGGGTTCAGCACACACTCTTTGTAATACTAATGCCTGGGTAGGCAGCCAGCTCTACTGCTCGAGTAAGCCGTCTGATCTTGGGAATTTACTTGCCCTCTGTGTGACTCAGTTTTCTCATCTGGAAAAGGGAGACAGAAACAGCATTCTTGGAAGGATTAAATAAGGAAACATAAACATAGGGCTTAGAACAGTGCCTGGCCAGTAATAAGTGCCAAAGAAATATTAGCTACTTATTCCATCATCTTATTTCTGTGTCAGGCCTCTGTGAGGCCCTGGAAATGCACTTTATCCACAAGTTATTAGGATCCCCCTTAGATCACAAAACCAGCTGTGACCACAATGCCCATTTAACAGTAGGAGAAACAATGCTCAGAGAGGGTAAGTGATTTTCCCAAAGCCACACAGTTAATAAGACATTTTTTTCCCTTCCAGAACAAGAATACCAGGAACCAATTAATTGTCAGGATTGCCCAACTTGATTTTCTGCTTAATGCTTTTAAACATAAGCAGCAATCGTTAAGAACTGCCAGAGAAAGTACACCCCATGGAGGGTGGGAAACTAAAATAAAGTCATCTTGTCATTTTACCTTCATGTTCAACTATGAGAAACAACAGACTAAGATTGTATCTCTATTTATTTGTAACGAAATAGTCACAGGATCCTGCCTCCCTGGCCAGGAGCTCAGGCTGGTTTGGAACCATATGGAAGGAGGCAGCTCAGGAAGACTGGCAGCAGGGAGAGGTAAGCAACACTCAGGGAGGACACAGAGATGTCAGCATTTCCAAAGAAGTCGGAAGCTCCCCTTTGCTCTTCTCACAAATAAGTTTCCCAAGAAGGGGCAGATGGGGCGGATGGTTCTTAGGACACAAGGTCCCACCGAACATCTGCAGCATTGAAGTGAAAGGGGAAAAATGACTTGGAAATGCCCCTTCACTGCAAAGCAGCCAGTACCGGAGGCCACAGAGGAGGGTGGCCAGGGACAGACAAAGTGCCCAGTGCCAGCCCAGCCGAGAGGCGGCACGTGGGGAGTTGGGAACTTACTGTGCTGGGCCTGGGCAGGGACCACCGGCCAGGGCTGCTTTTCCCTTCCAGAAACAGCTCCTCCTACGTTTCGCTCCTTCCCCTGCTTTAGTCAAGCACACCCCTCTTCGTGTTAATGTCTCGGCAGCTCTGGGCATAAAGGAGGCAGCTGGAATAGCCCACCAGGTGGGAGAGCCTGGTGAGTGTGGGAGTCCCCAGAACCACAGCCAGGAGCAGCTGGCAGGTGTGCCCGGCCCCACGGTGAGCACGCAGGCATGGAGCTCACAGGACAATGTCCGCCCGGGGCTGAGGGCCAGCCTGCCGAGGGCCAGCCTGCCAAGGGCCTGAGGGACAGGAACAAGAACAGCGCTCTCCGGGAGAGCCTTCTGACCAGGAAGCTGAGTGGCTGTGCCTTCCTGGGGACTAGCCACTAGGGAGAACCGCCTCTCAAAAGTTCCCCCAGGAAAAACAAAACCTACTTCGAGCTGCTGGGAGGGCAGGTTACTCACCTCTGTATCCCAGGTAACAGATGCCTGATGCCCACTGGCCTTCCTCCCTCCCTCTTTCCTTCCTCTCCCCCAACCCCATTCTCTCCTTTACCACTTCCTTCCTTAGTTCATTTTTGCTCCACTTCATTCCAAATAGAATTTGAGATGACTCATCGAATGAATTCAACATAACTAAATAAAATTTTTAAAATAAAAACCAAACCAATAAACAAGCACAAAAACAGGGTTAAAGACAAGAGTGGCCAGGCCAGAGAGAAGGAAAGGTATGCAGCGAAACCTCAGTTATGGGAATGAGGCACCAGACGGTTCTGAGTTACAAAACGGGAGATGGAGGCCGGATACACGGCAGATCTTGGTGACATAGAGTCCCGGACCTGCCCGAGGCGGGTTTATTTCCTCACTTAGCACTCAGAGCTAAGAGGAAGGGTGGCCAGCCCGGGCCACATCGTGTCCTCAGCTGTTAGACTCACCCAGGCAGCTGTTTAAACTGATCTCACTGATCTCATGACTACATGGTCAGTCACGTCCCTTTAACTGACAGGGAGATTTGTGTGTGCTTTTTTGTAACATCTTACATGCACTTACATTCTTTTATTTTTATCACTTATTTCATAACGAAAACATTTCTTCACATAGAAAAGTGGACCAAGGGAGGGGAGGTGGGGAGGGCCTCATTGGGCCCCCAGCATAACCCTATCAGTGGGCAGGGTGTTCTGGGGGCGCCCATTCCACTGGAAACCACGTGGTGTCTCCTTCCAGGCTGAACACAAACAGGGGGCCCCAGTTTATAACTAGCCAGGGGTGCACTGCTCAGACCAGGCTCAGCTCCACAAGGCAGCCTGCGCTTCCTGCCACCTGCCCACCATTTGGCAGGGGCAGACACAGCAGTGACGGCAGGGGGTCAAAATAGGACCACCTGTCCCTTTACTGGCCACAGTCATCAGACCCGGAGACACTAAACAGGACTTTAACTCCTCCGAGCATTGGTTTCCACCTCTGTGAAACTAGCTGACAACACCACCAGCCTCCCAGGATCTCTGTGGGGACTAAGAAGATGCCTCAAGGCACCAAGCCCAAGCCAGCAGCACTCATCATCAGCCCTGGGGGAGAGAGGAGGGTTGCATGTGTTGTTTCCAGTCCAACTCCCGCATTTTACAATGGAGGAAAGGCCATGGGGAGGGGCTGCTCTGGGGGGGCAACAGCTGGGCAGGGTGTGGCACCCTGAGGACAGGCCAGTTTATTCCTTACTTCATGGTGACAGAAAACAGGCCGAGCCCTAGAGAGCCAGCTCTCTCAAAGTACCCCCAATGGGAGTGTCCTCAACTGCAGGCAGCGGCCAGCCAGGCAGAGCCAGGCAGGGGGCTCCCATCCATAGGCGAGCAAGTTAGCAAGGGCGGCCTGGGAGGGAAGTGCCTTCTCTAGAAGGTGACAACATTGTTAATGAGCCCGTGTTAATGTCAGTCATCTCCGGAGTCTGAAAGTGCCCTGCAGCAGGTGGGAGGGGTTATGTATGCTGAGTCCACTCTGGAGTATGCCCTGCAGAGCTGCGTTCTGTCCTGTTAGATGTCCCACCCAAACTCACACAGATCCCCCTGCAGAGAGCCTGGAAACCAGCCCCTCAGGGCACAGCACAGGCATCCCAAGGACAGCCCCACCAAACCCCCAGCATACAGATACCTGGTCCTGTCCACATGGGATGTCGGGGGTGCTGACGGGGGCAAGACCCACAGATGCTGACCACCATGGGCCACAGAGATAGGTCTCTGGCCCTGCAGCCAGCTGGTTCCATACAATAGCTCAATGTTTGCAAGGCTGAGGGAAGGGCCTAATTCACCCACCCCAGCCTGGCCAACTCTGATGGGCAAAGGGGCTGCCCAGAGAATGCTGAGAGGATCACCCCAACTCAGACCAGGACCATACCTGCCTCCACACCCAGAAGGGCACAGCAGGGCTTTTGCTTTAGAATGAAGAGCTAATGAATTGCACTGACACTGACAGAGCAGCCTTAACCTGGAGTTTATCCCACAATAATCAGATTCATATGGATAACCCTGGAAACAACAAGCAGAGAGGGCTCTGAGCAGCCCTGCTTCCCTTTCATATCCACAAATGCAAACAAGTATTTGCAGGAGGGCTAGCCCATTTCAGGCACTGCAGGGAGAATGCAGGTGTGACAGAGGGGAAAGACCAGGATGGACTGAAAACTGAATGGATGAGAATCCTGTCCTGGAGGTGCTGGATAAGTACACATTTAAGACCCCATAAAGGAGAGAGAAGGCAGTGCCAGAGGTGGCGGCGATGGGCACCTGGGAGAAGAAGAGCTCGTCTCCAGCTCTAGAAACCACGGCCACTTTGCAGATCCATCAGGGCAGCTCTTGGGATAGGCCAGGATGGCTAGAAAGCATCTGATACAAAGTGGGCGCCTGTGGCAGAGGTGGGGCAGGAGGAGCAAATTCCTTCAGAGGACAGAGTCTGGGCAGAGAAATGGAGGCACACTGCGTGTGGTGGGTGGGGCAGCCAGGAGTGACACACGCCATGCTCACAGGATGCATGAGAAAGAGGCTCAAGCCCGGGCTCAAGGAGCCCAAATGCCAGATGATGAATCCATGACGATGAAAGGTGTCAGAAGTTTCTGCATAGGGGAGTGACACAATCTCAATTGTTTTTAACAAGGTTTAGTGGTAGTAGCAGCAGCAAGATTAATATAAGGGGAACACTGGGCAGTGGACGACATAGGTGGAAATGTCAGGCCCAAGAGCAGACAGCTGCTGACCTGGACCTCATCTGTTAGTGGCATCAGGAGTGGCTCCAGCAGGCTCCAGGAGCCCAGGGTGCACTTCCCAGACATCAGGTCGGAGGTTGAAATCAGCAATGGGGGGAGTATTTATACCAAAGAAATCAGCAAACACTGCCGACCGAGCTTTTACCTGGAAAACCTCTATTAAACATTCACCAGCAACCCCGTGATATTCGTCCTCTAGAAGCCTCAGATTCCCCACCTGGGGAATGGGGGTGGAAATGGCACATAATGCAGAGTTCTAGGAAGATCAAGTAAGGTAAGCATGCAAAGTGCTTAATACTGTGCCTGGAACACCACACATGCTCAACACGTGCCAGCTTTTACTAGTATATTACATTATTACTATTGGGGCAATCAACGGAGGCCAGGAGGGCATCCATTCAGGATGTGAGGAGAAGGAAGACAAGGCCAACAGACCCAGGTCCCCTGAAGCTGAGGAGGTAAATGATGCTGAGACAGCAACAGGGAACGCTCAAGGACCAGCACGTATAGGTGCAGGCCCGGCAAGCACACACACAACACAGCCCACGAGACATTCGCTGCCCCACACCTGCTGCTCACCTCAGCCAACCCCCTCCACATCTGGAGCTCCAACAGTGAGAACCAGCTGGGTAACAACAGGTCCCCATTCCTTAAGGACGCTTTCAGCTCTTCCTCCTTGAGTGTTTCTCAGCCCTTTTGAAGGTTATGAGTATTAGTGAATGACATTAACGAGACTGTCTTCCAAGGACTCCCATTGTGTAGGACAATTCAGTATCATAGTAACTTTCTCCCTACCTTACCCCTTTCTTTTAAGAAAATGATAATCTCTCTTTATAAATGTCTTTTAAAATATTCAGTGTGGGCTCAATTCTTCCCATATCATTATCCCTGGAGGTGTGCTGGTAAAGGGGAGGGGAGGGGAGGGGAGGGGAGGAGGGGAGGGGAGGGGAGGGGAAGAGAGGGGAGGGGAAGGGAGGGGAGGGGAGGGGAGGGGAGAGGCAACCACCTCGATGTATCCTCTGTCCATTCCTGTGGCGTAAATACTGCCACCATGGTTCATTCTAAGCTAGCTGGGTAATTCCACTGAAGATGGAGTGGGGATGTGTGAGTGATCTCACTCAATTCCTCACTAAAATGTTCTCTTTTTATAGGTGTGGAAATGATGCCCTTGATATCTAATTGACCTGATCAGTGCTCTAGGCCAGGGCCTACAGCTCCTCCCCACTTCCACACACGTCATGGATAGGCAACCTATCTCAGAGACAGGCCCTTCTCACTCCAAATAGCTTCAACAGCCTCCAAGAGGCCACTCCTCCTAATCACTCTCCCTTTCATCTTCCCACTTTCTCCACTAAATTAACTTCGTTACCACTTCTGAAACCCAAGCTATCAAAAACCCATCACCACCATGGTTTCCTGCCACTCAAGCACCTAGAATGCTCCCTATTTCTATAGAGCTCCAAGTCAGTCCCCTCCAACCACTACACACTATGGTGCCCTCCATCCATCTACCACCACTCATCCTTTCTGCAGAGGCAGAGCGTATTACAGTTGAAGGACCATGGGAAAGGACTTGGAGGCAGGGAGCCTGACTCAAATCCTAGCTCTGCCCTACAGACAGGTTACTCTGGGTAGTCAGTGAGCCCTGTCGCCTCAGTGTCCTCATCTGTAAAAACAGGGACAATGACAGGGACCCAGCACTGTCCTCAGGTGCACCCTGAACTTGCTCCTAGCAGCTCACAAGCAGAAGCTTGAGCCTATCAGGAGACTCTGGGAAGAGGACATAGTCTGAGGCACCAAAAAAAGGAAGTATATCTGCTCAGGTCAATCCTAAAACCTATTGAGACAGTACGTCTCATGCCAAAATAATGTCAATATGCCACATACATGACGTTTACACTACACAGAAACATGGGTGATCTTACTCAATTTCTTACAGGTGAGGAAATAATGTCCTTGGTATCTAACTGACCCGTTCAAGGTCATCTGGTTAGTCAGCTGAGGCCACGTCTGCCCAGGATGAGTGCTCTAGGCCAGGGCCCACGGGCTCCTCCCAACTCCCACACACACACGCCATGGGACAGTCACCTGGGGCTCTGCCAAAGGGCAGCTTCACTAGCTGAGCACAGGGCATCCATTTCCCTTTTAAACATGGGGACAGATGTGTCCTCTAACCTCTGAGGCTTCCATCTGGAAGTGCCTCATGAGTCAGTGGCTCACATTTAGAACAGCTGTGCCTCCTGGATGCCCCAACCTTTTTTCTCCCTCATTTCTATCCCAGAGAGATTAGATGTCCTGTACAAATTGGATCTGAAAATGATAATAAAATAAAATGTAATATAAAACAAGATGAAATAAAATCAGTCTGCGCTGGGATGAGCTGTGAAAAACGGGGCTGCTCAAGCCACCTCCTGTGAGCACAAGCCAACCACAGACGAAGCCTTCTGCATGAGGAACAAGCAGTCCCCCCATCCCTTCCCGCAGGTGCAGGCTTGCAGCTCGGGAGTCAGACCCCAGGCATGTAGGTCCCAGGCCATCTGAGGAGCCTGTGTAGACCCCTGTGGCTGAAGAGCAGGGCCTCACTGCCCTTGAGAGGCTAGCTCTGAGAACCAGCTTTTTAAATAACAAGTACCACCTACTTTCATTCTTATGATAAAAGTTACTTGGTTATAGAAAATTCAGAAAGTAGACATATACAAAAAGAAGCAGACAGAATCAGCCTCTCTCTCCCTCCCATACCCCAAGATAACCAACTTTAGCCAGATAGGATGGACCCCTAAATAAGTACGGGCGACTTTCTTCCGCCCATACTTATTTAAAAGCCAAATGGTGCTTTATGTCCATATCACTATATTTTCTTCTGCACTGCAATTTTTAACAGTGGCATAGTACCCAATTATCCAGATGGAACATAATCCCTCTTTAACAGCATGTTTTTTGGTCTCAAATTTCCCACTCTTATGAATGATGCTATGAGAAACATTCTATAGTTTAAAATGTTAACATCCTTAGTGGCTGCCTCGGGATAAACACCCAGAGATGCCATGTGCTTTGGGGTCCACATCACTAGGACTTCCTCTAGAAAGTGCTGTGACTTCCAGGACCACATGCATCATCCCAGAGAAGAGGAAACATACAAAACATGAAACCCATTCCATCTTTTTCTATTTAAGCATATTTTATCCCCTTTCCAAAAAAGAAACTATCTTGTCAAAGGTAAAGAGACTTGAAGTGTCTGGATAGTTATGAAACCAGTGTCCCAGAGAACACAGCAGAGGAGAAAACGGCACCTCCAAACCTCTCTGCAAGCACCTTCATCCCCTCCCAGGTCAGTCTCAGGCCCCAAGTGGACTATGCCACTGGAGTGTCCTAGAATGTAAATTCCCCCACAAGAGAACCACGGCAGGCCTCCATATCCCCACACAGGGCCCAGTGTCTGGTGCATCAGAGGTCCCCAGGACATAAATATTTATAAACTGATTGATTAATGAAGGAGGGGCAGGGCAGTGGAAGAGAGGACTCATCTGTTCCATAATCAAGACCATAACTTCAAGTTTATGATTTATTACCCACCATATCTGGCAAAGGTAGCACCGTCCTCCTCCCCACTGGAGACTGACAAAATGCCTGGTACCATCTGTTAATGGATGAAATGCATTCCCACAAACATCCATATGTTGAAGTCCTAGTGCCCAGGACCTCAGAGGGTGACAGTTTGGAAACAGGATCTTTAAAGAAGTGATTAAGTTAAAATGACACCATTAGGGTGGCCCTAATCCAGTATGAGTGGTGTCTTTATAAAAAGAGGAGATTATCCTGGCTAACACGGTGAAACCTCGTCTCTACTAAAAATACAAAAAATTAGCCATGCATGGTGGCGGGCTCCTGTAGTCCCAGCTACTCGGGAGGCTGAGGCAGGAGAATGGCGTGAACCTGAGAGGCGGAGCTTGCAGTGAGCCGAGATCGCACCACTGCACTCCAGCCCGGGCGACAGAGCAAGACTCTGTCCCAAAAAAAAAAAAAAAAAAAAAAAAAGAAGAGGAGATTAGGACACAGACACACATAGAGGGGCAGCCATGTGAGGACACAGGGAGAAAACGGCCACCTACAAGCCAATGAGAAAGCCCTCAGGAGAATCCAACCCTGCAGACACCCTCATCTCAGCCTTCCAGCCTCCAGGACTGAGGGTGATAACCGCCCATTGCTGCAGCTGCCCCGCACGGTGGTGCTTTGTCTTGGCAGCCTAAGCTGACTAAGACGACATCTGAAAGCTCTGAGATGCCTGGTGGGTGTTTGGGAAATGCTGCTGCCAGGAGCAACCTTCAGCTCCCAGGATGGGCAGGTGGCCTGGAGATGCTCACCTGCCGCCCTGCGCTCCCCTCACTTCACCCTCTCCTGGCAGGAAGCCAGGCTGACTGTGAACAGCAGCAATAAAGCAAGGAGTGGCATAAGGTGTGGGGCCGGAATGGCCCCTAGCCACACGTGGAAACGTTGCCTCCTCCTCCTGAATGTGTTAAATAAAAGGGAGAGGCAGTGGGGAAAACAATCCAGTAAGTCAAGCTGGTTAATGTAACTAGGAAGATTGGGCAATTTGATGGGCATGCCAAAATATTGAAGGAGGAGGAACAGCAGGAGCATCAAGACACAAGATATCCAACTACTTTCAGCTCTTCCTCCACCTAGTAACTTCCAATAAAGCTGAAGGAGGATGTGCTCTAAACCAGAGAGGTTTTATGTGCATCATATACCTTAACATTACAGATCTATAGATCCCGCCATGAGAAAATAAGTTTATTGAGCAATTAACTTCAAAATTTATTTTCCAGCTGTTAGAATGTGTCCAGTCTCACTGACAATGCTGGAGTTGAAAAAAAACGGGAAAGAGCATATTCCCGCCTTTGGGAAGCTTACAGTGAGATGAGGGGACACAGGCAGGTGTAAACATAAGACAGTGAGCCCCGCATTAAGTGTTGTATGTCAAGAAATGAGTACATTGGAAGCTGAACCAGGCTGAGCAAAGCCACATTCATGTGTGAGTCTTTTCTGCTTACTGGTTAGAATGAAACTGCATCTTGCCCTCCAAGGACCACATAAATGAGGTCACTCCAAAACCACCTCTACAGGCTTCCCACCAACCATGGATCTGCTGTCTCCCTGTTCGTTCCATGAGACAATATGGAATGCATGGCCTGAGCCAGCTGGCTGGGCTCCACAATGGAGCACTAGAGAATTGGCTGTCCCCGCTCCCACTGAGGGGCTCAGTCAGCCAAGACTCTAGCAGTGCAGAAGTAGGAACTAGATGAAGACCGAAGGGGCCCAGGGCCTTCCTCACCACCCCTGTCCAGGAACATCATTGTTACTACTGAGGAGCCGGGCACTGCATGCCCACTGCATGCCTGAAGCCAGCAGGCTGGGCTCTGCAGTCCCGCACTGTGTTTCTTCTGTCAATTCAAAAGCTGACCAAATGACCACTGCGTCTGCTCCCAACCCTGCAAATGCCAGTTGTACCAGTTATTGTAATTGCAGAGCTTAATAAAATACTGCAGAAATCAATGAAATGTGAGCAAAAAAGGATTTGTTACTGCTGCAAACACTGAAGTTTTTGAGAGCCTTGCGTGAGGCAGTCAGTAAAACTCATCAAATTTCTGTAGGGCAGCTGGGGCAGAGTCCAGAGGATTTCTATGCTCCAATTATTCCTAAGTATCTTTAAGCTTTCTTACACTCTGAGGAACCCCAAATGGGAAATTTCAATGACTCATTGTAGATGTACACTATGTAAAAACAGGACAGGGAACCCCAGACCCTGGAGAGAACTCAAAGACAGGGTGGGATGGTACGTCAAAGACAGGTGGCTACTTTTACCGGTTTTCAGACACAATGGAATCCTAAATGAAAGGTTCAGGATTCCGCAAGTTAACTGATACTTCAGTTCAATAATCACTTATAAATTCTGATCCCTTTAAATGACAGATTCTGCCTGGATGTGAAGCCAAATGCATAGTAAGTGACATGCAAGCAGCAATGACCCTCCTCGTTGCCCCTGTATTAATACCAGTAACGATCATTGTCACAGCAAGTTATTCCACATCCACTCTATTCCTGACATAATGCAACATGATTTGCTTGTATTCTCTCTCCATCCTTGTAGCAGCCTGCTGAGCAAGGAACCCTTATCATCCCCACTTTCAAACAGGCATAAGCCACTGCGCCTGGCCGAGGTTATGTGTTGATCAGTTCGTGAAAACACTGTGACTAGAGCTCGCAGGACCCTAACCCTTTATTTCTCCTAGAGACAGAAGCTCAGTGTTGGCTAAATCAGTGTTTGCAGCAACTTTATCGAACATGACTACCACCAATAATGAGAATCTACTGTAATTGATTAGGTATTGACTAGGGTTCCATAGTAAGACAGCCCCATTGTCAGGCTGTCACTTCATCTAGTTCAAACCCAGGACCAGGCTTGCCCACCTGAGGCCATTTGCAGCAAGGGGAGTGCTAGGACACAGGCCAGGTCTGTCTTAGCTTTCACTCCACCACGAGGGACCATCGACTTTTCTACCTCCCTAGAACTCCACAGCCAAGACTAGTTAGCCCTCTGCCCTGATTCCTCCCCGCTGTGCCTCTCTTCTCCCTGCCTCTCCGGTTTGTAAGCAAATTGCCTATCATAGGTTCACAGAAGGCAGCCAGAAAGTGGGCTGGGATCTGTTCTCTCAGATAGTAAAGCTCAGGGAAAGAATCATTAAGTGAAAACCTGACAATGAGGCTGTCCTACAATGGACCCTAATCAATGCCTAATCAATTACAGTTGATTTTCGTTATTGGCAGTAGTTGTGTTCTATAAAGTTGCTGCAAACACTGATTTGACCAACACTGAGCTTCCGTCTCTAGGAGAAATACAGGGTTAGGGTCCTGCGAGCTCTAGTCACAGCATTTTCACCAACCGCTTCAAGGCATAACCTTGGCCGGGTGCAGTGGCTCACACCTGTAATCTCAGCACTTTGAGAGGCCTAGGCAGGTGGATCACCTGAGGTCAGGAGTTCGAGACCAGCCTGGCCAATGTGGTGAAACCCCATCTCTACTAAAAATGTACAAATTGTCGGGAGTGGTTGTGCATGCCTGTAATCCCAGTTACTCAGGAGGCTGGGGCATGAGAATCACTTGAACCCAGGAGGCAGAGGTTGCAGTGAACCGAGATCATGCCACAGCACTCCGGCCTGGGTGACAAAGAGAGACCCTAATTTAATAAATACTGTGGATTCATTAACATGAAACTCTCAGCCATTGGTGCTGTAACTCACACCTGAAGGAAGGACTGTCTAACACATGCGCTTTCTCCACCAGGCACAGGACAGTCATCTTGTGCTTAGGGACACTGGACATCACATCAGCACTACACTTGCATTTTAAACAGCATAATCAACAACAGAAGCACAAAAATGGGGGAAATGTGGCACTAAATAGACTGTGGAAAGGATGCCTGTCTGCAGTATGAGTTGAAACAAGGAAGAGCTTTGCTTTGTTCAGTGTCAGACGGGAACATGCAGGTGGGCAACCCGAATTTTGAGTCTTTTTGTTCATGTCTTCAAATGACCACAAAATTGTCCTTGGTATTGATTTTGGTGTTACAAATAAATTGTATCCAGGAGGCTAATTTGCAAATATGGAATCCACAAGTAATGAAAATCAACTATAATTTAATCTTCAAATTTGTAGATTTAAAATTGCTAGAAACTTGCCAGTTTCTAATTCTAATGCCCCCACTTAATACACCTGTTACTCTAACATTATTAAAAGGGCCGTAATCACAGCCTAGTCCACCCGTAATTTTTATCTACCTGACTCTACTTCTTCATCCCTAGGATGCCTCATGCTGCTACAGAAAGCAAAGCCTTAGAGGAATCCTTCCTCCTGACAAGGAAGCTCCAGGGTGGCAAGTTCAGGCTGCAGATGCCTTCTTCTAAAGACGTGCACTTCTTTTCCAGATTTATGTTCCCTACCTGAGGACCTCTATTGATTTGGCAATGCCTTGCCTTGAGAAGCTTACAGCATTTTCTAGGCAAACACACTGAGGACTCTGGCATCAGAATATTTTCTGGAGCACGTACGACAGAAGCCAATAGTCATCTGCCCGGGATGGAAAGAAGAAAGGCATCAGAGAATGTGAGTTTCTCAGGTGGAAGGAAATCATAAACGTCAGGTCACCCAAACCCCAGAGGCCGCCGAGTTCTCAGTAACCCTACGCCCCGAGCACCCTCAACACCCCTAGGATTGCTCAAGGTGGCCCCGGGTGGCAGCCCCACCCCAGCAAGTCATCTCCTAGAACAGGCTGAACAGACTTCAGTTTGCATCAGAACCACCAGGAGGGCATATTAGGAGAGAGACTTAGGGACCCTATCCCAGAATTTCTGATTCAACAGGTCTGAGTGGGCACAAAGAGTTTGTATTTCTAAGTTCCCAGGTTTATGCTGATGCTGCTGGTCTTAGATGACACTCTGAGATCCACTGACCTAAAATATTTGTGCATCAGTGTGGTTTATACTAACGACCTTGTCACCACATGCAATGCGGGCTTCATTACTGCATCCTCTGCCATCATTTGCACTCAGTCTCCCAATCACCCTAAGAAGGAACACTGCAACATAACTTCCAGCCACTACTTAAATGGCACCAATGATGGGGAGCTCAGGACCTCATACAAGTCCAAGTCCATGTTTAACTCCCCTAATATTCCAAAGTGCTTCACTCTCTTGAATCACAATCTGTGCTCACTGGATGCCTGCGCCTTGGCCCTATTTCCTTCCATGCACAAAACCTATCAAGGCTGATCTCCCTGGTGAGTGAGTTGTATGATTTTCCCAGGGGAAAAAAAGTAAAAATGTACCTGGCTAGTGTGAAACAACCCTTTATTCAGAATGATTTCTTTAAAGGCTTTATGAAGCAAGTGTTACTATTTTACAAAGCAGCCTGTGAACTCTGTGCCATGTGTTGACAAACTCAGTGGGTTTTCAGCGAAACATTTCATCAAATAAGACACATTGTAGCACTGCTGAGGGGCTATCACCCAGATGTCAACGGCTCAATGCCACACAGGAGACTTGTGGGAAAAGTCTTAAGCCATTAGGTCATGGAAGATAACTGCAAGAGGGGGAAAGGACGCTGGCTTGGGAAACACTGGTGTGTCATATGATAAAAACAGTGACCAGCCAGCCTGAGCTCTGTGCCTAAACACATCATCTGCGCCCTGCACAATGCCCCTGTGAAGTAGAGACACGCGGATCAGAAGCCCCAGGTCCCACCACTTTGTTTCCAGTCACCAACTTGTCCCCAAATCAACTGCATCCATACACCGACACCCCCTACCCAACTGTGCCATTTAAAGCTAACCCTAGATATCACATCACTTCATCCATAAATATCTCAGTACATATCTTTAAAAGTCAAGCCGGGCACAATGGCTCACGTCTGTAATCCCAGCACTTTGGGAGGCCGAGGTGGGAGGATCACCTGAGGTCAGGAGTTCGAGACAAGCCTGACCAACATGGAGAAACCCCATCTCTACTAAAAATACAAAATTAGCCGGGCGTGGTGGTGGATGCCTGTAATCCCAGCTATTCAGGAGGCTGAGGCAGGAGAATTGCTTGAACACAAGAGGCGGAGGTTGCTGTGAGCCGAGATCACACCATTGCACTCCAGCCTGGGCAACAAGAGCGAAACTCCGTCTAAAAATAAATAAATAAATAAATAAATAAATAATTTAAAAAAATAAAAGTCAAGAACATTTTAATACATAGAACAAACTGCCAGAATTGTGAAGAATAATTTCTTAAAATATCTAATTCATGTTCAAATTTCTCTGCCATACGTGTTTTGGGGTTGTTTGGATTTATTTTTACAGTCTAAGTTACAGTCTGAATAAAGTCTTACGATGTTTATTCAATATGTCACTTCAGTTCCTTTCTTTTTTTTTTCTTTGATACGGAGCCTCTGTCGCCCAGGCTGGAGTGCAGTGGTACAATCTCGGCTCACTGCAATCTCTGCCTCCTGGGTTCAAGCCATTCTCCTGCCTCAGCCTCCCAAGTAGCTGGGATTACAGACGTGCACCACCAAGACCAGCTAATTTTTGTATTTTTATAGAGATGGGGTTTCACCATGTTGGCCAGGCTGGTCTCCTGACCTCAGATGATCCGCCTGCCTTGGCCTCCCAAAGTGCTGGGATTACAGGCGTGAGCCACAGCACCCGACCCAGTTCCTTTTTCTTCCTCCTCTTTTTGCAATGTATTTGAAAAAGACTGGGGTTGTTTCCACACAGTAGAATTCCCTCTGCCCTGGATTTCGCTGAGCCCTGCAGTATGGCTTCACAGATGTCCTGGCCCCTGGACTTCCTGTCAGTTGCAGATGGATCTGAGGCTGGGTCTGATTCTGGTTTGATTCTGGTGAGGACTTGGCTAGGGTGAGGACTCAGCTGTGTACTTCCTGCAAGGAGGCTTACAACCCTATGACCCATGGTCTAACTCCCCTTTTGTGATAGTGCAGGTTACAGAGGACCAGAGCCTAGAGCCAGACAGTCATTTATTAGGAGTTTGGAAAGGGCACTATGTTAACCCTATCACATTTTCAAGGTTTATTAGCTGGAATTCTTCTTTCAATACAACTTTCCCTCTTCCTTTATTTGGAAACTCCAAAGAACAGTTCCCAAAGGTTAAATGCTCGATTGCTTCTCTTTATTTACCAAATCAGAATGAGTTGGTTCCCTACATCCCCCAAAGGTAACTAGGGAGTGCTGTGGTGATGACGGTGGTAATGGTGGTGATGACGGTGGTGGTGATGGTGTAAGTAGTACTTTTGAAAGTCTGTTGCATATGTTAGATAATTACATCTGTGTCCAAAGTACAAAGCTAACAGCTATTACAACCTGGATGCAAGCACAGCCTGCCCCGGTGAAGTCCCTCATCTTCCATGACCCCAGGTTCTCTTCAAATTCCATAATTTCTGGAAAGACAGGCCATGGGGCTACCCCAGGGCCTGAGGGCCAGAGAGGACGGGATGGGGAGTGCTAGTGGTCATCACGCTGGGAAACGAAGTGTTAGTTAAGTAGAGAAAAACTTCCCACTAAAGTAGAAAATACTCATCCAATTAAACATGTTTCTCCTTATTCTTTCTCTACGATTGAGTCTCCAAATATGACAAGGTTTCCGGCAGGGACTTTTTTCTTTTTAATTTTTTAACAAAAATTGTTTCCTGATACTCTCGGGAAAGTGCACATTTTAAAGAAACCTGTTATAAATGCACCAGGAGAATGAGACAATTATCACAGCAGCTATGAGGACCAGGAGCCCATGAAGTTTCAGATTTTGAAGCCAACAGTTGTCCTGATGCTGGCAGACTGACACCCAGACTTGGGTCCCCAGCAACACACAGTATGAGTGAAGTTTCTGCCCAAAAAGCTCAAGATGCCTTCAGTGACCTGAGGAAACCGCCATGGTACCTGCTTCTCTAAAATAGGACTATTGAGCCACAGGAGACCACAGATTCATAGCCAAGCAACCCCCATATTTGAAGATAAGAAAACAGAAGGTTAGAAAACAAGGCCATGTATAACAGGAGGGGCCTGAGCCTAGACCCTGGCTCCTGGACCAAGCCAGCTCCCTCCCACAGCACGCTGGCTGTCCCCCAAGTGGATGTAGGTTGGAGATGTTGTTGTGTGTGGTTTTCTACATGAGTATCCCTTTTGCAGGTAAAATACACTCAGGTAATATAAATAATGCACAAACGAATGCCTCCTCTGACCTGGAATCTGTAACGTCTCCTTGTCACATGCCAACTTCTCTCCAACTGCAGACATTTAAAAAAAAAAATCAGCACTTTGAGAGCCTGAGGCAGGCAGATCACTTGAGATCAGGAGTTCAAGACCAGCCTGGACAACACAGTGAAACCCCATCTCTACTAAAAATACAAAAATTAGGCCGGGCACAGTGGCTCACACTTGTAATCCCAGCACTTTAGGAGGCAGGCAGAATTACCTGAGGTCAGGAGTTCGAGACCAGCCTGGCCAACATGATGAAACCCCGTCTCTAGTAAAAATACAAAAATCATCCAGGCGTGGTGGCACACGCATATAATCGCAGCTACTCGGGAGGCTGAGGCATGAGAATCACTTGAACCCGGGAGGCAGAGGTTGCAGTGAACCAAGATTACATCACTGCACTCCAGCCTGAGCAACAGGGCAAGAATCTGTCTCAAAAATAAATAAATAAATAAATAAAATCAGTATTTAATGTTCCCCTTCAGTAGTTACTGCTATTTCCCGAACCAATCACATATGGCCACTGCGTTTAAGGGCCTCTCCATATTTAAAATGCGTGACTACTGCTGAAAGAAATCAGAGAAAACACAAGCAAATGGAAAAACATCCCATGCTTATGAATTAGAAGAATCAATATCATTAAAATGGCCATACTACCCAAAGCAATTTACAGATTCAATGCTATTCCTATCAAACTACTGACATCATTCTTCACAGAATCAGAAAAAAAACTATTGTAAAATTCATATGGAACCAAAAAAGAGCCAAAAT
Source organism: Homo sapiens (assembly GCF_000001405.40). Classification (NCBI taxonomy): domain Eukaryota; kingdom Metazoa; phylum Chordata; class Mammalia; order Primates; family Hominidae; genus Homo; species Homo sapiens. The sequence continues at coordinate 47,468,777 of NC_000007.14, forward strand.
AGCCAAAGCAATCCTAAGCAAAAAGAACAAAGCCAAAGGCATCACATTATTCAACTTCAAACTATACTACAAGGCTAATGTAACCAAAACAGTACGGTACTGGCACAGAAACAGACACATATTCCAACTGAACAGAACAGAAAACACAAATAAAGCTGCACACTTACAACCATCTAATCTTCAACAAGGTCAACAAAAACAAGCAATGGGGAAAGGACACCTTATTCAATAAATAGTGCTGGGATAACTTGCTAGCCATATGCAGAAGAATGGAACTAGACCCTTACCTTTCACCGTATATAAAAACTAACCCAAGGTAGATTACAGATTTAAATGTAAGACCTCAAACTATAAAAATCCTGAAGAAAACCTAAGAAATACCCTTATCGACATCAGCCTTGGCAAAGAATTTATGGCCAAGTACCCAAAAATAATTTCAACAAAAACAAAAATTGACAAGTGGGAGCTAATTAAACTAAAGAACTTCTGCTTAACAAAAGAAACTATCAACAGAGTAAACAGACATCCTACAGAATGGGAGAAAATATTCACAAACTATGCATCCAACAAAGGCTGAATATCTCACACCAGTCAGAATGGCTATTATTAAAAAGTCAAAAAACATCAGACGTCGGCTAGGCTGCAGAGAAAAGGAATGCTTGTACACTGCTAGTGGAAAAGTAAATGAGTTCAGCCACTGTGGAAAGCAGTGTGGAGATTTCTCAAAGAACTTAAAACAGAACTACCATTCAACCCAGCAACTCACTTATGGGTACATACCCAAAGAAATATAGATCATTATACCAAAAAGACACATGCACTCATATGTTCATCACCGTGCTATTCACAATAGCAAAGACATAGAATTATCCTAAGTGCCATTAAGGGTGGACTGGATAAAGAAAATGTGGTATAGGCTGGGCACGGTGGCTCACGCCTGTAATCCCAGCACTCTGAAAGGCCAGGGCGGGCGGATCACCTGAGGTCAGGAGTTCGAGACCAGCCTGACCAACATGGTGAAACACTGTCCCTGATAAAAATATAAAAATTAGCCAGGCGTAATGGCAGGTGCGTGTAATCCAAGTTACTCAGGAGGCTAAGGCAGGAGAATCGCTTGAGCCCAGGAGGCAGAGGTTGCAGTGAGCCAAGATTGTTCCACTGCACTCCAGCCTGGGCAACAGAATGAAACTCTGTCTCAAAAAAAAAAAAAAAAAAAAAAAATTGTGGTACATGTACACCATGGAATACTACAAACCCATAAACAAGAACGAAATCATGTCCTTTGCAGCAACATAGATGGATGTGGATGCCATAACCCTAGACAAATTAACACAGGAACAGAAAACAAAACACCACATGTTCTCACATGGGAACTGAGCACACTGAGCACACGTGAACATAAACATGGGAACAGTAAACACTGGGAACTGCCCAAGTGAGGAGAGTGGGAGAGGGACGTGAATTGAAAAACCACCTATTGGGTACTATGCTCCTTACCTGGGTCCAACACACCTGGGTAACAATCATACACATGTACACTCTATATCTAAAATAAAAGCTGAAGTTTTTAAACTTTAAAAACAACTTTAAAAATCTTAAAATAAATAAGTAAAATATGTGACCACTCTAGAATCTGTGCCATAAAAGAAAAGAAATCCCACTCAACCTGATTTTTCTTGTCTGCTGCAGACGTCCAGTCATCAGACTTGGCAGCATTCATTCATTCGAAACACTGCTTACAGGTGAGTCCAGGGACCACACGACAATACTTCAGCCAAAGGTGCCTTTGGTGCGTCCAGCCCTGACCTGGCCCACCTGTCACTTTAGGAAGAGATCCCCAGCGCAGAGAAATGCAGCAACCCTGAACCACAGACGCAGGTAATGGTCAGGGCTGATGGGAATCCAGTGTCTGTGAGCCACACACCTGCAGCCCAGGCCTCCTAGCCGGAGTGGGTTTTTAATCATTAGCCAAGGCTTTGTGCTCCCGGGTGGATGTAAGCTGACACCAGGGTTAATATGTTCCCTGCTGTTGACCGTTCACAATTCCCTCCACCTGCAGAGGTGGGACAATAGCTTCAGGAACAGTATCCAACCCACCACTTTCAAATTCCAGCTACAAAGGGAGAGCGCCTGCTTGTGTGAGGCTCACATTGACGGGTGTGTTTTGTTTTTTGTTTTTTTTTAATGTGTTGAAGGTTTTTCGTCTTTCTCAGCAGGTCAGTGAACTGAGACCTGTGGGCTCCTGACTGTGGATGAGGAGTCTGCCTGAAGGGAAGGCCAAGGCTGCTGGGAAGCCTCCTCACTGGGGCGCAGTTCCCAGAAACCCTTTGGAAATAGCCAAAGGCCTGTATGTTATTTTAGGCGTGAGAGGAGACGGTGAAATCAAAGGAAAAGTGTGGATCAAAGTTCAGCCTGTGGGGAGAAGGGGTGAGGGTGGGGGTGCCACAACCACAGGCATCAGTCCCAGAAGACTGTGCCCACAGGGTCATGATGGCCTCACTAGGCAATTGTGCAGATGCTAAGGGGAGCAGCTGGAAACAGAGGCCGGGGCCAAGGGGCAGGGACCATCCTGGTAACCATCTCACCGTCTCGTCTCTGGGAACTGGGCTGAGCTCTGAAGGGCAGCCGTCCTGGGTCCCACTCACCCATGGAGTCATTCAGGATGGAATGGAAGGGGGTCTTCCTTTCCAACCTTGGCTCCCACTGACTTAGTGCCTGACTCCTGCAGGCAGCTCCAGGGCACCCGCGGGCCCTGCCAGCCTTTCCTGGAAGAGCCCTGGGGTGACAGAAGCCTCACAATCCCGCCCAGTTCGAATGACAGTTCATCACCAGAAGCTCCTCTTTTAAACACGTTCCACTAACATCTTCTGCTGTTTATCTGCCCATTCTCAAAGTCTGCTCCATCTGAGCAGAATGCGGCAGTTTGGAGAAGGGGCCTCAGCCAGGCTTGCCCAGGAGCCACCTCCCCCTCGGGTGTCCACTGGGTACCAGCTCCTCGCGGCCCATGTCTTCACCCAGATGAGGCTGGAGAGGTGTGAGCCAAAAAGGATTTCCAGAAATGCCTGAGGAACAACTAATCAATATGAAAGAAGTGAAGGGATGCACCCCATTGTATTAATTTCCTAAGGCTGCTGTAAAGCACTACAAAGTGGTTGGCTTCAAACAAGGCATGTGTTCTCTCACAGACCCAGGGGCTGGAGGTCTGAAACCAAGGCGGCAGGCTGCGCTCCTTCTGAGAGCCCCAGGGAGGATCTGTCCCTGCCTCTTCCACCTTCTCAGGCTGCCACAATTGGTGAGGTTCCTTGGCTTGCAGACACGTGGCTCCAGCCTCTGCCTCTGTCATCACCTGGCTTTCTCCCTGTGTCTGCATCCTCTCCTCTTCTTACAAGAACCCAGTCATGGAAATCAGGCCCAATCTAATCCAGCATGACCTCATCTCTGTCATCATTCCAAATAAGGTCACATTCAGGGGTTTCAGGTGGACATGAATTTCGGGGGAACACAACTCAACCCCCTGTACCTCCCCTACAGATGGTTCTCTGGGATCCGTGAGAAGGAGGGAGGCCCCACTGCATGTTCCAGGTCGAATGTTCTCATAGCACGTCGTTTCCTTACCTGCAAGGCTAGGTGTCAGTGTCACTGGGAAAGGAGCCCATTGGCTTGCCCTCCTTCACTGGTACTCACTGTGTGTGCCCATCAAGAGAAAGGCACGTGCACAGGGATATAGGGAGAAACTTTCAAAGGGGTGAAATGCACAGAAAACTGAGAGCAGTCCAGGACTGTGGCCCTAAACTTGCTCCCTGGCAGCTCCCTACACACAGGCCTTATGGTTGATTCGCTTAAGCCACTCTCTAGGGACTAGAGGCGTCTAGACCAGAAGGCGCAGGTGAGCCATGGGAACAGGAAGTCCCAGCCCACATCTCAGCACATCTTCAGCCTGTCCTACTCCCTCCCACAGAGTAAATCCCGGACACTCCTGCTGGTCTGCACTTGCTCCAAAGCAACAGAGAACCAGCCTGCACTACATCCACACCCTCCCAGGGCTGAGGCCATGGGCAATGATGAGGCAGGACCCTGAGCCGTTGTTGTTCAGGACGCAGCAGCTGGGAGATGGGGGTGAGGGTCATCCCCAACAACGAAGCACCCTCCAGAGGGGCGCTGGGTGAGAAACAGACGGACTTACAGTGCTGGCCCCACCCCTTCCTCACCTTCTGCTGAGCGACCTCACGCGCATCCAGCCCTCCCAATCTGAGTGTGATCGCCCACGCAGCCCTCCTCCCACCCGACTGCTCAGCATCCACACCCATCGTCCTCCACCGTGCCCTGCCAATGCCCGAATGCTGTATGCACAGGCTAACTAAACACCACTCTGTGATGACTGAGTGTCAAGGTAAGATCTGGGGAATGCAGTATCGGTTTGTACTTTTATTTTTGGGTCTCACCTGACTTTTGCCAAAGCCACAGATGTTGAGTTTGGCTCTTCTGACCAAATGGAACACCTGGATGCTGATCTAACAGGATCCTTGAAACTCTTCTCTCTGCTTCCTGGAGATCAGAGAGATTAAGGAGCAAGAACATTTGCGTATATCCATTGACCTAATAGAACTCAATTTCACTGTGACTCTGGTCAAATATGTTTGCATGAAGACTCCTGATGAGACACACAGAATCTGGAAGGGGCAGCGGTGAATCCAGAAACCATGAGCACGCACACATACACGTGTAGGTGATCTTCAGCCGAGACTCTGCTGTGGTGTATAGACCCGTGTCTGTGTTTCTGAAGTTTACTGAGGGGTGGAAACAATCTATAAGCAGGAAATAACCACTGTCCAGTCAAATACCTGGACTTATGGGCCGTGAGGACAAGAAATGCATACCCAGAGACTTGTGGGAAGCCTTCTGTGACAACATGCATGCAGAAACCACTGCAGGCTGGGGCCGGCAGAACAGACCCACATAGGTCACCTGGATCCACTGTCCCAGATCACTGGATGCTCAGCTCACTAAGCCCCACACCCAGTAATTTACAGGTGGAAAGTGTGGGTGTTTTGTTGGAAATTTGCTTAATTTTTCAGTAAAATAAAATGGAGACCATTAAAGTGATTTCATTTATCTGAAGCTCCTCATCATCCATTTGGTCAGCATTCTTTCTGAAAGAATCAAATAGCTTCATGAGACTCCATCACGGTCACTGGGGCAGAGGCAGGGATGGCAGCACGTGACCTGCAAGACTTCCTGACAGTCACATCTGTCCTGTCCTTGTGTTGGTTGGTCTTGTTGCTCTGGTCACTTCCTCTGTCTGGCTTTCTGAGTTCAAGTAAAACATACTGAGCAAGTCTCAACACACACACACACACACACACACACACAACACACATAAAAAAACCTCACACACAACACCTCACACAACACACAAAACAGCACACAAAAAACACCTCACACACAACACACACAAAACACCTCACAAACAATACACATCACATACACAAAACACTTCACACACAACACACACACATAAACACACACAGCACACACACCTCACATAACCCACACAACACACACAAAACACCTCACAACACACACAAAACACTTCACACACAACACAACACATACACAAAATAAGCAACACATACACAAAACACAACACAAACAACACACACTACACATACAACACACACTGCAACACACACACAACACCTCACACAATACACACAACACAGACATGTACACACACACAACACAGGCATGTACACACACAACACACTTCAGCACAACACACACAGCACAACACACACACCTCACAACACACACAAGACACACCTCACACACAAAACACCTCACACACAACACTTCACACACAACACACACCACAACACACACAAAAAACACCTCACACACACAAAACACCTCACACATAATACACACAACACACACAGCACAGACATGTACACACACAACACACCTCAGCACAACACACAACACACAAAGCACAACACACACACCTCACACACAACACACAAAGCACAACACACACACCTCACACACAACACACACGACAGACACACCTCACACACAAAACACCTCACACACAACACTTCACACACAACACACACACCGCAACACACACAAAAAAAAACACCTCACACACACAGGTAACACCTCACACAATACAACACATGCAACACACACAAAACACTACACACACTGCAACGCACTCAAAGCACCTCACACGCAACACACAACACACACACCTCACACAACAGACAACAGACAACTCACACACAAAAACACACCTCACGTACAACACACACACTGCATCACACAACACACAAACACAACATACACACACAAAACACCTCACACACACCACAGACCACAGACACACGCATCTTGCACACAGAGCTGTGCAAAGGTGGAGTGTGAGCTCCAGCCTCAGGCTGAAATGTGAGCCCTGCAGTCACCTTGGAGGGAACTAGCCCACTGGCCTCGGGTGAGGTGAACCAAGAGAAGCACCGCCCTGATGACTCAGCCACTATTCTTACCCAACCCCTCTTCCAGGGCCACAGACCACAGTGGCCAAGGCCAAGCAAGAACAATCACAGCGTGAGTGCAGGCAGCTGGTGCGGGCTCGGGACCTGCCCGGAGCTGGATCAGGCACTGCCCTGAACCCTCCCACACCAGAGGCCGCCACCAGAAGGCGGAGACACCGGCCTCCTTCAAGGACAGTGGCCCCTCTGTAAACAGGCGGCACTTCCCCGGGGGGGGGGCCAGGCCCTCCCTGGACTCAGGCTGGCTGTGGGCTGCCCAGGAGGCCGGGCGGGGAAGTGGGTCCCATACATGGCCTCGGGGTGTCCTAGTGAAGGCTGCCCTGCACCTGAGGGCATCAAGATTTGCTGGTATGAATCAATCGCTTGCAGAGTGTATGAAGGTAAACACAGGATGGAAAAAAACAAGGACACTCTGCCCTTGAACTTCAATCAAAAGCTGTGGGGCCACCATTCGGACCACTGTTAGGCCGCAGCATCATGAAAAGATCCTGCAAACCTGCAACTACCAAGGACAGACTCGCATGCGCCCTTGTTCTGACCGTGGTGCCTCCAAGTCTGCAAATGCGGGATCACAGGAATCATCTACTGTGTCTGTCATCGGTGCCCTCACCCTCAGGAAGCAGGGGACACGCTCTGGAACTCATCAGACTGGTTCTCTCCATCAGGAGAACCAGATCAACAATGAATGGCACACAGCAAAGGCTGTGGGCACCAGAAGAACCGCACTGCCAACTCACCTTCACAGGACAACCAACCAGGCTCTTCCCCACACATCACGTGTCTTCCCTGTGTCACACTAGCACTGAGGATCTAAGCATGTTATTTCATTCGATCCTGGCAGTGACCCCAAGAAGAGCTGGTGGCGTCCTCATTTTACAGAAGAGGAAAGTGGAGCCCAGAAAAGTGAAAGAACTCCATTCAGGGCCACACAGCTCACCAGTGTCATACCCCGGATGGGACTCAACCCAACTCTAGTCCATGCTCACACCTACCACTACATTCTGTGCCTGTGTGCGCATGTGAGCACTGCGTGTACACATACACGTAGACTTACAGAGCAGCTGGACCACAGGCTGTGACTCCCCTGTAAGGAGCCCGGCCACCTCTCCCAGCCTTAGGGACAGTAGTTACCTGAACAATGGTGAAGCATTCTCTCTATGACCCAGAAGACCACAGCCCATAGAACGGTAATGTAAGCAGAAAGACACCAATTGTCCCTTTATAGTTCTAAAAGCCAGAGGTCCCAATGAGGCTATGCTGCAATAGCTTGCCTCTGACATCCCTCCAAAATCATCATTCTGCTCGACTCATGGAGACGTGGTGCATGCCCCTGATGCCTTAGTCTACACCCTCCATAATTTCCCACGTCGCACATTTTCTCTGCTGATTCTTGTTTCTTCCCACCTTCCAGAAAGGCACATGCCAATCATTGTGGTTTCCTTTTCACACTGGCTCCCAGGAAGCTCCAACCCTGTGTCCATGTAACATATGCCAAGTTGACATTCACAAAGGGAGGTTTGCCTCCCAGCTCCTTTCTCAACAATACTATGTGCCGATTTTGAGTCCATGAATTAATCTAACCTCACATCCCACTTTTGTAAGCTGCTGCAGTAAACAGAAGATTCTGCTACCAGGAATATGAAAACGAACATCACAGGTAAATAGCCACGGGTTCAATGCGCCACAATCACGGAAAAGGTTCCTTCTCCATTGTGTCTTAAATGCCCCGGGGAGCCACAAAGGCACCCTATGCCTGCAGACAAAGAACCCTCACACAGTATGTCATTAAGATGACAGACACCCTTACAGTCCTGTCCTGGGATGTCGGTAAGTATGGCTGGCAAGGCTCATCACTGCCTTCTTTCTGCCCTACCAGGGAATTAGGCCCAGGGGTTTCAAAACAATCATGCCCTCAGCCAGCACAACTCCAGGAATTTTGACAGACCCGGCAGCTCACCTCGATAAAACATGCTGGGATGAAGCTATTCTAGAACCTCTCCAAAGGGGTCATGCCCCTCAGGTTAGCTGCAGAGCAGAGGAGGGCCTGGGGGTGGGTACAAGTGCCAGGTAAACTCCAGGTGTGGGAGGGGCCGCCAGCACAGGACAGAGCAGAAGAGCAGCCAGGTCTAAGGGCAGGTCACAGAGGGGCCTGCAGGGGCACTGACACCCCAGAGAGCAGAAGCCCCTTAGTGTCTGGGTGATGTGGGAGTTTCTTCAGTTTTCTGAGCTCCAGCAGGTGAGGGAGGGCAGGGCATCTGAGACAGAATAGGTACTCAATGAATGGTAACAAAGAGAAAAACAAAAACAGCTATCAGGTGACCTGGCCAGGTGCCACAGGGCACAGTGACAACCCAGGTGACATCGGGGATGTCAGTATTATCTGAAAGCAATTCCATGCCCATCCAAAATGCCAAGGATCACAGTGCCAGAAGACTCAGCCCAGACAGGATCAGGAAAGAAAAAAAAGATTCTGTGCTTTCTGCCCTGAGAAGCCACACGGTGCAGGCGGAAACCCTCCTGCCCAAGCTCCGCTAAATGGGGGGGTCTGCTTCTACAAGGCCACCCAGCAGGGAGGCAGAAGAGTGCTCAGGCTGGGCTGGGCTGCCACGTCCATCCTTCCATTTACTCCTCCATGCCAGGAGGAAGACAGCACTGCCCTGTTTAGGGGAGAAAGCTCCATGCAAAATAAAGATGTGAGGGAACTGGGTGTCTTGGCATCAAAGGCCCTCTCATGACCCCACACCACCACACGGGGAGAGCAGCCCAGAAAGGCAGGCATTTGCCAAGGCCACCCCTGACTGCACGCCCACGGGCTGATCTCTGCCCCAGTTCCAGCCCACAGCCAGGATTCCCACACTTGAGCTGATCAGCCTTGCCAGAGGGTTTGTTAAAGCACCGATCGCAGGGCCCCAGCAATTCAGTACGTCTGGGCTGGGGCCTGAGAATGTGCATTTCTATAGGTCCCCAGGCAATGCTGAGGCTGTAGGTCCAGGGACCACACCTGGGGGCCAGCTGGTCAAGGCAAGTTGAAAAGGCCACAGAGAGCTTAGTACAGAGTGGACTCATGCATGTTCATCTCAGGGAAATACACACACACACACACACACACACATTCACATACACATAAACTGACATACATAATAAACACACACATCCATATGTTCACACACAGGTAACAATTACATTATCCACATATATATACCCTCAGATATATAACAACTACATTAAAAACCTACACACATTAATAATTACATACAAGATACATATATTCACATGTGTAACATTTATATACATAATATATGCATACAAACCTTCATATAAACAATTACATAACATATATACACTCACATATAAAGACTGCATACCTAATATACATATATATTCACATACATAACTCTCATATGTATGGCACATGTATGTATTCATGTGTTGACACATGTATAACATACATATTCATTTGTGTGCGTATAACAATTACATGTATAACATGCATGTATGTGTTCATGTACCAATAAAATTACATGCATAACATGCATGTCTATCCATATACATGTAACAACTACATGCATAACATACATGTATGTATTTGTACGCACAACAATTACACACATAATACACACACACACACACAGAGCAGCAGCAAGGGGAGTGGGCAGGAGCCAGGCTGGGCTAGAAGAGCGAGATCTCTTAGCAACCACACCTGTGAAAAGGTTAACAGGGAGGCCGTGTCCTGACGCAGGGGGAGGGCTGTGCTCCAGGAGACTGAAGACTCCTCTCTGGGACCCTGGGCTCCAGAGGGAACAATGACAACATCTAAGCAGCCAGGATGGGCCCTTTGGGCTCTGGCCTGTCTGACAGCCCTGCAACCGGCATCTTTAGAGCCAGCACACAGCTTTAGCCCTCTGGTGCCTCTGATGTCCAGGGCTCACCAACAAATCTGATGGCAAGGGACTGTCTGCGAGGTGGGAGAGCCTCAGCTGCCACCAGGAAAACAGGCTTCAGCCAGGGCCTCGGGACAGGCACACAGCTCTGGGGCCACCTGGGCCTCAGCCCCTGGCTCCCGGGGCCTATGACAAGCCTGAGGAAATCAGTCACAAACCGCAGCCTGTCAAAACCAACTACAAACACAGGCTCCCAAGTCCCCCCACGCCCCCTACTCCCCCACCCCCCCGTCGGCGGTGAGTGCCACAGGAGGAATGGAGTGAGACTGGACCACAGGCCTGGGGACACAGCTGAGGCCAGCAGGGACAGCCAGGCAGGCGCCCGCCCCGGACGGCCTCAGCTCTTGATGCTGCAACATGTTTCTCATAGTTTGTCAATATTTTAGGTTTCTGGGTGAGATTTTATTTTTAACGTTCCTATGACCTCAAATGCATACTTTGCTCTTCCAGAACCAAAGAGACCACACCACATGCCAGCATTAAAAGGAGCATAATAAGGGCACCCCGCCTGTGGCCAGGCTTCTGTGACAGGCCTGACCCTGTAGTCCCTCTTCTCTCATCCGCAGCTAGGTTAGAGAGCACCTCTATGGCCATTGCATAAAGGAGAAAACCGAGGCTCAGGTGGGCAGGGGGCGAGGGCAGGGCCTGGCCACTCAAGTGATGAGGTTAGAGAGCCACCCCCACGCCCACTGGGTAAAGGAGGAAACCAAGGCTCAGATGGGCAGGGGGCAAGGGCAAGGCCCAGCCACTGGAGCCAGGATCTGATCTTGACTTCATCAAAGCAGGGAAGCTGCCACACGGGCGCCGCTGGCCGAGCCTGGGGAAGGATGTCCTACTGCACCACAAGACAGAGCCAGTTAGCCAGTTCCATGTCTGGAGGCCACCAGGCTCACAATCCAGAAAGGCTGCCAAATCTCCGGCAGAACACCCCAGATTCTGTGTATGGCGAAGCTAGGGGGAGCCAAGAGCAGAAAGCCCTGCCCTACTTGAGAAGTACAGGGAACAACACACCTGACAGATGCCCAGGAGGAACCACAGGGTGCACCTGTTTCCCTGCCCCACCGGGGAGGCCCAGACCTGCACACACTTCCCCAGCAGCAAGAGGCAGCTTCCCATTTGCCTCCCAGGGAGTCGCTTCTGACTTGCAGTGAGAGAAGAGGGTCCTGTATCCTACTGTCTTGGCACAGTGAGCCTTTCAATTATCCTGCAAGCTGCTAATAAGCCCTCAGAAACAAAGCTTCACTCACTCAGCTCCAAAGGATGGAGGCAAAGAAAACACCAGGAGGTACCATGACCTTCCAAGGAGCTGCATTTGAAAAGCAGACAGCAATTTAAATTTGCCTAATCACAAGCCAAAGAGAAAGTGCTATTGTGTTTACCTTCAATCTGATTTGAACACACACACACACACCCAGTATTTGTCAGAGCTGGATGTCAGTCTACAAACCACTGCACTACACTGTCCACAGCCACCTGGCGACCCAGGCACCCTCACTGTCCAGGTTTTTATCACTAAGACAACAGACTTGTGCTGTCTTCACTTTATAGCCAAGGAAACTCGGCCCAGGGAGATTCGCCCCGAAGGTAACTATTACTGATAGAAAGGCAGCTCCCGCAAAGGCGCAGCGGATCCTCTTCTCTAAAAAACCATGCAAATGGCCAGTGCAGCATGGTCAAAGGACCTCAGATAGAGCCTTGTGAATGCAAGCTACAGGTCAAAGGGAGGGCATGGATCCTAGAGGAAGCCAAAAGATCCCCAAAGAGGGAGCAGCTTCAAGAAAGGACTTAGTCCTTTCTTGGATGGAACAAGGGAGCCAAAGAAATGCAAAGGGCTTACCTGTTCCAGTCGGACTTGCACACCGCAGGGAATCACCACCTTTCAAAGAGAGAAGAAACAGATAAGCAAATGGATTCTCCAGGAAAAAATTAGCATAATAATCAAGCCAGGCTCCCAAAGACTGAATGAAACTGTCTCTAACCTCACTCTGGCTACAAAGCTGTAGCAGATCAAGACTGACAAGATTTAGAGTTAAGAGAGTCCAGGGTTTTGTTCACTTTTGGAAAGTCCCTGTCATTTTTGCTAATGTCATGGAAACCATGGGGCCTCCCCTTCCAGAAAAATGCAAATCACTCATAGATACAAAATTTAGCCCCCACTTTCACAAAGAACTGGTAGACCTCAAGGATGGAAACCTCTGAGTCGGTCCGTGCTTGGGGAGCTTGGGAGCGGGGCCCAGAGAAGGAGGTGGAAGGCTCTGCCTGGTGGTCTTCAAGACCCCACTCCTCCCATCCTCACCCAGGGGCATGCATTCTCTACACAAGGGGCCATCTTTTCTAGAACTATTTCTACAAGTAGAACTGAAGAGTCTGAATGTGGCAATGTCAACCTGGTTATTCCATTCCGCACAAGAGACGGGGAGAGGAGACTTTGACTCCACCATAGTCTCTGAAGACCGAGAGCTCCCTGGGAAAGATAAAGAAAGTAACGGAGGCAAGGTGGCTCAAACACAGTCAGGAGAGGCAGTTAGTAACAGGCACAGGGAGCCACCAGTCCTGCAGGGCAAAGACCCCACCTTGGGCAGGATCTCCACCACTTACTAGCCACAGGACCTTGGCCTTTAATCTCTCTGGGCCTCAGTTTCCACATCTGAAAACTGCAGGTAACAATAGTGCCTTCCGGGCAGGGTCATGGTGAGAATTAAGAGATGGCGCGTGAGGAGCTCAGAAGAGTGGCACAGGGCAGGGGCTAAGGGAGCCAGGCAGGCATTGCGCTGCTCTGGGGGGCCGCTCAGGAGCCAGGCGCCAGCAAACAGGATTCAGTTCCTGGTGAGTGACCTCACTCCTTAGCTTTCTCCTGGCACTGCCCCCTCCAGATCCCTGGCACCTGCCTTCTCAAAGAGTTTTCTGAAAATGTGCAACCGAAGGAGAATCGTAGAGAATCTCAGAGATCTGACTAATTGTACTTGTGGTTTGGAGTGGGCGGCGGCGTAATCTTGGCTTTTACCAGGATAACTATTTATAGCCTCTTGCTTATCTTACGCAGTCCAGTCCTCAGGGAGTATGTGACACATGGCCGTTCCTGTGTCTGGGACACATCATTACTCCACCATGGCTCTGACTCAGACGGATGTCTGGGGCAGGGGTCCTCTCTCAGGGCCCCTTTAAAGTTTGATGAATGGATGAGAGAATAAGTAAACAAATAAATGTAAAGCAAAACAAAACAAAAACAGCTTTGGAAACAGAAGGAGTCACAGACAAAACCTTACAGGATGGCGGAAACAGCCGGACAAGGAGACCCCATGGTTAACAGAGCGGTGTGACTTATCTCCCCTCAAGCATGGTATCTACTCAGTGCACACATGCATCTTGTTGCCTCACTCCACATGTGACATGCAGGCAAGAAATGTGCGAAGAATCAGGGCCCCTGCCTTTCAAACTCACTATCAGCATTCCTGCAATGGCATGTCAAGCATGATGAAAAAAAAAATGAGCTATGAAGGCAGGAAAACACAAAGAGGAAACTTAAATGCATATTACTAAGTGAAAGAAGCCACTCTGAAAAGGCCACATACTGTATGATTTCAACTCTGTGACATTCTGGAAAAGGCAAAACTATGGGACAGTGAAAAGGTCAGTGAAAGCCAGGGATTAGGAGGGAGAGAGGAACAGGCAGAGCACAGAGACTCTTTAGGGCCATGAAGCTATTCTGCTTGACACTATAAGGATGGACGCACGTCATTCTGCATTTGTCTAAACCCACAGAATGTACAACACCAGGAGAGAATCCTAATGTAAACCGAGGGCTCTGGTTACTAAGACTGTATCAATATTGGCTAATCAAGTGTAACAAATGTACCACAGGAATGGAAAATGTTTATATATGAAGAGGAAGAAGAGTGTGTCCAATTTTTTTTTTTTTTTTGAGACGGAGTCTCACTCTGTCACCCAGGCTAGAGTGCAGTGGCACGATCTTGGCTCACTGCAAGCTCCGCCTCCCGGGTTCACGCCATTCTCCTGCCTCAGCCTCTCGAGTAGCTGGGACTACAGGCGCCCGCCACCACGCCTGGCTAATTTTTTGTATTTTTAGTAGAGATGGGGTTTCACTGTGTGAGCCAGGATAGTCTCGATCTCCTGACCTCATGATCCACCCACCTCGGCCTCCCAAAGTACTGGGATTACAGGCGTGAGCCACCATACCTGGCCTGAGTGTCTGATTTTTGTATAAATCTAAAACTCTCTTAAAAATACAGTCTATAATACATTTTTTAAATTCACTCTCTGGAAGCACACGTTTGTTGAGACAATGAAAAGAAAAGCCTTGTGCAATGTCAGAAACTTGAGTTTTAAAGACGGCAGCCACTTAAGGATTTGGTCCAGAAGCCAGGTCTGTGTGTTCCCACATCCCTCTGTGGCCAGATGGGGTGCAATAACGGCCCACCACCTGGCCTGGCCCCAGGGTGTCCTACAGAAAAGGAGAGGTGAGCTCTGTAAGCCGGGACTGCCCGAGTCCCATCTCACCCCAGACCATCCACGGCTTATATGGCTAACCGGCTCGCGCGATAAGTTGGCACGCCCAATCTTGTCGAACTCCATCCATCACTTGTGCTGCACATTTTCACTGACAGCCTTCTCCTGCCAGGACTTCACTTGGAAATGAAGCAGACTGGTCCCTAACCCCACAGAGCTTACGGCTCACGTAATAGAAACTGCATAAAATGAATCGTTTTTAAGAAAGTGAGCTGGGGAACAGTAGGGGGCGAGCAGCCCCCAGGTTCTGCAGAGCAAATGGCAGGCAGCCTTGCCCTGAGCCTCCACATTCGCATCCTACTGAACTTGCTCCTCTCTTCCAAGAGAACCAGTCACAGGCCCTACTGTCTGTTTGCACATGTGCTGTTACAAAATGCAGACAAAAATGTCTCAGGAAAGACCTTTTGTGGGAGTGGATTTGCAAATAAAAATGCACATGGAGCACCAACCAGAGAAAAAGGGACATTCTAGAAGCAAAGAGTCACCTGTTGATAAAGAGAAAACTCATCATTTCTATAAGTACAAACATCTCATTTAGCAAAAACCATGACCAAGTGAACACAGAGGGCACTTGTTCTTTCAATGTGGCTAAAACCAGATTCCAGGACAGGAAGTCCCTGAAAAGAGACTGTATTTCCGTCACACTTTTCCTCCCTTATACTAAGGCAGGTAAGCTGACCACAGACAGAACCACAGGATGAGGCGGCCGGGCTGGGGATGCTCATACCGGCCTGCTCAGCACCAAGGAACCTATGGGGACTGTGCGACGGTGCTATCAGCTGCATTTGCTGGACAGTCAAGTGTCACTTGCTGTTCTTCAGCCTTAGCAGAGGCAGAAGCACAGTGCTTCCGTGCACAGAGCTGCATCCCTGCTGGAGCGCACACAGCTCTCCACTGATCTACAGGCTGCCCTGCCTCCCATGCATCAGGAGGGTATCTCCTGTGGATGGAGCCAGGTAAGGGAGTAAGGCACACCTGCTTGCTCTCCTCACCTCAAACTCCAGCTCTGATCACACATTCCCCAGCACTGTGGGGTTCTTTCACTGTTTTCACTGGACAGAGGGAAGCACCGTGGGTCGGGGCCAACTCCAGGTGGGCTTGGCCTTCCTCGGCACAAAGAAGCTAACACTTCTTTAGCACTTATGTTCTTAACATGCCAGTCTGACTTATTCAGAGAGAGCAGCCACCCAACGCTGCAGGGCTGGGAGGGTCCCGGTGCACTGCATCCCCTGAGACCGTCCTGCAGACGCCAACCAGAAGCCTCTGAGCTGCGCCTGGCCCCATCAGTGCACAGCCAGCATGGCTGGGATGTGTGCGGTGGCATGGCCAGGAGTCTAGATGGGCACCCGCTGGCCTTGTGCTTTGCCTGCTCTGTAACATGATGCTGAGTGAGCTGCAGGGGCGTGAAAGGATGAGACAAGAACCAGGCAGCGTTCCCTGTGTCAAGGCACACTCCTGGGGAGGCCCACGGCTCATCCAATGTGTGGACTCGAATCAGCTGGATAAACACGAAACAGTGCCCTGTCTGTAGGTCTTTCTCTGTAGCCCTCACAATAAGGCCAGCGAGCCCCCACTCTGTGTATGAGAAGCTGCGTCTCAGAGAGGGCCAGCGCCAGCCACGGGAACTCTCCCAGAGATGACTCCAGCTGGTGCCCCAGCTCCAGGCTCCTCTCCTGATAGGAGCTGCACCCTCTCTCATAATGAGCAGCTCCCTCAGGGATTAGGGTGACAAGAGGTGACAACAGTGAGACAAGGAAGGGGGCAGAGCAGCTCCCGTTAGCAGCTACAGAAGGCTGGAGAGAAGGCAGTGGGTCATGGGCTGTGGGCCAAAAGCCATGGGCTGTGGCATCCCCGGGATCCGTCCCTCCCATGGTGGAGGCGAGGGCCCCTCTGAGAAGCCTGTTTGGGAGCCTCTTTATTGCCTTCTTTCAGCTATCCTGGGATCCTAATCTACTGTTCCCAAGGAAACCACAAACAAACACTGCTGTGCCTGCCCCACACCTGGCTACGTGGGTGCCTGGGTACACTGGCATCAATAACCTTGTCCCCAAGCCAGCAGGTCCACAGGACAGAGGGGCAGAGGGACAAGTGCTTGCCACCAAGTCATGACTGTGTCCTTGGGAATGTGAGTGTGTGGGTGAGCGTATGTGTGTGTGGATGAGTGTGAGTGTGGGTGTGTGAATGTGGGTGAGTGTGGGTGTGTGAGTGTGGGTGTGTGGAGGTGAGTGTGTGTGGGGGTGAGTGCAGGTGTGTGAGTGTGGGTGTGTGGGTGAGTGTGTGTGTGTGAGTGACTACATGTGGTGGTGTCTGTGTTTGACTAGGTATATTTTACTGTGGATATCTGCAAATATATTCTTTTGTGTGAATGTGTGTAAGTTTGAGAGTGTTGTGAGTTTGCATATGAGTGGGTGAGTCAGTAGTTATGTGCATGGGAGTGTAAAAGTGTAGGGGGTGTGAGCGTGTGTGCTTGTGAGAATGTATGAACGTGCATGTGTGAAACTGAGTTTTGTAAGTGTGTCTGTGTGTGTTTCTATGTATGCCTATGCCTCATGTGTGTGTATTGATGTGAGAGCGTGTCTGTGTGTGTCTCCGTGTGTGAGTGTATACCTGTATGTGTCTCTGTGTGTTTGTGTGTGTGCACACACAACAAAGCTTAGCCCTGCAGTTCCATCCCCCAAGGTGAATGAAAGCACTTCAGCTAACAAGTACATTCTGCCTTAGAAAGTGCTTTCATCCAAGGTGCACTGGCCCGGCCACCATTACCCCCAGTGCTAACAGACACAGGGCCTCGGGTGCAGATCTTCCTCAGTAAGGAGTGAGATCAACTCTTCAAACCTGAACCAATCCCTCTCTGCTTACTTCTGGGAGATCCAAGTCCTGGGAGAAATAAAGGACAACTCAGTTCTCCTCGTGCTTGACCGACATTGTTTTCCTTTTGATGAACACAATAAAACTCCAAACTCAGCTTTTATTGTTGTTTCTTATTAAATTTCACTTTGTAAACAGCCATATAGAAAGTGACATTTTTCCATCAGTTTCTCTAAAGCCGTGTGGGTATAGCTGATGCACTACATATTCTGTATAAACATGCATATTCTGTATAAAGAGAATAAATGTAAATTTCAATTCTATCTTTTCCAAATCATCAAAAATTCCAGTCATGGTGGGTCACGTGAATCAGCTTCCTAGAACCTCACAGAAACATGAAGTAAGGACTGAAGAGAGGCCGGGCGCAGTAGCTCAAACCTATAATCCCAGCACTTTGGGAGGCCCAGATGGGCGGATCACCTGAGGTCAGGAGCTCGAGACCAACCTGGTCAACATGGCAAAACCCCGTCTCTACTAAAAATACAAAACTTAGCAGGGCGTGGCGGCACGTGCCTGTAATCCCAGCTACTCAGGAGGCTGAGACAGGAGAATTGCTTGAACCTGGGAGGTTGCAGTGAGCTGGGATCGTGCCACTGCACTCCAGCCTGGGCGACAGAGCAAGACTCCGTCTCAAAAGAAAAAAAAAAAAGAACTGAAGCGAGCACCCTCAAGTGTCAAGCATGCTTTTACACACCCGGCAGCTACAGGGAAAGCCTGGAGGCTTGGCTCCTCTAATCGTTTCTTCCTGCTTGTTCTCCAGGTCATTCTGCCCACAGGTGAAGTCTCTACTCTACTCTGGTATCAAGCAGGCCTGGGCAAACCTTGTTCATGTCAGGATTCTGGAGGGGAGAATCAGCTCAACAATACCAACCCACAGCAATGAAACGGGCGTTCCACAAATGCACACACACCACACAACACCGAATGCAAATCCGTGGGACAGCATTCAGGTGCAAAACAAGTAGAAACTGAGTAGAGACAAACGGGCCAGCCACTGACCTTGCCAAACCTTGCAGACAAGGGAGAAAGCAATTCACTGAGTTAAGCCAAGTACAGAGACATCACCTTATGCACAAGTTCTATCATACATAAAATTACTTTAATCATAATAGTTTTAACTCTAAGATAAGTTGCAAAGACTCAGAAATGAAGTTTACTTTTATTTTATCTTTACAAAAACAATTCTTTTTAAAGAAACTTCGTGATGGCGCCAAGATGGCAGTACTTTCTTTCCTAAGTCATAAAAACAGTCAGAGGTAACCTACCTCTGAGGCCCTGAACTAGCCAGGGAAAAACAGATACGGACGCCAAATATTTGCTGACCACCAGGACCTTACGATATAATTGGGGGTTGGGACTCTTCTATAATCTCTACACGGAGTAGCAGCCTGGTTGCAAGGAGGGTGGAGCTTTTACGAAGGGCCACTTCTATTATACCACAGCTTTGACTTCTTACATTGTATGTTACTGATCAATAAACTAGCAAGATCTTTAATTCACCCATTAGTTAAGATTGAAAAAGGATGCATTGTTCATGTGTTTATATTACCATTATTATCATTTATTACAAGGGCAGGGTAAGGAGAATAATCACAGAAGGAAAGTCCCCTCATTCCCAGTGCTGACACTGACCCAAGTGTTTATCTGCTTAAATAAGCAACAGTCTTAGCTCGGGTAAGGGGCGGCTGTTGTAACAACATACCACAGAATGGGCAGCTGACACCACAGCCGTTTATCCTCCCATAGTCCTGGAGGCTAGGAGGCTGAGATGAAGATGTGGGCAGGGTGGTTCCTCCTGAGGCCTCTCTCCCGGGCCTGCAGATGGCCACCTTCTCCCCGTGTCCTCACGTGGCCATTCCTTGTGTGTGTCTGTGTCCCAGTCTTTCTAAGGACACCAGTCATACTGGATTAGGCCCATCCTAATGACCCTATTTCAACCTAATTACCTCTTTAAAGACCTTATCTCCAAATCCTGCCATACTCTGGGGTCCTGGGGATTTGGACTTCAACATTTGAATTTGGGGAAACAAAATGCAACCCCCCAGCACTAACAATCAAAGGTCTGACAGGACGGGTGGAGACGTCAGGTCGACACAGAACGTTCTGGGCACACCAACAAGAGCTGGGTCCCCCAGGTGAGGCCGGGGGCTCCTGACATGCCGAAGGTGGCCTTACTCATCATTCAAGGCTGCTTTTCCAATGGTGCCTGGGGACAGGGGGCTAGGTAGAGGGTTGAAGAGAGGCCCAGGGTCAGATTTTCAACACAAGCCTGCAAACAACAGCAGATCTATACAAAGAATGGCAGTACAAAATGAGGACATTCGAGACTTTATTAACTTTCTCTGCTTCCTTCAAGAGCTCACCCTAACTTTGCTTCTGTGTCTCCTTTGTCAGGCTTGACCCTGGAATCCCTAATTAGGTTCACATTCCTCAGGAAGCTCTGTTATCCCACTAAGCGTCAAAGCCCAATTTAGCCTGCTCTAATCCCCATGAGAAAACACCCGCCCGGCAGACGCAATTAAACCTTCTCAGCCTGCGGGCTGAGAACCGGGACAGGAGCGGAAGAGAAAGAGAAGGAAAATTCCCAGAATCAGGTCATTATATTTTTCCTTACAGTTAACAAGCAGCTAGTGAAGATCATGTCTGTGGCACAGTAAAATGAAAAAAGAAAGGCTCAAGCTTTCCCAGTCCTTGGTCTTGGCTTGGTCTCGGCTCTTCTCACCTCTAGGGGCCTCAGTTTCCCCTTTCAATCCAACTCTATGGAATCTAATAATTTTTAGACAAAAGAGTAGTGCCCCTATCCCAGATGGGCTTAGCTGAACCTACTGGAACCTTCTTTTTCATTCTTTACTTAGGCTGTGTAGCTGTTTAACATTGGCTACCTTTACCCAGTTGAGGCCCATGGCCCACAAGGCAGGGCCAGGCCTTCGCTGGCCTCAGGCAAACAAGTTACCACTGGTAGGGAATATAATAGATTTAAAGCAAAAGCATAGTATCCTGTATCCATTATGTCACCATTATTTGTCTCAGATCAGAAATCAAATGTGAACCTATTGTTGGAACAATGTCCAGGGGATTCTCGAAGTGGCTGAAAAGCACTTTCAGGATCACTTGCATGCTGTATACACAAGTCCCAGCAAAGGGCACAGCACAGGATCGCTCGGGGGCCCAAACGCCTTCCTGCAGTGAGTCTGTCTTACAAGACCAGGGCTGAGCAGGGAGGCCAAGCATCTCATGGTGCAGCCGAGGCCCGCAGAGGCAGAATCAGGGTCTACAGACCCCTGAAGGCCAACACTTACCACAGTCCTACGCCTTATCTTTTCAAAAAGAGAAAGAGGACATCTGGTGATTGATAAAATGCTAATGGCTTGCAAAAAAAGCAAGAAGAAAAACTCATAAATCATAAATCCAACCTAATTGCAGAAAGATTAAAAGGTAGTATTGAGTTGATGAACCGTCTTTTTATTAGAGCATTATAATGCCAAGGACCAAGATTTAACTGCATCCACATTACTGGATCCATTTCCACAAGGAAAATCCAGGTCCCAACTCATGCATTCCTCACCAGCTACATCTGATCAGCCTATAATTCTCACCGGCCACCTATAATTAATAATAAAGTAATAAAGTACTGACACTGACATTTGTGAGTAATTTACATTTTAATTCATCAGAAGAGACTGATGATTACCTCTACAATAACATCCCTGCATGCTATTGCCTGAATAAGTTTAGTAGGTTGTGTTTTCAAAGACGGTGGCATCACACAGGGTCTTCTGTAAAGGAACTCTGCCATTCCCCCATCAAGAGGTAGAGTCTGTCCCTGTTCCTCTTGAGTCTGGGCTCGTCCTGGGTTTGCCCTGTGGCCTGCTGTGAGTGGTGGAATATGGCAGAACTCCGAAGCCTGGCCTTAGACAGCTGCAGTTGCCGCCTTCGCCTGGAGCATCCCATTCTTGGGCCCAGCCCCCATAATGAAGGGAAGCCTGAACAGCCGCATGGAGACACCTACAAGGGGGCACCGAGGTGCCCAGTGCCAATCGTTGGAAATGGGCATGAGGGCGTTTGTGACCTTCTGGCCACCCAGTCCCCCTGTCAGCACCACATGAAGCAAGCACTGCCCAGCCAGCTCACGAATCCATCACAGCTTGTTGGTTTCAGCCACTGAGTGTACAGGGGATTTGTTAGGCAACAACAGAGAACAGAAATAGTGTGCCCAGCAATGCGCACAGCCCCAGCATGCCCAGACGAGTGTGTTGGGCACCAGAATGCCATCCTTCAGTGCTCTGTGTCGGGAAGTAGAGGAAAGGGGCTCAAAATCAGCACTTGAAAAAGCCAACAGCAGCAATGAGGCCATGAGCTGTCACAGATGAGGAGATTTCAGCCGCCGATGGTGGGGGCAAGAGGCCGACAGAGCGCGGCTGTGGCTTCAGCACGAGGCGGGCAGACATGACCCAGGACACTAGCCAGTGGGCAGAGAGGCAGAGGGGCAGCCTCTCGTCCATCTACGCTGCGATTCACCAAAAAATGCATCAGGCTGAACATGCACGGTATGTGGTGTTCTTGAATGTAAGCTTCGGTTTTAAACAAATATGTATTTTAAACCATATATATACTGTTTCAAGCCCCAGAGTGACTGGACAGAACCGAAAAAGCTCTGTCTTTGCATCCAGAGACTGAAATTAGGGCAAGCCCTCTGCTTCTCCCAGCTGGCTCTGATGAATTTACGGAGACTGTCCTCTGTGAACTCAATTTTCCTCCTCATCTGTGACATAGGGATAATACGACCTCGCGGGGTGGATGTGAACCTCAAGCTCATAGGAAAGTCTTGACAGTGGGACTATATCAAATATACACTGTCAGATTGGAGTGAGGGTGAAAGGGGACCCCACGGCCTTTCAAAGACAGCAGCATAGTTACCGAAGGCCATCTCAGTCGGCCATACAGACTTTGCCTCTCTCCTGAAACACGAACTCCATATTTTTCAGACTAGGCATTTCCTGGACAATTTTCTGATGATGAGGCTGCAGCAATGAGACTGATTCATGATAATACTTAACCAGGGGCAAAACAGACATGTCCCTCGCCCCGTCCTGTTCACCTGAAGGAAGGCAGGGAGGAACCACTGCCCAAGACCATAGGCCTGAGTGGGACGGTGAAACCCGAGAGTCATGTCCTACAGAGATGGCCCCGGGTGTATGTTGATGTGTGCATGGCCCCATCAATCACAGCCAGTTCCTGAGAGCGATCCTACAGGCTCCTGGAAGGACGGGTCCAGATGCCATGCCTGACACCATGAACATTCTAAAACACTCAACTGGTAGTCTAAGCAAATGAAGGAACGCTTTTTGATTTTGCTTTGATTTATTCATGTTTAACATACAAGTTAAAATACCTGACTCTGAAGAAGCTGTAGGGGCCTACTGAGTGGGGACCTTAACTATTGGCACCAGAAATGGCTCCCTTTCCAACTGTGTGCCAGTGACTCCTAATCCCACTCACGAATGACAGGGAGTCATCATCTCATGTCCACCCTACACTGGCTTTCTGTCATGGCTCTGGCCACCCCACAGTGGGGGCAGCCCCTCACCACAGCTCTCTGTTTGGCCAGCAGCAGGAAGGCTGGGTTTGGAGCCCATGTGCCTGGTGCGCAGGCCTTCATGGAGGACACAGCCGCATATCGGCAGGCTGCCCTGCCTGCCGCACGGTAGACTCCAGGGCCTGGCACTGTCAGCTCCCCACACCTGATCTCTTCTTATCCTCTTTCCTCACCTGCAGCCAACATAGTCCAGGCTCAACTCCCTTGCCTAACCCTACCTCCCACCTGTGAGCCTCAGCCCAGGCTGCTCCCTCTGCCTGGAAAACCACCTGCCCACCTCCTACTGGGCAGGTGCCTGTGCCTCAAGGCCCAGTGGCAAGGCCCCTTCTTCAGGAGACACACAAATAAGATGTGCTTTTATTTCTGCTTCAAGAGAAGAGCACAGAAATGTTATGACCCTCTGCTCCTGTGATTTTGTAATATCCTCTTCTTATTTTAAAGGAAAAGGTCCAAGGAGGCAGTAACACTAAAACAAAGCACAGTTTTCCGAGGCTTTTAAAATGAGGGGTGGGCCCCACATCCACCAGGGAGCAGGCAAGCAGGTGTTTGTATTTTCAACCACGCCAGCCTCATGCTGAGAAAGGCGGGGTTCCGGACATGGAGCTCTGGAGCAGGAGGAGCTCCCACTGCCTGTGAGAGCCAAGGCCCGTTCATCAGGACGGCACTGAGCTCACAGGGAGCAGAGCCTCGGGCGATGACATCAGCTAATGCCACCCCCAGCTCCTGCTTCTTGGGGGTCTGTGGCATCTGAGGTTTCCATATGAAATCAATAGCAGGCTCTTCATATCAAGCCCTGGCTTCCACTGACCTGTTGCTAATGACAAGGCAGAGGAAGTGGTCACCCCTAGGGAGGGGATGCCCAGATCTCGAATAAAACCACCCTCCAGAGTGAAGCGCAGAGCTCTGACAGTCAATGTTCAGTGGTCATCCGTAAAGAAAAGGAATAGCACAAATAAGTGAGCTGGTCACTTCGCCAGACTTTGGGTCAGTTGTCTCAACCTCTCATTCATTCATTCATTGCAGAATGGCATATCAAATATCACACTTCGGGGCACTCGGAGATGAGAAAGAATTAGCAGTTGCCTTCGAAATTCAGTTTAAAATGGAAGAAAAGGTATAAACATACAACAGTTATTCAGGGAAGAAAATGGTAAATTCCACAAAGGTAGGCACCAGAGAAATTTTCCCTGAAATACATTTTGGCAAGAGTGTTTAACAATCACATGATGAACAGTTTGGGTTTTACCAACTGTCCTTTGCTCTAAAGAAGGCTGACAAGAGGCCGGGCGCGGTGGCTCACACCTGTAATCCCAGCACTTTGGGAGGCCAAGGCGGGTGGATCACGAGGTCAGGAGATCGAGACCATCCTGGCTAACACGCTGAAACCCTGTCTCTACTAAAAATACAAAAAAAAAAAAAAAAATAGCCGGGCATGGTGGCGGGCGCCTGTAGTCCCAGCTACTTGGGAGGCTGAGGCAGGAGAATGGCATGAACCCAGGAGGCGGAGCTTGCAATGAGCCGAGATCGCGCCACTGCACTCCAGCCTGGGCAACAGAGCGAGACTCCGTCTCAAAAAAAAAAAAAAGCTGACAAGAAAAGAAAACATGAGAAACCCTAAGAGCTCACAACTTATCAAATCTTTTAAAATTAAGCATTGAGCTGCAAATGGCCAACTGGCCAACTCTAATGTCCACATAAGCATATTTCATGAAACCCAAACTAGTTCCTGCTGGTCTGAAGCTAAACTGCCACCCCTGTTCACAAAATCTTGATAATGGCATTCCATTTAACTCTAATGTCCACATAAACATATTCCATGAAACCTAAACTGGTTCCTGCAGGTCTAAAGCTAAACTTCCACCCCTGTTCACAAAATCCTGCCAGTGGCATTCCTCTCTGCCCAGTGTCTCAAATTCAAAACCTAAGGATTACTCACAAGCCGTGCCTCTGACCCACCGGGTGGGTATGCCAATCCTAACAGGTCTACCTTTAAAATGCCCACAAGTCTACTTCCTACTGACCCCACCCATTGTTCAAGGTTGGGCCACTCCAGCTCTTGCTGGGCAGTGCTAAGCTTTCTAACCAACCTCCTGAGGTTCAATCGACTCCCCTCCAAATGCTTTTTAGAAGTAAAGAAACCTCTGAAAAAGCGAAAGGTTTTAGATAAAGATTCTGAAAGCAGAATTTCTCACATCACAGTATTGCAACCATTCAGCCATTCTATCCACTCCACCTCCCCTGAAAGACACAGTTGTGAGTTTGTTATTCTAAAGACCTTCTGAACAGGGGGCAGTTTCCAGTGATAAGGGAGGGTTAACAGCTCAGATCCTTGCACACCGCTTTATTAAGAACAGAAAGGAAGCCTGCGGGCTTCGGAAAGTTCCAGGGTAATTTGGAGTTGAGGGTGCACAGACACACACACAGTGCGCAGAAAGGCAGGAGTTGAAATGCCTAGAAACACACAAAAATGAACTCCGCCAGCTGCTCCCGGGAGGCGGAGAGAGGGCGCCCCGCGAGCTATTTCTGTGCTTGACAGAAAATGGGAGTAGGCACTTCCTGAATCCCTGCCTAAAATTAACTGCTTTACAAAAGGGGGGAAGGGGAAACCCATGGTGAAACAAGTTTTATTTTACAATTCAAAATCTGGAGGTGGGGATTTGAATGCTTCGTTATGGGTTTTGGCCCCGCTGATAAAAATGTGGCTGAAAAAAAGAAGAAATGGGGGCTTCACTAGGAAACCTACCCTTCAGAAGTAGCCCCACAAAAATAAAGCCAGCGGTTTGATTAGAAACGTTCTTCTCCCCGGCGCCTGTAGTCCCAGCTACTCGGGAGGCTGAGGCAGGAGAATAGCGTGAACCCGGGAGGCGGAGCTTGCAGTGAGCCGAGATTGCGCCACTGCACCCCAGCCTGGGCGACAGAGCCAGACTCCGTCTCAAAAAAAAAAAAAAAAAAAAAGAAACGTTCTTCTCCCCATGGAACGTGAAGCCATGTCTCAATGAGAGGCATGAAGGCGCATGCACAGCAACACTGGTGCAGTCGCCAGAGAGCACAGGCTTCAGTGCCGCACATCAACTAAGTGCCTGTCCTGTGGTCTAGGGGGCTGAGACTCATGGACACACACGCTGACAACATGAGAGGGCAGCGTCTGGGGCAGGGGCTGCACGAGACAGAGTGGGGTATCTGGAAGTATGGTGGGCACAGGGCCACGACCCCCGCCCTGAGGACGAGGCCTGCAGAGGTCTCTCCTAGCCTGACAGGGATGGTTATGTCCCAACAGGGGCGGGCTTCCAACACCTCTCCCAGCCTGAACTCAGGCTCTGGAAGACCTGAGTCTGAACGGGCCATAGAGAGGTCTCAGGAACAAGATCCCACTGGGAACCTACACTCAGAGCCAGAATGCAGTCTCCCAGCCAGAGCCAGGGCCCAGGACTGCCAGAAAGTCCCGGAGATAAGCTTCTGCAGAGATGACATTGCTAGATGCCAGGGTGGGTGGCATCCATGTGGAAGAATGACTGTAGTAGAAATTTTAAAAAGATGCACTGCATATGGTGTCTAAACATTGAAAGAGAACAGGCCGTTCTGCAGCTCCCCAACTGCAGCACACCTTCCTCCTCCATCTCGGCAGAGGGAAGGGGTAAGGACAGACCACTCAGGAGAGCAGTGGACGAAACCACACACATTATGACAAGTGGATTTCTAACCTGGACAGAGCCAGAGGCAGGGTCAGAGAGGAAGAGCTGTGATCCAGAAGGAGCACACGGTGCCACAGGGCTGGGGAGAGGCCCCGATGCCACCCAGCCCAGAAGCCCAGAGGTGAAGAGGCCCTGGATTGAGGAGAGGAGAGGACCCCAGTGAGCCTGGAGGAGGGGTGACAGGATAATGGGAGGAAGCATACATTATAGACTCTGAGCAGTTCAAAAACTGAATGGTGGTCTGAAAAAAGGGGTAGTAAGATAAGCACGTCAAAAAAGGACATCACTGAACAGGATGTGAGCTCACACAGGGGAATACAGAGTTTGGGGTCTTCTAGAAAGGGGCCAAGGGCTCCTGCAGATGGCAGCCAGAGTCAGCAGAAAGAGCACCTGGGGCCACATGTGTGGAAGGAGGGACGTTTCCCCTGTGACCAGAGCTGATGGGCAGGAGGTGCTGGAGCCAAATGGCATTTTCAGGAGTGTTTCAAGCTGATTAATGTCAGGCTGGTAGCTTGGAAGCAGGCGGGGGGAGGTGAGGTATTTTCACCAGGGGAATCAGCAGAGGCTGCCAATCAGCCCGCTGCACCCCCAGCAGGGTATAAACCCTCATCTGCACACCACCGGCCAGAACGTGTTTCAAGAGAAGCGGGAGTAAAAGCGATGGTGGCCAACGCAAACAGAGTCTGAGTGGGAGAGTCCACGCACACGCAGTACAGAACGCCAGGCACAGGTGAGAGAGGCGGAGGGCTGGGGATGCATCTGTACCTGCTCGTCAGGGGCTTGTGGGAAATCACATCAGAAGTCCAAGACCAAGCAGGCAGGGACACCTGCAGCACCCAGCTCTGCCCTAGGCCCAGATACCCTGGCTGCAGCGATGTGGGCCAGGACTACGGAAGTCCTCTGTGGGGTGAGCCAAGGCAGGGTGAGCCTGTGCAAATGCAGGAGGCTGGGGGGAGTAGAAAGAAGGGCAGCCAGTCAGGGGAAAGGTCACAGAGCTGGCCAGAACCAAGGCAGCATCGAGCAAGAGGCACTTGGATTCCAGTGTCAGAAAATATTAAGCCCACGGCTCTGCCATTAGCCATATGGAACCACTTTCAGGTGGGCCTCAGGCTAAGTCTGAGGCACTAATTAAGCCCACTAAATGGAATTTGTTTGCTTAAAAGAGCAGACCCCATTCTCAGAAGAAAATTTAGAAAATATATATACTTTCTTGTCATTTAACAGTTAATAAATAAAATGCATAGTGATTTATGCTAGCGGTAGGCAACATTTCATGAAATAAATCTACTAGCGTCAGTACCACAACTGCAGAAAGAGTAGTTTCCAGCAACTGACACTGTAGACATCTACAGTGATTCCTAATACAATGATGCAGATTAAGGTATTAAAAGGGGAAAAGAGCACTCCTGCAGAAGCCACCAGGCCCTGTGCTTGGGGAGCTGTTGAATTCAGTTCTCCGCAGTCCTCTTAGTAGGGGTTAATTCCTGTTTTATAGAGGAAGAAACTGAAGCCCAAGGTCACATGGGTAAGACAAAGCAGAGTCAGGATCCAGACCCAGGTCTGTTATTCATTCTTCTCTTTTATGAGTCCTCAAAGTTTCAGAAGCTGCTTCTGAGAGCTACACATGCAAATTTCCATTTTGTACTTCTGTTCTCCCAAAGAGGCCAGGCAAGAGAAAATAAGTATTCGCCTAGTACAGAGTTTCACGTATGGAACACACACACACACACACACACACACACACACACAGAGCAGGAAATGTTCACCGCGTGCTCTTTTCTTTTGTTTTTGTTTACACTGGAGCGACGTGTGCCCATGGATGCCTGGCCTTGCTGCTCTGTCCCCTGCCCCTCGAGCTATATGGGGCTCCCTCCAGGACCGGGCTCCCCACCCTGGTCTATCTGACCCAGTCAGGGCAGTCACTCAAACATTCATTACTGTCACCATGAAAGTGGCATCTGTTTTGAATTCAGGGGCCTCATCTTCTCTGGGTGTCCCACTCTGTCATCAGAGCCTGGCTGCATGAGGTCAGCTGGCCCCTTCTCTCCTCCGTGACACCCCTGGTAAACAGACACCCAACAACATCCCGCAGGGTGGAGGTGGGGAGTGAACCTTAACCAACAGCACGCTTGTCCAAATTATTTCTCAAGTAATGGAGGTTCTGCAGGGAGAGCTTCTTTCTCAGGTTAGAACTGGTCAAAAGACACAGAGGTGGGGTTCAGAAGAAGATTTCCAGGGCACCTCGAAAGCCCTAGTTTAATCAATAAAACACACTTGCAGGCACGGGGTGCCCTTGCCAACAGCCTCCTACCCTCCCATGTAACCACAGTGCCATGGAAAGTTACCCTCATTTCACAGATGCCGAGAGTCAAGGCAGACAGGCCTGGCCTGAGCCACGTGCAGGATGCAGGGACCCACATTCTCCCTCCGGCTGCACCTTCTAGCCTCCTGCCCAGGACACAGATACAGATGCTGGCTGCAGAGCTGCTAATTAGGTTACTGGCCACGTAGTTAAAATGATGTGGCAAATAGGTGCAGATTCATTCCAGGTATGTGTTGTTTCATCTGTTACAACACAATGTGGAATGAAAACTGATGATTCAGAGAAAACACAGGATACATTTTAAAATTATATTATTTATTTAAAACAAATATCTTGTTTCAAAAGATCATAATTCTCTTTTGGCCTCTTTTTGGGGCAGGGCTAGGACTTCCTACACAAATATAGCTTACACTTATGCCGCACTAAAAAACAAACCTGCCATCACAGGGCGAGAACTTCACTCATAACCAGACAGCCAACATGGTCCCGTCAGCCCGGCCAAAGGTCACCACCAGTTTCAAAGACCTGTTTCCTCTGGTGTAAAGTGGCGAACTCAGTGACTTCCCAGCCTGTGGAATGCCAGCAGGGTCACCATAAAGCCCCGCAGATGCCGAGACGGTGCAAGGAGCAGAGCCCCACAGGGCAAGGCCCCGAGCTGCTGGCAGCTGGTGTCGCCCAGCTGACGCACTTCCTCAGTTGACAGTGGCTTGGTCCTGCTGGCCACCTTCGAGTCCAAGAAAGGCCTAGAAGTCCACAATGAATGCCTCTGATTGAGGCTCAGATTACTAGGGATTTAGAAACCTTAATTCTTTTGTACAAAGTATAATTGTGCTGACATGAAAAGCCAAATGTGGCTTGCTGACTTTGAGAGTGAGCCTAGAGCCCACATGGTGGCCTTGGCTGATGGGATTCACACAGTGGGGCCACTTCCCAGACTCTGGGAGTCAGGAGTAATAGTTCCCAGTAGAAAAAGAGACACAGGTATAAACATGCCTCTAGTAAGGTGTTAATGTGTAAAGTGACTTTCTAATTAAAATGAGTCAAAAATGATTGGTGAGGACAGCCTACCAGAAAAGGGATCTTACAGGAAAAGGAATAAAAGTGTCCTCAAAAAGAGCAGAATTTAAGGATGCTTCATGGTTCTTCTGACAGTAGTGACAACTAGCAAAAAAGAAAGACATGGAAGCCACCAATCAGTACCCACCTTGAGTAGGTGAATGGAGGGTAAACTGTGGCACATCCAGATGACAGAGTGTTATTCAGCTGAAAAGAAATGAGCTATCAAGCCAAGAAATGACAGGGAAGAAATTTAAATGCATATTATCAAGTGAAGGAAGCCCATCTGAAAAGGCTACACATGTATGATTCCAACCCTATGGCATTCTGGAAAAGGCAACACTATGAAGACAGTGAAAAGGTCAGCGGCTGCCGGGGTGCAGGAGAGAGAAGCGCGGCACAGAGGATTTCTAGGGCAGCGAAACTACTCCATACGGTACTGTCATGGTGGATGTCACTTATCATGCACCTGTCCAAACCCATGGAATGTACAACACCCAGAGTGAGCCCTAACGTAGACTGTGGACTCATCAATACTGGCTCATCAATTCTAACAAATGTGCTGTTCTGGTGCGGCGATGCTGACGGCAGGAGAGTGTGTGTCTCTGTGCGTGAATATGCATGCGTGTGTACATGTAAGCACGTGTGTGTGAGCCCTCGGTTCTTTCCCCTCGATTTTGCGGCAAATCTGAAACTGCTCTAAAAATAACATCTTCTAATTTTAAAAACCATTTTAAAAGCTGTCAAACATTAAAACACACACACACACGCACACACACACACACTTGGCAAACATAGGTGGAGACCTGCAATCATCTGGCAGAATCAGACTCTCATTTCGTCCTGTGGGGCTGCAGACAGAAGCTCCCTGTGGACAGCACGCTGCATCTGGGTCCAGCTCTGTGCACGGCCGAGAGCTACCCTCAGGAAATGTCTGCTGAACTGGCTGGCTTAAAAATTAACTGCCTCCGCCCTTAGAGCAAGAAGTGGGGAGGGAGGAGAAGGGATGCCCGTGTAAACATTTACTGAGACGGCAGAGAGAGGCAGAGCCCGTGCTGGCCGCGTGAGCTGGGGCAGGACCATCGCAGGCTTTAGCAAGAGATGCAACTGCTCGGTCCCAGCCCTGTCACCTGTAAGAGGGAGCAGAACAAGCCTCCTCAGACAGAAGTGTGACGAGTAAATGACAGAGCATATCTAAAGCACTCGGCAGGGTCCTGCAGATCCCTCAACAGCGCTGACTGAGTGGCATTCCTTCTGCACAGGCTGGACATGGAGAGATGTATCTCATGACATCCCTAAAAATCCTATGCTCAAATGAAGAAGCTGAGTTCAGAGGGAGTAACCATCTTCCTGAAGCTATTGTAAAGGGTACAAATAGGGGCAGGAAAGAGATGAACTCACAAACAACAAAAGAGCTTTTACACGCAGGGCCAGGGATTTTCCTTTTGGTTATGAAAAACGTATTGGTCCTGGCTGGGCTCAATGGCTCACACTAGAATCCCAGCACTCTGGGAGGCCAAGGTGGGTGGATCACTTGAGGTTAGGAGTTTGAGACCAGCCTGGCCAATATGGTGAAACCCCGTCTCTACTAAAAATAAAAATTAAAAAAAAATAGCCAGGCGTGTTGGCACACGCCTATAACCCCAGCTACTTGGGAGGCTGAGGCAGAAGAATCCCTTGAACCCAAGAGGTGGACGTTGCTGTGAAAGATCGCACCACTGCATTCCAGCCCGGGTGACGGAGGGAAGAAAGACAAACAGAAAGAGAGAAAGAGAGAAAGGGAGAAAGGGAGAAGAGGAGAAAGGGAGGAAGAGAGGAAGGGAGGAAGGAAAGAAAGGGAGGAAGAGAGGAAGGAAGGAAGGGAGGGAGGGAGGGAGGGAGGGAGGGAGGGAGAAAGGAAGAGAGAAAGAAAGAATTTATTAGGCCTTGTTACTAGCAAATTCAGATCATTCATTCCTAGTGAAGACCATATGAAGAAAGGCCACTACTTACACCTTTTGGGGAGGTCAAAGCTGACACCCCAACCTTAAAAGCTGTGGCAATGAGCTTCACCAGATTCCATCCTCCACCAACAGCCCAGGGAGCACCAACCCTGCTGAAGGTGGGGACGAGAGTCTGCAGCCTCCGTGGCCTGTGTGCTGGCAGGAAAGACAGGCCCCTGCCCTGAGCAGAGCGGAGCTGGCTGGTGGGATGCTGGAGAGTGGAGGCTCTGGGGCCCTAGACAGGGTAAGGTCTGGACATGGAAGATGAGACAGGCTCAAAGAATGCAGTAACCGAGAGCTCAGGGTCAGCAAAGCAGCAGCTCCCACAGCCTCCCTCCTTGTGCACGGGTGAGAAGGTCCAAAACAGAAACGCACAGCTGCGACAGCCGAGGCCCCTGCAGGGTTGCAAAGAGCTATGGGAATTGGGGAGAGATACTGCCCCTGCTCACTGTCTCGTGGGAGGACTGGGAGTCTCGGACAAGATGCCACGGATGTATGAGCAGAGCCTTCATGGGGAAGAAGAGGCCTGAGCCATGCGGGAGTCAGAGAATTCTCAGGCATCATTTCATGAGAGAGAAATAGAGATGCAGCCCAAGAGGAGTGAGCCCCAAGCCAAGCGGGAGAGACGCTCAACTCGTGTTTTAGAGAAGTTGGCCCTGGAGCTGGAGTTCACAAGAGGCATAGTAGGTTCTGTAGGCATACGAGCAAGGTGGGCTAAAGTCACCCACACAAACCTCAGCTCCATTTCTGATACATGAAGATGGCAAAGCACCAAAAAGAACACATGGAACAGCAAAAATCAGAACTTTGAAATGCAACGCCCATGAATTCTGGGCCCAGAAGCTAGGTGACAATAGGTAAGTTGTTTCACCTCCCTGGGGTCTCGAGGTTTTTCATCAGACAATGGGGAGAGGGGGCTGGAGAGGTCAATCCCTGGGACCCAGCAGGCCCGTATCCCACTGCACGGCAGCTGCGGCTCTTAGCATGCAGAGAAAAGGAGTGATCTGAAGATGAAAGTTAACTGCCAGACAGAAGTTAATGGTTGAAACTTATCAGTTAGGCCACTGAGCGTCTGTTGACGCCCAGGATGAATGTCTAGGGACAGTTTCTGAAGAAGCCATAAACTCTAGGTCCCGTGTTTTCCATGGCAGAGGACCAAGTCTTTGCCCTGGGCCTGTCTGGTGGAAGTGAAAAAGCTCCTGCATCAGCCGCAGCCAGGACATGGGGATCCCTGATGGGAGAGCCCAGCAAAGGCCCCCAGGGCAGCAGGCGATGAGGGCAGCAGGGGGTTCCGCTGACTTCCCCAGGACCTCCTGTAGTCTCAGCTTAAAAAGAGCAGCAAGCCTATCACAAAGTTCTCTCTCCCTCAAGCAGCCAGCTGGAGAGCGGGGAAAGGCTCCTGGCTTGGCAAGTGCCCAGACGTAGCACCGGGACAGTGGAAGAAGATGCTGAGGCCACCTGCAGGAGCCAAGAGGCTGGACAGAGCCTGGGACCTCTCTCCTCTTGCTGCACTCTCCTTCTACAGACTCAGCAAGGAGGCAACACCAGCACTCCTGTATTTTATATCCAAGAAGGGTGCAAACCGAGGCACATGCAGAGAGAGAAACAGCAAGCTGGACCTTCGCAGCCAGGCTGCAAAGGCTGAGGATGAGCCAGGGGGTCTGAGAGCATTGGAGCCCAGGTGGTAGGAGGTTCTGTGTTTTTCCTGGATTAAAGGGGGAGCTGCGCATCGGGACCCTGTGCAGGGCATCTCCCCAACATTACTCCTGCGCATGTTCCCCTCACTAACTCCTGCGTATGGTCCCTACGTGGGGTCTTAAGTTTACAAAAAAATTATCTGCAGGTCCATTTCACCTCTGATGATTCAAGATGATACTCAATACCCTACACAAAGTGCAACTCTAAGGAGCAAATGTGTCTGCAAGTGGGCAGAGGCGGAAGAGGCATCTCACCATGATGCCAGGCTGCAGGTTTCAAGGATAGGATTCCCATGCCTCCATCTGCTTGCCTAAGCTCCCCTTCATTTCCTTCAGGGGGGCACCACCTGCCACCCTTTCCTCCCCCTTCTCCCCTCCCCAACATCTGCTTTCCTACAACTGCTTCATTTCTCCTACTTCTTTTTTCACTCTTGCCAGTAAGTCAAGTGACAGCCAGGAAAAAAGCAAGTCATGATGCCCACACAGCTCATGTGGCTCACATGAATAAGCACTGCATTCCAGGAAGCAAAACAGTTGAAATCCCAAACTTTCAAGTGATTGTACATACATTATGTGACTTCCCTGAAACTTAAGTATTAACATAACCAACAGCTAAGAGAAAGTTATTTTTCTGTTTATTACAGAAACCTATTATTCACTTTTTTTATGCAGGAAGAAAGTGAGGCTCAGGGCCTATCTAAGTCCATGTGGGCTGCTATAACAAAATATTGGGAGGCTTATAAACAACAGAAATATACTTCCCAAGGTTCTAGGGTTGGGAAGTACAAGATCAAGGCACCAGCAGATTCAGTGTCTGGTGTGGGCCCTTTTCAGGGTTCATAGAGGGTGCCTTCTTGCCATGTATGCTCATGGCAGAAGAGGTAAGGGATCTCTCTGGGGTCCCTTTTATAAAGGCACTAATCTCATTTATAGACACTCCACCCTCGCGACCTAATCATCTCCCCAAAGGCCTCCATTTCCAGCTACCATCACCTTGGGGGTCAGGTTTCAACACAGGAATCTGGGGGAGACACAAACATCAAGACCATAGCAAGGGGGACTAGAAAGGCTTCAGGAGACAAAAAGCCCCACTGGGATCCAAGTCCAGGTCTCTGCCTCCATCCATCCACTGAGCTGCATGGCCTGGCCTGAGAGGACATACTGTCCAATGGCTCAAGAAGAGAGTGATAGCAGTCTTTTGGCGCTTCTCAAAATGTCCCAACGATGGCTCTGCCTCCCTGCCTGAGGCAGGTCCCCAGCTGCTGTCTCGGTCCCCATTTCTGCAGGATGGTTTCTCCACATTGTCAGTGCCACAGAAGGGGCTCTGAGGGCCTGGATGGGAGGAGCCTGTGACAATGTCACTGACAGCAGCAGATCAACAGCACCACCACACACCAGCCACATGCTCCAGGGCATGTGTGGAGCCTGTAGACACAGGCGCAAGTGCTCCCACACAGAGGGGAACACCATCGAGGGGGTTTAACACAGCACACGCTACCACCCAGTCTTGGGTCTGATGCCAGACCAAAGCCTATGAGCTGAACCAAGGCTTCATACTTGCCTGAGCAATCTGAGTGCAGCGTCTAAGGAGCCCACTGGGCAATATATGTAAACACAGTAATGAAGGACTCAAAAGCCGAGTGCAATAATGTGGGAGAAGCCACAGCCATATTCAGTTCCTGGAAGACCGAGCGGCTCCCTTAGCCACATACCCTGCAGGAGCAGCTGGGGAGTTATGGCCCTCATATCCCCAACAACGACGGCATTATATTTTTGGAATGAGAAGGTGCTTTGTTATTGCCAGGGGCTTTCTCCCCTGTGGTTCAAAGCTGTATTATAAAAAAAATGAACACGGATATATTTCCCCACACTGTGATCTGATAGGAATAAGAGCTTATCCATCCCTCAGCAAACTGCCAATTGCTGCCGTTAGAAATTCCATATTCAGTGATAGTTAAGGATTTTGGAATACACTTTGAACCAAAGAATTCAATCCCTTAAGCAGCCGGCGACAGGCTTCATTTAAGAAATGGAAGGAACAACAGCAGGCTCATCTCTGCGGCTGTGGCTCAGAGGTGGCTGGGCCCACAACAGAGTCAGGACAAGCAGCCCACCCCCTCCTCCTACTCCGCAGCCGACCCAAGGTGCAAGCAATGCGGACAAAGGCACCATACAACAGGGGTGAGGGACAACACATCCCAGTCCTCCTAGGGGAGGGGGAAGCTCTCCAAGTCTGAAATGCTCCCCCAAAGGTACAATCTTCCCACTCACCACTGCATTCAGAAGCACTGCTCCCACACCACTGAAGGTGCACAGCACCCCAGGAAAGGAGCCTATCTGTGGACAAAAAACCTCAAATAAACCACGGTCAGAAATCAGCTACGCCTAGGAGTGTGTGAACAAGAAATGCCCACTCCTCTGGAAAAGGGGAAGCCCTCTCCAGAGCAGGGTGGAAAGCAAGAGGAGAAGCGCTCCACACAGCCCCCAGGAGGCCCGAGAAGTGCACCCCACATGACATCTGAAGGAGGCAGCCAGCAAGGAGGTGTGGCCAGGTCACAGGGGCTGCTGGTCTGGGGTTCAGGAAGGGGGCAGCAAGGCCCTGTGCCATCCTCTCTGCTCCTGCACGTGCTCGGCATTCTCCATAATGAAGACTTTAAAAAGTCTCTTGGGAGAAAAGAAATAGAGCTATACTAGTCTAGTTCTTCCAACTTTGTGTGTGTGTGTGTGTGTGTGTATTTCTGTGCACACATATGCATGTATGCGTGTGAGCACAAATGTGTTTGTGTGCATGTGTATTTATGTGCATGCATGTGTATTTATGTGCATGCACATGTGTGTATTTACTCATGTGTGTGTTTGTGTATGCCTGAGATCGGGAGGGTCGGGGAAACCAGCCGCCCTAGTCCTCACATGGAAAACAGACCCACATGCAGTGAGTTCATGGTAACATGAAGTCAGCTTCCAGCATAGCCTTCCACTCGGAGCCGAAGGCAGGGCTGGAAATGATCAAAACAGCTGACCCATGAGGTCTGTAACAGTAGCAAAATCCCAAGACTCTAAAACTCCTCTTCCCTGGACCTACAGCCATGGGGACAACCTGTCAGGGCACCTACAGAGCCCCCATAGGCAGGGCCAAACAGTAGATGGGGCAAAACACTGCTGACACCCCGACTGCAGACCCAAATCATACTTGGGGATTCCGTAAGTACAGCCACCATCCCCAGGAGATCTGAAGGTGCGAGCACCAAGACAACGTAGAAAACCATGTGCTTCTTCCTTGGGGTGTCTGTCACTTCCCACACGGCACTTCCAGGCCACCTCACTTCCCCACTCACCAAAACCCTAAGCCCAACAGGACATAGCCAGGCCTCCTTTGGTCATAGAGGCCATCGGGCAATTGAACCTCTCTAGAGACTCACAAACCTCAGTGAACATCACTAAACCTTACTCCAGGGTTCCCAGGTTTCCGTGGCAGCTGAAAACCCCAATCCGTCTATGCACAACTATCTCCAAAATGAGGCAGAAAAGTCTCCAGGCCAGGGGAATGCCCTGGACCTCCCTGCTCCTGCCCTCTCTCCACCGAGAGGCAGTATGACAAGGCAGTGAGAAACCAGGGACCATGTGCCACTGAGAAGGAGCTGTTGATGTGGCCAGGGGACAACTATTGAATTCTTATCTGAAATCAAATTCTTAAGAATTATTTTCCATAATCAAAACCGTGGATTTCAAAGCTCTTTGGTTTATCCTTGAGATGAAAAGTATACACCGTACCCCAGCCCTGGCTTTCCTAAAGAGTTTTCTTTCCGTGGCTGCAGTCCAAAGAGGCCCCCCCACACATATCATTCAATGAAGGCCAAGTCAGCTATAAAAAGTCCCATGGGAAAGCAACGGAATGCTTACCTTGGCTTCACATTTCTTGTGGCAGGAATACTTGCAGGCTGGGAAAAAAAAAAAGAGAAAGAATGTGTGTCAAGCAGTCTCTCTAGCAAGAATTCTTACATCTTCAAACCCTCTCAATCCTTCAGAGTCTCTGGCTTGAAGATCCCATAGGTGGCCTCTCTCTGGCACGAGAGAGATTTTTACATATGACACACGGCAGTGTGGACAGAAGGCAGTGAGGACATGGTGTGCAAGAGCAGAGTTACAACTGTTGTCTGTTAGCAACAGCTCAGGTGGCTCAGGTAGGAATGTCTTGGGAGCACGGTCATGAGCAGATTGGTTTTTCAAGGGGTCATGAGCAGATTGGTTTTTCAAGGGGTATGTACGTCCAGCCGAACTGGATCCCTAAAGAAGAATAGTGAATTTCAGCAGCAGAATGCATTCGTGTGTGCCCAGAAATTATAGCTGATCCCTGAAAAAAGAAGAGAAACTGGAAGATGCCCCTTAAGAATCAGAATTTAAAGTGTCCATGAAAGACCGGATGGGAGCCTTTAAATTTGTGAGAAAGTCGTGCATCTGGATTTCGGAAGTGCTTCCACTTCCGGCCAACCTGAGAACTGACTGTCAGAATAAATTCATGTCTAAATTCCTATAGGAGAATCCTTCCAGAGGGGCCATTGTGTGAACGGAGCGAGTCCTGTGTCCCTTCGGAGGCCCTAACAATGCAATGCAGAGCTGGAACCAATGCGGATTTCACAGGCCCTTCTGCCCAGAGGCTGCAGCTGTGATCATGAGGCATAAACCTCCCCACGAGCACCACGGGCATGCTGCAGGCAGGCCTTGCAGGACAGGGAGAGAGAAATGAAGCAACAACACCTAATAATCCCAACACAGCCTCCTGTGCCAGCTCCAAGGGAACGTCGGGTACATGCCCTCCCTTCCCCCACGTTTGCCAGCCCACAGGGACAGCTGTGGGAGGAGGGAAAGAGACCTGGGTTGGGGAACAGTGACCAAAGCCTCCTATCCAGGCTCTGCCCCTCAAGCTGGGTCTCTGCTTCCTCCCACGGAGCTATCATGGGTCAAATGGAATCCTTCAAGGGACCCTGCTTTGAAACTAGAAAGCAATGTCCACATGCAGAAGTGTGTGGGACCTGAAGACCAAGGCCTCAGAAGTCAGGGAGAGGGGCCCCACATCCCAGCTCTGCGTGTCAACACCCCGTGAATTTAATCAATGTCTCACTCCCCCTCCTGCACTCTGTTTTCTATGATGTGTCAAAGTCAAAAAGGTTTGTGTAGGGTTGAATGAGGATGAAACAGATAAGGTCACTTGCCCACTGCCTGGCAATTATTAGAACTCCAGTAGTTACAGCTAGGTTGTTATCTTTGTATGATCTATATTTTTGAATTGCTGAATTGTCATTCTATACCTTGAGGTTTGTAAGATTATTCACAAAGACATGTATTTATCCTACACCTTCTGATGGGCAAAACACACAAAGGTGATCAGTGATTTTCAAATCAAGAGAGACTTGCCATTGGGAAACAAGGGGCTTCCACACAAGATTAAAAGTCCAGACAGAAACCATCCCCAGCAGAGGCCAGCACAAAGGACTGAGATAAGGAGAAGGGCGGTGGGCAGGCCTCTGGCCTCTGGCTGAGTGAGAGTCAGGCAAAGAATTCTGCCCACACACGTCTAGCAGCATGTCACAGGACCACGACATCATGCAGCGGTTAGCCTTCCAGATGGCCTGGGTGACCTCGTCTCTTGGCCCCCATGCTGGTGTATAGCCCCCTCCCACAGTGAATCAGCTGGGCTGTGTGACAGTGCAACCTGGCAGAGGAGATGGTGTGTGACTTTTGTGGCTAAAAGACATCGTGACTTCTGTCCTGGTCTCCAGGATCACTCATTCTGAGGACAGCCAGATGCCATGTTGTGAGGACACTCAAGCAGCCCTGTGGAGAGGCCCCCATGGAGAGGAACTGAGGCTTCCCACAAACAGCTGGCCCCAGCTTCCCAGCCACAGAAGTGTGCCACCTCGGAAGCTGGTCTCCAACCCCAACCAAGCCTTCAGATGGTGCAGCCTCTCCAGAGACCCTGAGCCAGAACTGCCCAGTCACCTGTGTCCCAAATTCCTGATCACTGACACAGTGGGAGATAACAGATGCTTACTGCTATGTTAAGGTACTAACTTTGGGGATCATTTGTCATGCAACACGCCAACTCAACACAAAAAAATGGCCCTGGTCAGTGCAAGGGTGGCAGTGGTATGATACATTCATGGTGGGTGGCCTACTCGGCCACCAGACAGCCATCGGCACTGTAGGGCAAAATCATTAAATTCAATTATCATAGTGAAATCATATAAACTGCCCATGAGCCAAGACTACAATCCTGAGAGGCAGGGCCATTGTTTCTGGTATGTAGACAAGTGACCCTCAAAGTTTTACAAATGTTTGGACTAGGACTTCACACTCGATTGTCAGCAGCATGGATAATCCTCAGAGTAGCAAGTCCACCGTCAATCTATCCGTGGCCCAGCTCTGGTCAGCACCGCACCAGGCAGTGTACAAGATACTTTCCCGTATGTTACTGCACTTGCTCCTCGTAAGCACCTCTCGGGGAGGAACTGTAAGGGTGACTCAGCCAAGGGGGCAGCCATGGTCCATGAAGGTGGGACTCCAGCCCGTCTGTGCATCAAATTCAGTGTTTGCATCCAGCCATACTCTCCCTGCCTTTCTGACATATTACAAAATATGAATCAAACAGTGCCCAGGCCCAGCTTCCTATCCTGCCGCCCACAGGAGACAGCCCCCTGCCTGCCCTACCCCTGCCTGCCCTAACCCTGCCCATACCAACCTCACCTCCTCATTCACGCCATCCTGCACCCACCTCCTGGGCCCGGCTCAGCTGCCTCCGTTCCTGAGTTGACACCCTTCTGTGCCACTGAACCATCATGGCAGGTCATCATGGCTTGTCATATCATGATGATCTCCCTGTGTCCATCTCTCCCGATGGGCTGCAAGCTCCTCAAGGGACAGCGTCTCTGTTGTGCATGACCAGGGTCTCACAATAGCAGCACTAACACGAGTAACAGGCAGCTAATACACTCAGCACCTAAAAGTTTGAACTGCATGCGTATTGCCAAATTTCCACCACACCCTGGAAAGAAGCTACCTATCTTCGCCTGTTTTACTAATGTGAGACTGGGGTTTGTGGATGAGACTGAGGATTCACGTGCTGGACAACTGTGTCCCAATCTTGACCTGTTCCAGGTCTGCTTTCAGAAGCCCATAGCCAGCAGGCCCACAAGCTATGGAGACCTCATTACCTGATCACCACTTAGGGATTCGGGGCTGTGAAGGTGCTGGCCAGAAGGGAGGCTGCAAAACAGAAGAAGAACTTCGCACCAAAATCCATCTCTGAAGCACACAGGCCCAGAAGACAAAACGTATGTGTTCACTTTGACCCTCAGCCAGGCAGACCCGCCTCCTTTTTGGAATAGCAGTTGTGTGAGCTGGCAGCTAAACTAGCCACCTTCTCAGGGGATGTCATTTTTATTTGAAAGAACTCCTAGCAGACAAAATGCAGTTATTCAGACTCGAGTGCTTGTCATTTTCTCAAAAATGAAGTGAGTCTGTCATCATAAACCAATGTCAAAATTTGAGATTTCAAGTGAAAATTAGAATTTTAAAAGACTAGTACCCAGGCCAGGTGCGGTGGCTCACGCCTGTAATCTCAACACTTTGGGAGGCTGAGGCGGGCAGATCACTTGAGGTCAGGAGTTTGAGACTAGCCTGGCCAACATAGTGAAACCCCATCTCTACTAAAAATACAAGAAATTAGCTGGGCATGATGATGCATGTCTGTAATCCCAGCTACTTGGGAGGCTGAGGCACAAGAATCTCCTGAACCCAGGAGGCAGAGGTTGCAGTGAGCCGAGATCGTGCCCTGGGTGACAGAGTAAGACTGTCTTTAAAAAAAAAAAAAAAAAAAAGACTTGTACCCATCACCAGGGCCTAACAACTCCTAGGACATTTCTGTTAAAATCAACAATATTATTAACAAATGTGGGGATTTTCCTGAGATTGTATAACAAATATGTCAACATTTAGAAGTTCTGCGAAATTGTCAGTGGACCAATAATTTCCAAATGTCCAGTGCGTGGTGTTCCACACCGGGTAAAAGATGCACTTGGTGTGCAAGACAGGCCAGTGGATTTTAATAAAACAGCGTAGGAAAAACTCTACTGACACAATTTCAGATTCCACAGTGAAACTGAACTTTAAGCAACTGTCACTTGAGTTCTGGTGTAGAATCAAAATGAAATAGCTACAATGGCCGGAAAAGCCTATTAAAATGCCTCCTTTTCCAAGTAGATATGTTTATGGGGCTAGATTGTCTTTGACGCTTCAAACCAAACATTGCAGAAGACTGCATGCAAGGGTAACCAGCCTCTTGATTAAGGCTGCATAACAGAATCACAAAAAAAAATGCACCTCCTCTCATTTTGTTGTTTTGAAACATAGTTATTTTTTATTAAGCTTATGTTCATTTTAACATGTAATTGGTTCATTACCATTGCTTTTAACTGACTTAAATATTTTAAATACTCATCAGTTTCCCATTTCTAATAGGGTAAATCGTGATGAATACAAACCACACTGACAAGAGCCCTTTAGGGTCTTCTAGGACCCTAGCAGTGGGTGCCCGAGACCCGCAGCGCGAGGGCAACCCCGTTCATTCTCCTTGCCTGAGGCTCTCAGAATGGGGTAAGGACCCAACTTTGACCAACAGAAAGGTAAGTGAATTCTCCCAGGGGCTTCTGGCGAAGGCCTTCCCACTCCTGTAAACGAAGCAAGGGAAAATGCCTCAGCTTCTGGAACCTCCCCCTCTGAGCACGGAGCTGGACCCACAAGAAGAACCTGGAGAACTTGGGTTGCAGAACCGGGGCCCAGGCACACTGCCCGGAGCCTGCCGGCCGCTGCACCTCCCCCTGCAGAAGACACATGCCCTGCTGGCTGGGAGAGGCTCCTTCCATGCAGCCCCGTTATTGGCTGCCACGGTGCCTTCCACGAAGCTCCATGTACTTTAGACGCCTTGTTCCACCTGTTCCCATGGGGACCAGGGAGAAAGTCACATTCTCACTCCGTTGCACGAACAGCAAACTGCAGCACAGAGCGGAAGCTGCCTGCCCTGGGCGACAGAGCAGGTTAAGCAGTGACACCAGCTGCCAGCCCAGCTCTAGATGGGCAGAGCCCACCTCCCAGAGCTGGACTGGAACACCCAGTGAGCTGGTGTGCAAAGGCTCTTCTGTGCCTGGTGCAAGAACTGGGGCTCCACATGCATGAGCCCACTAAAGCAAACATCTACCATGAGCTACACACCAGGACCAGGAGCAGGTGTCCAGGGACCTCAGGAGTCTGAACTCACATGCTCACTCCAGCCCCTCTCCAAGGATCCGTGCCAGTCATGTCCCCTCTGGCACACATTTCCCCTTCTGTAATTAGGAGTAGAACAGGGTGATAGCCAAGATTCCTCTCTGCCATGAAAAGAATAGTTTACCTAAGCAATAAAAAGATAAAATTACATATATATACAAACAAAATATTAGGTAGCTATTGAAAAATTATGATCTCAAACTATTTCACATGTGAGAGTTCTTACAAAAGGCAAGGCTAACAGATATACAGCACTCTGTGTTGTATGAAATAAACTTTGTGACCGACAGACATGCGCGGTGGCCTCATCTATAGGAGAGAAAATGACACTGGAGAGAGACCTCACAACTCAGACAGAAAGGAGGAGCCAGACAACAAAACTGGGAAAACTGGTTACTCCA
The DNA here is from genome assembly GCF_000001405.40 of Homo sapiens. Lineage (NCBI taxonomy): Eukaryota > Metazoa > Chordata > Mammalia > Primates > Hominidae > Homo > Homo sapiens. The sequence continues at coordinate 47,512,726 of NC_000007.14, forward strand.
TGAAAAACATCATCATAATAATAACAGAAATACCATGAATTTCAGATGCATCAATCATAGAACTGATTCGGAATTGGAAAAGCTGAAATGAATTATTAGAATAAAATATCAGAGAACATCTTTGTGACTTTGGAAAAGGGCAGACATTCTACAACAAGGAACAAGAGTATGAACTAAATGAAAAGATGAGTAGATCTGAACAAACCAAACATTACAACTTTTGCGTGACAAACAGGCCACAAAC